>NC_000005.10:175458293-175761324 GCF_000001405.40 Homo sapiens
TGGATGTATGAACAGATTGTAACCTACTCTTGTACCAGTCACTGAGTTTCTGCAAATCAAAGGTGACCAGACCCTGTTTAAATACGGCAAACATTGAGCTGTAGCCAATACAGTAGTTTCTGCACCTCACTTCCAGTTTCTGTACATTACTTTCCTTTTTCTGTCCAGCGATCTTTGACCATGCTGCAGCAACGGGGTCTCTCTGAACCTATTCTGGTTTAGGAGACTGCCCAATTCATGAATCTTTCTTTGTTCAATTAAACTCTGTTAAATTTAATTTATCTGAAGTCTTTATTTTAACAATTACAGAGTTTCAGTTTTGCAAAATATAAAGAGTTCTGTGGATAGATGGTGGTGATGGTTTCACAACAATGCAATGGTAGTCAATGCCACTGATCCATACCCTTAAACAGAGTGAAAATTGTCAATTTTATATTATTTTATCACAATAAAAAGAAAAGGAGGTCAGAGCTGAGCCATCAGGCAACAGCCTCCAGAGTGTTGCTCTGTCATTGTGTGCTGTTGAAGCCCCCGGTGCTTCCCTGACCCCTCCATGGCAGACCTGAAGGTTCGGCGCTCTTTTCTAGCCTGTGAGTGCCCCGTTATGTTTACCATCAAGTCCTCTTTCGGACGAAGTCACCCAGGGTAGGCTTCCTTTTGCCAAAGAGCATTCCCTGAAATGCCAGCATTCTACATAAAGTGGCTGCAGCTATCTGCCTACCAGAGAGCCATCCCCAAATTGTTCTATGGAAAAAAGAATACCTGCCGTTTGCTTGCCACCCCTTATGCACCCTGCTGCCACCTCGTTCCAGGGTCATCCTAAGCCCTCCAGAATGAAGATTTATTTGGCAGTACATTCATGTTTTTATTTTGGTTTCTGTCTAATATTCTTTCCTATTTTCATTCCTGTAGTGGCAGGTACCACAGCTCATGGGCCAGTAAAAGCTACCAATTGCACCAGTCCTGATTCCTGGGCATGATGTGATAGTCTTCACTCATCCTGTCTGGGTGAGGAGCTTGTGCAGACATCATCTTCATCTTACCCAAGAGAAAACGGAGGCTCCAAGAGGGGAGGGGATTTTCCCAAAGTCTCAGAATGAATAAGATGATGGAGCCAGTGTCTTGCCCAGCCCTGTCTAACTTCAAAGACCATAATCTCTATCCATTGGAGAAAGCGTGGCTGGGATGTTCTGTATATCGGAGTAGCTCTTGGATCAAATGCTAAAGAGCCAGAGATAACTCTCCAAATCACATAGATTGATTTGAGACTAAGACTCATTATTATTACTTAAAAAATATATTTTTTAAACTACTTATGGCATGAAAAGCAAATTTGCAAATTGAAACAAGGCAGTCAATAGATCAACAGATGTCATTTTTTAAAGCCAAATTGAACACATTCACTAGAGCATATGAGACTCAGTGGCAGAGCAAGAGATCATGAAATTAAATTAAATTTACTTTAATTAATGTATAAATCTACAATTTAATTAATTGGGTTAAATTACTGCAAAACACAGCCAATCTCAAATGGAGGGATTTCTGAATCAAAGCCAGTATAAAAATGTTGTTCTAATGAGAACACATGGACACAGGGAGGGGAACATCACACACAGGGGCCTGTCAGGGGGTCGAGGGGGAAGGGGAGGGAGAGTATTAGAACAAATACCTAATGCATGTGGGGCTTAAAACCTAGATGACGGGTTGATAGGTGCAGCAAACCACCATGGCACATGTATACCTATGTAACACACCTGCACGTTCTGCACACGTATCCCAGAACTTAAAGTACAATTTTTAAAAAAAAAATGTTCTTCTATATTTGCTGCAACATAATCAATGTCATGTTATTGCTCATATATGTCGCAGTGAACACACACGCCTAAAAAATAATGATGGCTACAAAACCAACACAGTGAGAAGGAAACTAATGTTTTGTTGGTGCCCTCTATGGGCCAACTGTGATGAAAGTTTTATCATCCTTGTTTTGAATACGAAGAAACTACAGCACTGAAATACTTGTTAACTAGCCTGAGGTCATATACTAAGAAGAGGCAAAGCTGAGATTCATACTTGATTCTATCTGATTCCAAAGTCTGGCCTTGTTCCATGATCTTTCAAGTTTACGTATTCATTTATCCGATGACGTATTTATACACACACAGTACACACACTGCTCCTAAATCACCGTGGACTTATTTACAATTTATAATTGTAATAATTGCTATGAAAGAAAGCAAACAATAGGAAGCATTAAGAGAAAATACAGACTGGGGGTGACCTTTTTGGTAAATTATTGTTCATAATATTTGCTGCCTTTCCTTGGGAGAATATTCTACTTGCCCAGCTCATTGACTTCAGGCTTAGCTATGGGACTTTATACATCCCTAAGGAACACATGCTTTGTACTCTATGGGACTATTATAGGTCCCCACCCTGGGGAACTGGGGAGTGTCCATGTGACCTGATTTAGCCAAGGCTGGAGAGAAGTGTATTATTGCCAGGAAGAAGCCTGGTTTTTATGCTTAAGGCTCACCAACTTTCTCCACTCCGCCCTAAGTCCAGCAATGTCCCAGTGAAGGCTGTTCATCAGCCTGTGTCCCAGAGTGAAGTCTTTGTGAACAGGAGCTGCAGCTGGCCCTCGATAGAATTGTCATTGTTGGACCAGGCACAGTGGCTCATGCCTGTAATTCCACCACTTTGGGAGGCCCAGGTGGGTGGATCACTCGAGGCCAGGAGTTTGAGACCAGCCTGGCCAACATGGCAAAACCCCGTCTCTACTAAAATCCAAAAGTTAGCTGGGCGTGGTGGGACACGACTGTAATTCCAGCTACCTGGGAGGCTGGGGCATGAGAATTGCTTGAACCCGGGAGTGGCCGAGATCGCGCCACTGCACTCCAGCCTGGGCGACTGAGCGAGACTCTGTCTCAAAGACAAAACAAAACAAAAAAGAATTGTTATTGTTGTAAGTCACTGAGATTCGAGGGTCATTTGCTAGCACAACATAATTTAACCTATCCCGATGGATGAGCCTTCTTAACTTGGGGGTGAGTGAAGACCTCTTGGAAGAAGTGACGTTTGAGCTGAGACCTGAATAAAGGGAAGGATTCTATCTGTGAAAGAGCCAGGAGGGGAGAGATTTCCAGACAGTGCAAAACAGCCAGCGCACAAGCCGCGGGGTGGGAAAGAACTCAGCACACTTGAGGAAAGGAGGCCCGAGTTACCGAGCTGACGAGAGTGGTGAGGGATGAAGCCAGAGATATGTCCACGCCTGAGCACAAGGGCCTCGCCAGCCACGTGAGGAGGTTGGGCGGCATTCCATGTGTGACAGGAGGACACCCAGGGAGCCAAGCGGTGGAACGATGTGGTCAGATTCAAGCATGTAAGATTGTCCTCAATGCTGGGTAGTAGAGGAAGCAGGGAAACCAAGTAGGAGGCTTTGTTCAGGCCTGTTAAGGGCCGAATGGTGTTCCCCAGTAAATCACATGCTGAATACTAACCCCCAGTAGCTCAGAATGTGGCCTTCTATGGAAATAGGATGGTTGCATGTGTAATTAAGTTTAGATGAAGTCACACTAGAGGAAGGTGGTTCCTTAATCTACATAACTGGTATCCTTATAAAAAAAAAAAAAAAAAAAGAAAATTTGGGGCCAGGCGTGGTGGCTCATGCCTGTAATCTCAGCATTTTGAGAGGCCGAGGCGGGCAGATCACGAGGTCAAAAGACTGAGACTATCTGGGCCGACATGGTGAAATCCCATCTCTACTAAAAATACAAAAATTAACTGGGCATGGTGGCACGTGCCTGTAGTCCCAGCTACTCGGGAGCCTGAGGCAGGCGAATCACTTGAACCCAGGAGAAGGAGGTTGCAGTGAACCACGATCATGCCACTGCACTCCAGCTTGGCGACAGAGCGAGATTCTGTCCCAAAAAAAATAAAATAAGTGACAAAGAGGAAATTTGGCTGCACACAGACACACAAGGAGAATGCCATGCGATGGAGGCAGATATTGGGGTGGTGCTCGCACAAGCCACAGCATACCAACAATTATCAGCAAACCACCAGCAGCAGAGCCAAGGGCATGGAACAGATCCTCTCTCACAGCCCCAAGAAAGAACCAACCCTGCCGACACTCTGAACTTGGGCTTTCAGCCTCCAGAACTGCAAGACAATAAATTTCTGTTGCTTAATTCACCCAGTTCATGGTACTTTGCTATGTCACCCTAGCAAACTAACACAAGGCTAGAAACAATGGTGCCTTGGACTGGGGTCTTAGCACTGGAGGTCGTCAAAAAGTAGATGAATTCAAGGTTTTGTTTTGTTTTTTGTTTTGTTTTTTTTTTTGAGACAGAGTTTTGCTCTGTTGCCCAGGCTGGAGTGCAGTGGCTCTATCTCAGCTCATTGGAACCTCCACCTCCCCAGTTCAAAAAATTCTCCTGCTTCAGCCTCCCCAGTAGCTGGGATTACAGGTGCATGCCACCACGCCCCGCTAATTTTTTGTATTTTTAGTAGAGACAGGGTTTCACCTTATTGGCCAGGCTGGTCTCGAACTCCTGACCTCAAGTGATCTGTCCACCTTGGCCTCCCAAAGTGCTGAGATTACAGGTGTGAGCCACCACACCTGGCCTCAAGGTACATTTTTGAAGGTGGAAATAATGGAAGTTTCTATTGGATTAGACATAGGTTATAATGGAAAGGGAGGAATTAAAGAGGAAATTCTCAAAATTGTGTATCATGCACTCTGTTCAATGCTTTCATGGATTATTGCCTCATTTCATCTTCACCAAAGTCCCATGTATCAGTTGGGTCCCCTGGGATGCAGACACTGAGACAGAATTAAGAATATAAGAAGTTTATTAGGGGTAATATCTGTGGATGATAAAAAGGAGAGGAAGCAGGATTAGGCAGGGAAAAGACTGCGAAGCAGATGTGACAGAAGATTCAGCCACCCCAACCCAATAGGGATCTTCAGAGCAAAGATTTCCCATCACAAGCATCATGCATTGGCAGAAATAGGCCCTAGTGTTCCCACCATGCTTGGTCGTTGGCTGGCGGGAACTAGAAACAGTGTGGCCTCTGCTCAAAAGTGAAGGTGGACCCTGAAGGCTCTGACAGCTAGAAGCTGTCAGCTAAATTCACTCCTCACAGTGAAACAGCAAGTTCTTATTTGAAGGGAGATCCAAGCCGCTCAGCATGCTCTGTAATGTACAATTTCTAACCATATTTCTCAAATTAGGAAACGGAGGTTCAAAAATCAAACTTTGAAACATTGCCTTGAATGGGACAACATAGACTCTGGCTCTGCTCCTCTAACATCATGGTCTCTGCTGAATTATGGTGAGTACTTGTGGCAGAGACTGAAAAAGCTGGCTCCCTCAGCACCCATTCCAGTGCCCTCGAAGCTTGCCTCACAGCACAATAGGGGATGAAGAGCTAAAAAGCAAAGTCTCAGATTCCTTTGCAGTGTGGGTACAGGTGCGTGACCTGGTTTAGGCCTGTCTGATGTACCACTAGACTTGGTCATGACTGTCAGAAGTGAAAGGTAGGACTGTGGCAGATAAGAGGCTCACCTGGACAGCTCTGTGGCTTAGTCCCTAGACCTACAGGTGCCGAGTGGCAGGTGGTTAACAGCTGCATTGTTTTTGCTAGAACAACCCTTGATATGACTGACTGATTCTCCCAACTGTGCTGTGCCTGGTTCTTTAAACACTCCAGAGTTTTGCAAACTATCCAATATCCTTTAACAAATTACTTTCTGTTTACTCTAGGAGGAAGGACCTCTGTTGTCTGCAATAGAAAGCCTTGAGATTCACGATACTGGCTAGAGTACACTGAGCCATACGGACACAAATGCACTATTTAGCAGGGAAATTGAATTGAAATCCAAGTGCATTTTTCAAGCTCTGGCGTACTGCGCTGCAGCATTTCTCCTAAATGAATTGAACACATTTTGGCCTTAGCTGCATGCAAACATGTCTAAAAAAATCAAGTACACACCTGGCAGGCAGTGTGTTGGTTAAAAGGGTCTCAGGTCTCCTAGAAATTGCCATGCAAGAACCAGACTTTTTTCCAGCTGTATGCAAATTAACCATCAGCATCTTTAAACAAAGCAAAATATTAACTGAAAAATCGAGTGTCTCAGCTACAACACAGAATAGGTGTTCACAGATTTTTGTTTAATACAGGGCCCTCTTAAAAAGTCCCATTTTTATCTATGATGTAATCCAGAGAATGTGTATGATTTTTTTCCTCCCTACCTGTCCACCAAAATCAAATCAAAGGCCTTTTTCCTCAAGGAAGTTTCCACATTACGCAACAGCCAACCATGTCAAGAGCTGATTTGCAGGCTGAGCTCAGTCACATTAGGGACTTCTTCCTATGCAAGCGGGGCTGTTGAAGTCAACAGTGAGATTAGTAAGGGGGAGAGTCATGCACCTGGAAACAAAAACCTGGACCCTCCTCGTAGCCCTGCAAAACGACGCTGACAGTGTGCAAGCTCTCCCTTCCCTGAGCCTCTCTGTCCTCCTCTGCAACCCTGCCTCAAGCGGTCATTTTCAGGATTGCACTGAAAATCTGACAAAGCAGGAAGCTGATATGGTCTACAGAGGTACTGAATTGAGGTAAACAGAAATTTCAGAGGCCACCTCTGCATGGAGAAGCTACAAGCAGAACCGTTCAGTGCATCACCACCTCGGACCACACCTCCCCAAGTCATCCAGACCCCAGAGCCGCCTTTTTCTGTTGTTTTGTTTTTTCTTTAGAGACAGAGTTTTGCTCTATTGCTCAGGCTGGAGTGCAGTGGCATGATTATGGCTCACTGCAGCCTTGAACTCCTGGGCTCAAGCCATCCTCCCACCTCAGCTTCCTAAGTAGCTAAGGCTGCAGGCTCTCACCACCTTACCTGGCTAATTTCTTTTCTTCCTTTTTTTTTTTTTTTCTTTTCATAGAGACAAGGTCTGGCTGTGTTGCCCAGGATGATCTCAAACCCCTGGCCTCAAGTGATCCTCCCACCTTGACTTCCCAAAGTGCTGGGATTACAGGCATGAGCCACCGTGCCTGGCAAAGCCTCTTGGCCAAAATCCCCACTCCAGTGGCTGCCAAGAAGCTGGTCTCAAAAATCCTATCTGTTCAATGGATGAAAAATCCAGCTTCCTTATACAATGGAATACTACATGACAATGAAAAGGAACAATGCACTGATGCACGCAGCAACGTGGAGGAATTTCACAGCCATTGTGATAAGCAAAACAAGACAGACACAAAAGACATGCTATAGGGATTCCATTGATTGGGCATGCTAGAAAAGGCTAAGCTAATTTAGAGTTACAGAAAGCAGACTAATGGTTGTTGGGGATTGGGGCTTGACTGCAAAGGGACACAAGGGAAACTTTTTTGGACACTGGATATATTCTAAATTTCAATTGTGATAGCAGATATACAAATGTATATAACTTGGTCAAAACTCAATGAACTATACAACTTACCGTGAATTGTGCAGTGTGTGTTATATAAACTATGCCTCAATAAAGTCAACAAGAAGAATCCTGTCAGGATGACTAAGACTTTCTATGTGAAAACCCCCTTTCTATGTGTTCCTCTTTAAATACATGCCCCCTTGTTCTCTCTGAGGGCATAGATAGTTTTGCTGCCACTTAAACCTGAATTATAGTTATCCTCATCACAAAATGTTGTCTGAGAAAAATATGTAGGCTCTGCACTTACTTTCTGTGTGACTTTGAGTATAATACTTCACCTCTCTGTGATTCAGTTTCCACATGTGTACTATGGAAACAGCAGTACAAAGAGGGCTCAGCAACACAGCTTACACAAGAGAGCCCAGCCCAGAGCTGGGTATATGCTGTGTGCTCAATAAACCCTGGTTTCCCATCTTCATGCCATCAGTTATGGCTCTTTAGATTCCATATAACAGAACATCTGGCCCAATTTATTCAGAGGTGAGACTAATGGCAGAAGAGCCCAGAGATTGTACTGACTCCAGAAGGTCAGCATCGAGGCCAGGCACTGGATTTCTCTCCCTCTCTCTGCCATGCACTTGGGTATGTCAGCATAATCCTCTGGCCCCATGTGCTGCACTCCCTCCCAGCAGCACCCACCTCTCCCTTTGGGCCTCCAGAGCTCTCTGCCTCCCATGCCATCCTGAAGGCCCTCTCTCTGTCCCCAGTTGGAACACATGCCTTTTGTCTTAGCCAAGAACTGCAGCTATGGGCACGTAACATGCTAGTAGGATTAAGCAAATCATTCTGGAGCTGAAATCTGGATTCTATGCTCTCCAACCAAGTGGCTGCTACAAACTGGGGTACAAGTGACTGCTTCTCTCAGCAGAAGAAGGGGAGTAATGATATGGGAAGATAATCAACGAATGTCCATTGAACACATTCTGTCTGTCAGGGAGTTCATCAGGAAACAGAAAATACAGAAGTTATTTTAACAGAGGATTTAATCTAAAGAATTGTTTAAACAGGTGACAGAACACTGAAGCCATCACAGTGTAGCAACTGCAGGAATCAGCTACCATTCCTAATACCAGGGGAATGAAGAGGAGAGGCTGGGATTATGAAATCGGAGAGACTCGGGGAAAAGAGAGCACTTTTTGGCTGGTGCTCCTGGCCCTGAGCTTAGAGGAGAGGCCCTTTGGTTCCAGGACCCAGAACCCCGAGGAGAGGTGCTGGGATCTCTAAAGGGGTGTAATGGGGCTGAATCAGGGTGTGTGGAAAAAACCTAGCTCTTGGATGAAGAAGCAAGGCTGTAGTGATGCCAACAAGAATAAGATGCAGACAGGAAGGGACATGTCTCTCCTTCTGCTTTCAGTCTTTCCTCCCTCCCTGGGTCTGCATTAGAGCCAGCTGGCAAAGCACAAATGTGGCTTACAGAGTCATAGAATCACAAAGCATTGCACAAAAAAATTGGGTTTGGAGCAGACAGACGATTACTTAACAACTAGCCCCCAAACTATTCCACAATCAGGGTATCAGTGAGGACATTTTCGCTGCAAGAAGTAGTAACTCCAACTTAATTAGCTTAAGCAATGAAAACATTTTCTTCCCCAGGAAGAGCTACTCCAGATTTGCTTAATAATTCAACTGTTCAACATTGCTGTTAAGGACAACGTTTTTCCCATCTTGGAGGAGATGCTTCTTGGTTCTGGAACCCAGAACACTAAGGGGGAGTGCTGGGGTCCACACTGTGGATATGTGTGTGGATATATCACATATGTGGATATGCATATAGGCACCTCAGGGGATTTGCTGTCATGCATATACATATATACTATATGTGTATATATATATGCTGTATATATGGGTGTGTATATATAGAAAGAAAATTTATTTTATTTTTTAATTTTTATTTTTAGTTCTGGGGTACACATGCAGGATGTGCAGGTTTGTTACATAGGTAAATGTGTGCCGTGGTGGTTTGCTGCACCTATCAAGCAAATTCATTATAAATATACTGACATAAAGGATGTGTAGAGCAAAATTTACAAATGATTATAAATTTTACAATACTCCTTATTCTAAGTTTCATATAGGCAACTGGTTCTCACAGGATACTTTCATTGATTTTTGCCAAACTCTTGGATTCTTAGCCAACCTATGGTTGCAACTGATCAAGTTTAGTTCAGGCATCACCTTGCTTGATGTAGTAAGACAAACTGAAACCATAAAGATGTATGTGTGAACTTCACTTATTAGCCAATAACATGAGCATCTCCCATAATTGAGCTAAAAAAAAAATCTCTATCTGGAGCCCTCTTTCCACCGGGGTGATTGAATGTTTATCTTAGTTAATTCGAAGTTTACCTACCTCCTCATTTTCTAGGGATTACATCTAATTTCCAGGACATAGTGGGAGGGCCCCTGTGATCTTGCGACAGTTCAAAGAGCTCACTGGTTACATAGTTGCTCATCCGTCTGTCAGTACTTGTGTTTACACATCCCTCATTCCTGTCCGTGGGACACTTTGGATCTGCTAGCTGTTTTCATATCCCACACTGAGAGCCCAAGAATCTCCATGAAGCGAAGTCCCCATCTCCCAAGACTCATCACCATGCTCTGTCAGGGAAGCAGGATGCAGATTCCTTCTCCGTGGAGCACATTAATATCTGAGTTTTCCACGTTTTCCCTCTGCTCTCCTCTTCCTTCAGCCTGATGAAATCATTTCCATTCTGTGGGAGCAGTAAATCCTGACATGCCTTAAACGCCCTGATCCAGTTTAGCTGAGAGTGCAAGGGAAACTGGCTCACTCTTTGAAGAAAAATAAAGCTGAATTCCTACCTCTCATACCGCATACAAACTCTAGACAGATTTTAGATTACATTTTACCTTCTAGATGAATGAAAGACCTGAATGTGAGGTGTAAACTATACAACGAAAGCATTAAACATTAGAGCAAACCTTTTAAGCCCAGTGTTGAGGGAGACCTTCTCTAATAAGACGTCAAAAGGCCAAAACAAAAGAAAAACAAATTAATGGATTTAATTACACCGATGTTCGAGATAATCTGTTCAACAAAAGTACACTGGAGACAAAACTAACAGGAGGATGACAGGTTGGGGGAAGATATTAGCAATGTTTTTGGCAGACTGGGAACACTTACAAAGATATAAAGAAAGGAAAAAAGGCAACAAACATAAAGAAGTGCTAATAAGTAGAGGAGAAGATTCTCAAATTTTTTAATAACCAAAGAAATACAAATTAAAATGACAATATAGCACTTTATTCCCATTAGATTGGCAAAACTTAGAAAGAAGAATAACACCAGGTCTTGGTGAGATATGAAAAAAACAGGAGCATTTTTGCACACTGGTGATGAGTTATACAATGACATCATTCTGGAAAGTCCTCTGACAGTGCTATCTAAATTAGACAGGCAGGTATCTACAGAAATTTCACCCTTGGATATGTTTCTGGAGTCCTTATTAAACAAGACCATAATTGGATATACGTTAATAAGTTTTTGCAGGGTTTATGGTACTGAGAAGTACCACAACACATCCTAGGTAGTAGATAAGTAAAATGCATCCTAGGTAGTAGGTAAGTAAAACGTGGTGGCTCTACTCCAGGGAATTTTATCAGGAGTTAGAAAGAACAAACTAGATCTATACAAAACAACATAAACAGATCCCAAGCACTCAGAAGTGAGTGACAAGTGAGAAAGCAAATGGGATCTCCAAAAGAATACCATTTTTATAACTTAAAACCATAGGCCCAAAGCATTACATATTCTGCAAAGATATTTTGTAACGTGTTAGAGCTGTTGCCTACAGAGGACAGGAAAACAGAAATGGAGGGCGGGAATAAAGTGAATGATTTCTTTCAAACATCTTGTCTCCATTCAGACTTTCTCCATCCCCCTAAGGATTCAGATGTATTGACCCTAGAGTTCTGAGTCTAGAGCCTTTCTTTCTGCCTTGATGCAGCTTATCATTGAGAAAATTAGCCCAGAACAGCTCAGCCATTTGATGAGGAAGGAGAGGAATAGCAAAGGGAGTTGGGGGTTGGATCAGTTAATCAGCTAACCAGCCAAAATCTCGATATATTATCCCTCCACGAATGTTTCAGGGTTCTTGGTGAGAGTTTTCAAATCCATAACAAAATAACCAGAAAAAGAATGTCTACTCTGTGTTGCAATTTGCCTATGACTTGGATGAGTCTGTTTCAAATGACCCTCCGTGAGGACTGCCACATTCAGTTGTGCAGCCTGTGCACTGCACAAAGGTGCTCCTGCCCAGGGGAGCAGGAGGAAGCTGGAATTCACCAGGGACTCTGCTTACGAGCTGGGCCTGCCTGGGCCTCTTTCAATCATAGCCTGGGGCTCTTTCAATCTTAGAGAGGAGCCTCAGGAGGTCAGCTGTAACTTGTCTGCCAGAAAGGGTAACCTTGCGAAATTCCTACAATGGTGCTGTATGTACTTGCTGGAGCCCTGACTTAGTTTACCCTCAGCCTCCCCATGTCTCAGTCTGGTCAACATCCTTATCAGAAATTCACACTAGCTTCCTTTACAATCTGCCTTTAGGACAGTCCTGAGGCAAATTTCACTTGTTCTTCCCTCTGCCTGGAATGCTCTTCCCCAGATAGCCACACGGCTCACTCTCTTCCTTCACTCAGGCCTCTGCTCCAACATCCCCTCTACAGAGAGGTCTTCCCTCCACATCTCCTCTAAAATAGGCCCCCATCCTGCCTTGCTCTCACCTCTCATCCCACATTCTTCATCCTGCTTATCACCCATGGAATGTGTATGTATTCATTTATCGCAAGCTTCTCAAAAGGAGGGACTCAGTCTCACTCACTAATTGGTGCCTGTCCTGCGCTGGCACAGAGTAGGTGCTCAGCAAATACATGTTAGATGAATGCATGGATTGGATCTAAACAGCAAGCAGAGTATGGTATTCCTCTCCAAAGAGTGCAGGAAATAGAACAGCAAGTGCTGAACCAGGGCAAAGAGAAATGTGAAGTATCATTCTTCCTTAATTCTGCCCTATTACATATAATAAGATTAATTTGACTAATGAACCAGTTCCTTAAAACCCATAATGGAGTGGCTCAGTTTTCTCAGAATGATAAACACTGTCTTTAGCCTCTAGGAACTATTTCAAAGACATAATTGGCTTCTAAGTGATGCTTAGCACGCTTTATTTTTAAACAAAGAGCCAATTCATGACGTGTTCTTCAGATGCTTTGTATGTGAGGCTTACTGGGCTTTCACTCTAAAACAAGAAATGCTGGCCAGGGGGATGGGAGAGGGGTAACATTAGGAGAAATACCTAATGTAAATGATGAGCTAATGGGTGCAGCAAACCAACGTGGCACGTGTATACAATATGTAACAAACCTGCACGTTGTGCACAAGTACCCTAGAACTTAAAGTATAATAAATAAATTAATTTTTTTTAAAAGTTTGTGCTTGAATGTTCTTGGCTGCTTTATTCATAACAGCCCCAAACTGGAAATACTGTAAAGGTCCAACAATTGAAAAATGGATACAAAAAGAAATGTGATATATAACAGAATTCTACGCCACAATGGGAAAAAAATCCAACACCATGGATAAATCTCAAAAACATGCTGCGTGAAAGAAGCCAGACATATACACATACAAGTGTGGCTGTATGATTCCATTTATATGAATAACAAATGTTTCAGAGCATGAATGAGTTCCAGAACAGGCAAAAGTATTCGCTTGATGCAAACGTAACTGTGGTTTTTGCCATTGAAAGTAACGACAAACAACGCAATTACTCTTGGCTACTCCAGACAAGTGGTTAGGGAAGGCACCTCTGAGGAAGGTGACACTAATAACTGAAAATTAGTGTCAGAAATTATGGAAAGCCGGTGACACAAAGCAGGATGATGTGATGTCGGGAGTGCGGGTACCCTGACTGAGAAAGGGCAGGAGGGAACTTCTGTGTCTGAGTGGGAGGCAGGCGTCATTGGCCTCTACAGGAAAGGTCTGATGCTGCCTGGCATGTGACCTCAGCTCAGCCAATCAGATGCTCCTGCCCAGAGAGGGGAGACTCCATTCTGGTAGTGGCTGCAGCAACCAGTTTCAGGAGAGGAGTGACTTTCGTTCAGTGTTCAGGGGTGGAGACCACAGAGTCCTCACCACAATGGTTCCGTGGCATAATCTGGGCTGTGACAGTAACTGCAGGCACCTTTCAAGGAGATGAGAATATAGCAGGGGATAAAGAAGACAGGATTCCTGCCCTTATGGTAGAAAATTCTAGCTGAAAACATAGAGAAGAAACAAATCAAAAATAAGTAAACAAGGTAATTTTTTGTTTAGTTTGTTTTTGGTTTTGTTTTGAGAAATAATCTTGCTCTATTGCCCAGGGTGGAGTATAGTAGCATGATCTCAGCACACTGCAGCCTCAACCTCCCAGGCTCAAGCGATCCTCCCACCTCAGCCTCCCAACTAGCTGGGACAAGTGTGCCACACCATGCTCAGCTAATTTTTTAATTTTTTGTGGAGATAGGGTTTTACTATGTTGCCCAGGCCAGTCTTGAACTCCTGGTCTCAAATGATCCTCCCACCTCAGCCTCCCAAAGTGCTGGGATTACAGACGTGAGCCACCATGCCTGGCCTAAAGGAGGTAATTCTGAATAGTGACAGTATGACAAAAGAAATAAACAAGCAATGAGCTCCAGTGTGAGTGAGAGGGGCTACTCCAGACAGGTGACCAGGGAAGGTACCTCTGAGGAAATGACATTTGACCTGAGAGCATTCCAGGCAGAGGGAACAGCATATGCAAAGGCCCTGTGGTAGGTAAAGCTGCCCTGTTGAGCCAGCATTACCATGAGCATGGGGAGCAGTGGTATATGGTAAAACTGGAAAACTGGAACAGGACAGATCATGAGGGTCCATAGGCCACAGTAAAGAGTTCAAATTTTATCATAAGTATAACTGGAAGCTGCTGATGATTTAAAAGCAGAGAGAGCATGATTTTATTTACCTTTCCAAGAGATCAGGGACTGAACAGTTAGAGGCAAGAGTAGAAATGGAGATGTAAAATCAGGGGTAGAGTAGTGTGACGGTTGCTTTTATGTGCCAACCTGGCTAGTCTATAGAGTGAATTAATCAAACACCGATCTAGGTGTTGCTGTGAAGGAGTTTTGTAGATGTGGTTGACATCTACAACTAACTGACTTTAAACAAAAAAGATTACCCTCAATAATGTGGGTGGACCTCATTCAATTGGTTGAAGGCCCTAAGAGGAAAACCTGATTTTCCCAGTGAAGTTCAGCCTCAAAACTACAGCATCAACTCTTGCCTGAGTTTCCAGCCTGCTGACCTGCGCTAGAGATTTCAGACTTGCCAATCACCACAATTATGTGAGCCAATTTCTTAAAATAAATCATGCTAGACAAATAGATGGAGAGAGAGAGATGGATGGAGATATAGTATATATAGAGAGATATAGATATAGATACAGTTTATTGGTCCATTTCTCTAGAGAAGCCTGACCGATATAAGTAGTTAACCCCTCAGGGTTCCAGTGAAGACGAGAGAAGATATTTGTGCAAGTGGTTAGGGTATGTATTGCCTGCCCCACTCACAGTGGACACTCAGTTACTGGCATTCCTCTCCCTCCCTTCTGTAAGGCTCTGCTGAGTTTCTGGACCCAAAATCTCCAGGTCTTCCCTCACCTGAGAAAAAAACACACTGCATCCAATGTGCATGAGTGGGTAGTGCAAAAAGATTTTCTTCGACAGGTCAGGTAGAAGCTGACACACCTGCTCCATGAAATGTTCTACAGCCATTCAAACAAGAAAGGGCACCTTCCCCTAGGTCTTCCCTGACCTGGCTCCCTGTCACCCCCACACCCCCTTCTTTATTTCCTTATAGGACTTACTACCTTCTAACATGCTATATATTCTACACTTTTTTTTTTTTGAGACAGAGTTTCGCTCTTGTTGCCCAGGCTGGAGTACAATGGTGCGATCTCAGCTCACCACAACCTCCGCCTCCCAGGTTCAAGCAATTCTCCTGCCTCAGCCTCCCAAGTAGCTGGGATTACAGGCATGCACCACCATACCTGGTTAATACTGTATTTTTAGTAAAGACAGGGTTTCTCCGTGTTGGTCAGGCTGGTCTCAAACTCCCAACTTCATGTGATCTGCCCGCCTTGGCCTCCCGAAGTGCTGGGATTACAGGTGTGATCCACCATGCCCGGCCTTATATATTCTACTTATTCATTGTGTTTATTGTCTGTCTTCATTTCCTACACAATCAACTGCATGAGGGCAAGGGGCTACATGTGTTCCATTCACCGTAGACTCCTTAGCACTTAGAATAATGACTAATGTAGAATCAGCCACTGTTCAATAAGCATTTAGTGAATAAAAAGCATAAAAGAATGAATAATGAAGATTATGATGTGACTTGAGAACATGTTTATAAAATATAACTTTGAGTGAAGAAAGCAAAACATAAAACACATGGACCAGGATTCTCACCACATATTTAACAAACAAATACAGCATTCACTGGATGTCCTGCTAGACACCAGGGACAGAAAGTTGAAGGACAGAGTTTCTTGTTTGAAAGAGTTCATGGGCTAGAGAGAAGACAGGACTGTAAAACTATGCAGAGAGAGTTTATGAAGTGCTGCAGGAGCCATGAAGCTGGAACTCTAAGAAAAACAGCTCTCAATTAACAAGGCTCACCATTGACCAGGCACCCTGCTCATCTCTGCACATATGTAATCTCAGGTAACGGTCACGATGGCCCCAGGTAAGTGTTAGTCTTACCCCATTTAGACATAAACCAATGCACAGCAAGATCAAGGAACTAATTTGTGTAGGGTCTAACACCCGATCCAGGCAGAGGTGGAATCAGAACCCAGGCGGACCCGTCTGCAGATCCTGTGTGCTTAAGCACTGTGCCACTTGCTTCTGGGTTTCTGCATACAGAGAGCTGAAACTCAAGCATGGGATGAACAGAAGTTTGATGGGTCAGAAAAGGAATGAAAATATTGGAAGGGAATACACTAAAAATCTAGCAGGGAGATTTCTGGGGAGTAGCATTGAGTGTACACTTGTACTTTTCTGTACTTTTCAAATTCATTTGATTACGTATTTCTTTTATAATCAAAAACAACGTGGCGGCCGGGTGCAGTGGCTCACACCTGTATTCCTAGCACTTTGGGAGGCCAAGGAGGGCGGATCACAAGGTCAAGAGACTGAGACCATCCTGGCCAACATGGTGAAACCCCGTCTCTACTAAAAATACAAAAATTAGCTGGGCATGGTGGCGTGCAACTGTAGTCCCAGCTACTCAGGAGGCTGAGGCAGAAGAATCACTTGAACCAGCGAATCAGAGGTTGCAGTGAGCCAAGATCGCACCACTGCACTCCAGCCTGGTGACAGAGTGCAGCCTGATGAGGCTCTGGGAAAAAAAAAAAGGCTAATATCATCTGGAATTTAAAGTTTTCATTAAAGAGTTCATTTAAACAAACAACAAAAAATATGGTTCTCATTGGATTACCTGTCCTGTCCTGATGAAAACTTCACTTTGTGATACATTCAGCAAGATCTTTCCTTGGCTCCCTGAACTTTTGCTATGCTCAGAAATGCTCCCAACCTTTGCTGATTTAAGCATTGTTTTGTTTTTGCTGTTCCCTGAATGGTCAAAGTCCATATTAAAATGCAAGGGTTTTGCAACTTTTGTTGATGCAAGCCTAGCAAGAATTCCCAAGCATTCGTTTTCTGAATCAAAGAGAAATGTCATTTCAGCTTTATGGAAGCTGTTTCTGAAATGGTTGTAATTGAAACAATGACTGGAAATCATACAAACCCTTGCTTTCCACTTTTAATTCCCTCTCATTTTTCTTCCTTCATCCATCTGCTTTTCCCACTTTTTCAAATTTGGTCGCACTAGCTCAGATGTCACCACCTCTATGAACATCTCCTCTCCTGTTAGTCAGGGATGGAAATTCAACTCACAAGAGCTTAAGATTTTAAAAAGAAGGAAAAAGGAAAAGGAAGGGAAAAGAAAAGAGTTGGGGTGGGGGATGGGGGTTATTGACTCCCATAGCTGGAAGCCCAGGAGGTAGACCAGGAGGCAGATCTAGCCTCGGGCTTGGCTGAGTGTAGGGCCTGACATGATGTCATCTGACTTCTGTCTCTCTCACATCTTTTAGCCTGGCTTCACCTCCACAGCTCTAGCAGCCCTTAATCCACATTCTCTTAGATTAGCTGTCTCAATATATGTGTGTGGTGGGGAAGGGAGGCGGGGAGGAGAGGTTACTTCTCTTCCCCAGTGCCTACATATAAATTCAGGGCAGAATTCTGTTTGGCCCAGCTTGGGCCATGTACCCATGACTGTGGCAGGCAGGAGGAGATCAAGTACCATGATTGATAATCAGACAAGATCAAATGAAATGTGGCAGGGGAATTCCCCAAGAGAAACTGAGATGCTGGAAAGACAAAAACTACATGTGACAGAATTTTTGAAGAAAAAAAAAATCCACAATTCTCCACGAGTCTATATGTCTACACCTGCTTACCACGTTTCTTGGCAGCTCCTCTCAGCAAAAGATAAAGTCTATTTCACCCTGAATAGGGGCTGGCCTTGTTGACCTGCTTTGACCAATAGGATGCCTTGGAAATGAAGGTTTGCCAGTTTCAAGCCTTGGCCTCAAGAGGCCTTGAGTGCATCAACTCTCTCCTTTCTCTGCCTTTGCCATGTGAACATTTCCAGGCCAGCCTGCTGGAGGAATGAGACATGGAGCGGAGCCATCCCTACCCAGTTATCCCAGCTGAGGCCCCAGACACATATGAGAGAGCACTGCCAAGATCAGCAATGCCACTGATGGCCCAAAGGTGACCATAGACACATGAGCAAGCTCTGCAGAGCCCAGCTCAGGTCAGCAGAACCTCCCAGCCAACCCATACACTCAAGAAAAAAACTAAATGTTTACTGTTGCATAGTCCCAAGGTTTTGCAGTTGTCTTATAGCATTACTGTGGCAACAGACAACTGACACATTTGTATCTACTAAACCTCTCCACATGCCCATTCTGCAGGCAACTAGTCAATCCCTTCTGTGTGTTCTCATGGCACTTAGTTATACAATATATTCCACATTCTACTGTTGCAAGTTTTCTATTGAATTGTTACCATTTATTTCAAACAAGTATTTACATGTCTATCTCCTTGCTCACAAGCTCTTTGGAGAAACTGGTTTTGTTCTGTTTTTTTAATAATTGTTAGTTTTCTTTTGTGTGTGTGAGAGAGACAGAGACAGGGTCTCACTCTATCACCTAGGTTGGAGTGCAGTGGCACAATCTCAGCCGACTGCAACCTCCACATCCCAGGCTCCAGCAATCCTGCTACCTCAGCCTCCTGAGTAGCTGGGACCATACGCCACCATGCCCAGGTAATTTTTTGTATTTCTGGTAGAGATGGGGTTTTACCATGTTGTCCAGGCTTAAACTTCTTAGCTCAGGTGATCCACCCACTCCGGCCTCCCAAAGTGCTAAGATTATAGGCATGAGCCACAGTGCCCAGCCAAGAAGGGGCGATCTTTTATATATCTTTTTGAGCCCAGCACTTGGCACAGGGTATGGTACAGAGAAAAAGCTAGTTAAACATTCATAGGAATTTGGAGGATGAGGAATAGCACTCAAAATATCTGTGACATATTGCTTAAGTTTTAGAAGTTTTGTTTTTCACGTTTGGATCATTAATCCACCTGGAGTTGAGTTTCATGTATTATACAAGTAGGGATTTGGCTATCCCAGTACTGTTTAATGAATATCTAACCTTTGTCCCCTGACCTGTGATGCCAACTCACAGCAGGTTTCTACATGTGCAGGTTTCTACATGGATGGCAACTCTATTTGGCTCCGCGAGGCTCTTTGTTGACCCCGGAGCAAACACACCACCTTTGTTATTTACCATTGTTTTATAACAAGTTTTGTATCTGCAGGACAAGTCACTCTGCCTTGCTCTTTTCTTAAAAGCTTGTTTGGCTGTTTCTGGCTCTTTATTTTTTTCATGTACATTTTGCAGTCCGCTTGTGCAGTTATAACACACACTCCACCAAGCACACTAGTGTTGTCGAATTTTTTTTTATTGTCATAGGTCATTTGGGAGAGAATTTACATCTTTAAAAATGGAATCTTCCTATGCAATTTATGATGTAATTCACCATTTATTAGATTTCATTTGCCCTTTAAATATGCCCAGGTTACCCACCTGGTCCAAAATACCATGATTCCTCTCCTGGATAACCACAGCATCTGGCTAAACAGCCTCTCTGCCTCCACATCCCCTCCCACGCAGTCTGTTCTCCATAAAGAAGACAGAGTGCGCCGTTGTTGTTGTTGTTGTTTAAGACATAAATCAGGTCGTGGCACTAAAGTCCTAAAATCGCCTTGTAGCGCCAGTCTTGCCAAGCTCCACACTTTAATTGGGTAAATGACTGCGTGAACGGATGCTGGCTACGCCAAGGCCCTGGGAATAAAGAAATGATAAAGAAGCAGTCCCTTAAGGGAAACCCAAATGGAACATAGTGGCCCCAGCCCGCGCAGAGCCCCACACCACCGTGAGGATGGGCTTGGAGTTCCTCTTGGACCCGGGGCGCGGTCGCTAAGCCAGAAGCGGAGTCGCGGGCGCGGGGCGGGGCCTGGACCCGGGCCTGGACCCGGAGGGCGGGTCCCTGGGCCTCGTAGCTCCCGGGCCCGGACGCGCGCTCACAGGCGCGCGCGAGGACGCGCTCCGGGGACGCGCGAGGACGCCGTGGCGGGAGAAGCGTTTCCGGTGGCGGCGGAGGCTGCACTGAGCGGGACCTGCGAGCAGCGCGGGCGGCAGCCCGGGGGAAGCGGTGAGTCGCGGGCGGCAGGCCCAGCCAGGTGGGTGGGGAAACGCGCAGGGGGCCCGGCGGAGGCGCGCAGGCTTGGGCAGGCTCGGGCCGTGCACCCGCGGGCCGGCTGCGGGGAGACCCCGGGCTCGGAGGTCGGAAGCCCCTTTGCGGGCCGGGGATGCCTCGGGCCGGGGGGGGGGTCCCTGCACCTGGGGATCCCTGGCATCCTGCGGCCGGACAACACCACGCTTCCAGCATCCCGAGGCCCAGCATCCCGTGGGCCTCGTCCCCGGTGGGAAGGGCCCTCCGCCGCGTCCCCGCGCGCCTGGCCGCGCTGTCTTCGGCGCCTGCGTGGCGAACTCGCTCCGGGGACACCAAGATGGCTGCCTCGGGGGCAGCGGCAGCCAGGTGGCCCAGTGCCTGGCCCAGCGCTCCGCGCTCTCGGCTTTGCCTCCTGGTGCTGGGGGTCGGAGGGGAGACCACCTGGTTCCTGCCCTAGAACTCGCAATCCAGTAGGGAGGTGATGTGCAAGGAAGTAGATTCTTGGAGTAGTAGTTGGTCCTACAGGGACCTTGCATTTTCACGCTTTTCTCCTGAACTTTCACGTCTGTCACAGGTCTCTAACCTGCCCAGAATGACAATAAACAGTCTACTAAGTGCGTGCCAGGTGACTTAGGTCCATATACTTTTACACTCTTCCGGCCCTGCGAGGTACTGGGTGTTGGCTCTATAATCCACATGAGAAAACTGGGGCTCTGAGAGGTTGAGTGCCCAAGGTCACACAGCTGGCCATCCATAGTCCAAGGCCATCTGAGTCTCAGTCGTAAATACTGCGTTCTCAAAGACGCTTTTCCTTGGCTATGCTGTCTAAAATTGCACCCCCCATCCCCCCACACACCCTTTGTAACACAAACTCTGGGTTTTTTCTCTTTAGTGTCTTTTGTCACTAGTTGAAATTAAAGGTGTTTACATGTTTTCTTCTCCTCATGTGAACAGGGCCTATTTTGTGTTGCTCAGCCTATCTATCCCCTGCGCATAACAATTGCCTGCACCAAGAAGGCCCTCAATGAGTATTTGTTGACTGCCTGAACGAAAAAGCCTAGCTCTGCTTCACTCCAGAGCCTGGGCACTTAGCTGCTCCGTAGGCAACTCTTTTCTGCGCCCCCATAGCTTTTTCCCTGCACATTTCTCACAGTCCTAGTCCCTCTTCTGCGTTGACTTCTAGATTTTGACTTGGGTGCCTTTGGATTCTCCCTTCTTTGTCCATCCCCCTTTTACTGATCTGCTTCAGTGTTCTAGGCATTGTTATAGGTGCCCAGGGAGGATGCAGGTAAATGAGGAGGCTTTGCAGCTCCTACAGCTTCAGACTTGATATAAAAGATGAGAGGGAACTGTTTGGGAGGATGAATGGGGTGGCTACCAAGAAGTTCTGGGACCTCAAGCAGATCCTTTCTCTCCTCAGCACTGAGCAGGTGTCTCACTTTCAAAAATACAGTGTTTGGGCCAGGCGCGGTGGCTCACGCCTGTAATCCCAGCACTTTGGGTGGCCGAGGCGGGCGGATCACGAGGTCAGGAGATCAAGACCATCCTGGCTAAGCCGGTGAAACCCCGTCTCTACTAAAAATACAAAAAATTAGCTGGGCGTGGTTGCGGGCGCCTGTAGTCCCAGCTACTCGGGAGGCTGAGGCAGGAGAATGGCCTGAACCCGGGAGGCGGAGCTTGCAGTGAGCCGAGATCGCGCCACTGCACTCCAGCCTGGGCGACAGAGCAAGACTCCGTCTTAAAAAAAAAAAAATACAGTGTTTGGCAGGGAGGAGCTATCAGCTCCCATCTCAGCTTAGTACGTATTCAGAGGTTAGATTGAGGCTTTCAGGCCACATGGATGTTCAGAAAAGGGATGATATCTGTGGTTACAGTTGTCAGAGAGGACCCTATATGGCAAAGGGTGTCATAATTCAGGATCAGTGAAGTGTTTAGCTGTTCTTAATTTTCTGTAAAAGTTCTATGAAACCCCATGGGGATGGATACAGAAAGGCACCAACTGGCAGGGAATATCCCTTCCTGCTCCTCACTTCCTGCAGAGAAAGCTGAGAGGACAGCCTGGACAGCAAAGGTGGTAAGAGCAGACCCGTCATCAAACGTTGTTGTTCTGGAAGACTTACGTTGAAGTCAGGCATCTGTATCCTGTTGTGTAGCAGTGGTGAGCTGCATTCAGTTAGAGTAGAACCATGAGTGTGACCAATTTTTCCTTTGTGGTTAAAGGTAAGAAATCAAAAGTAGTGAATCCATTTTTTAAAAAGGGGGGAACAAAGGGCTGTTGTCCAGAAAGTGAAAAGTCATTAAATTAGACCATGTGTCAAACCTGCACTTAATTACACAAAGTTCAAAGTTACTAAGTTTTTCTTTAGCAGCTGTTAATTTGTAAAATAGTTTTATAGACTTTGGTATATGGCATCTCCGAGTTGATTCTTATACATGGATGGTAAAACTTCATCCAAATATGTCTAAAATTCTAGTTTAGTGTTGTTCATTTTTTGCAGGCTGATATCACCATCTCAAATAGAAATCAGAAGATTTTTTTTTAACTGTAATAACATCACCCATCCTAAGATACTGCTTAAGAAATCCATGCCCATAGTTGATCTTGAGGACTGGAATATGAGCAATGGTTGTAATGTTACATCCGTGTTTTTGTTTTTTGTTGTTGTTTGTTTGGTTTTTGAGATGGAGTCTCGCTCTGTTGCCCAGGCTGGAGTGCAGTGGCACGATCTCAGCTCACTGCAACCTCTGCCTCCCGGGTTCAAGTGATTCTCCTGCCTCAACCTCCCAAGTAGCTGGGATTGCAGGTGCGTGCCACCATGCGCCTGTTGTATTTTTAGTAGAGACGGGGTTTCACCACGTTAGCCAGGATGGTCTCGATCTCCTGACCTCATGATCCGCCCACCTCAGCCTCCCAAAGTGCTGGGATTACAGGTGTGAGCCACCGCGCCTGGCACATGGGTGTTTTAAAGTTAGTAGAATAGTGGGATCTGCATGGGAGGGGAGAACATGGCAGTGGGAAAGGCAGGAGGCCTTGATTCTCCATGTCTTCCTGATGCTAGGCAGGCCCAACGTCTCCATGCAGAACTATCCTGGAACAGGGAAGCATATGCAACACAAATCCATTGCTGAGTGGAAATAGAATGAATCTAATGCTTTGCACAGAATTCAACTCTCTGATCTATAATTCGATCTCCTGTGTGGCCATGCCCATAAAAAAGGCCACTATATGCAGATGACCAGCCCAACAGAAATCAGGGAATTTGGTTTTTAGGCTCCTTGAGTTAGTGTGATTGTCCTTGGCAGACACATCTTCTCTGGCCTCCAAGGGTCAGAATTGAGTTTCAAAGTCAGACAGAACTGTGAAGGCTGTGTCATCTTGGGCATGGTACTAAATTTCTCCGAGCGGCTCTATAAAACAGGGGAAAAGATCTTGGAGGGCTGTCATAAGGAGTTAGCAATCTAACAATGCATGGAAAGCCTAGTGTCTGGGTGTTCCGTCATGTCCCCTGGACAGTGGACAGCAGTGACTGACCGGCTGTCTCACACCTGCCTGGCCCTAGTGAAACAAACTGGGCAATCAGACCCTTTCATAACTCTTTCAAAATACGGTAGTTTTGACCAACAGCTTTCCAGCTTAATAACGCAGTTATCATTGGTACTCTTTAGCCAAGATTAAAGGTCTTTGTACTAATTCCTCATAAAGCACATTCCCTGCTAACTTGTTTTCTACAAAATTTTGGAAAATTCTTTTTTTCTCCAGCAGTTAAGCATTTTCTTAGCATGCAGCTAAAAATTTGAAATAAAATTTATCTTGGAGATAAATTCTTTTTCTTACATGTTTCTGATGATCTTCAGGAAGCTCAGGAGCCATTCCTGGCCCCAGGAGCTGCATTTATGCACGGGACTGTGGCCAGTGAGGACAGGAGCTTCCACTCGTGGAAAACCAGCTTGTTAATAATGATCCCACTTTTGTTTGGTAACTTAATAAAGATTAATAAAGGCCTCTTATACTCTTCAGTTTGCTGATCCTACCAACTCTATGAGCCAACTCTTACCTGTGTTTTATAGATGACAGAATTGAGGCTCAGAGGTGTAAAGTAATTCACCCAGTCACATGTCTAGAAAGGAAATGATAGAATCAGGACTGAAATCTAGATTATATTTGCTTAAATCCGGTTCTCATTCCATAGGTTATCAGGGTAGATGCTCGGGAAATTACACCACAGGGCGGGGGGCCTCCATCAGCAAAAACCAGCCAGAAAAAAACAGCTGTGTGTTCGGTCTTTCCAAACCCAGGACCAAGCCAGTGTTGAGTACATAAGAGGCCTTCAGTGGATATGGAAGGCGTAAGTTAATTTTGTTGGTGAATGAATAAATAAAAAGACTTTGAGAAATCTATTGGGATGAGGCTCCATGAAACTATATTTACTCAAAACCTTAGTTAAAAGATTGAATTTAAACAGTTTTTAATTTCTCTATGAAATTATTTCCGTCTCTTTTTAGGGGTAAAATAATTTTTCAACATATATCATCTCTAAAATAATCTGTTCACTCAAATGCAGTATAATGTCATAATTATTAACAGTTCCAGGTAGCCGACATCATTGTGAGAATGTCTTTATGTGATAAAACCTCAAAGTCATTTTTCTTCTTAGCATAAGTGGCATCAGCCAACCACAGAATTTTTTTAAGTCCCACTTTTTTCTCATACCCCACCAAAATTTCTTAATACCGTTAAAATCCAAAAATTTCTTTAAAATCATTCATGAAAAAGATTCTTAGAATTAACACCTCAGTTGTCCGAGCACCAGGAAGCCACATTACAGCTAGTGCAATACACAGAGACCGTCTGTCACCAATCATTTTCTTCTAGCGCGTCTGTTCTAGCCCCTTTCTCTTCCCTCCACACCCCATTGCACCATTTCTTCAGCTCGTGAAAACTGAGCTTGCTGGACATGAGAAACCTGCCAGTGTGCCGCTGTGTAAACCATAACATTTTGCTGCTGCCTTTCTGCAGTCCTGAAGCCAGCTAATAACTGCTCAGTAAGCGCCTCTTCCACAGCTTCCCTAGGTCCCTCTGTGTCTCTGGTGGACTGGGGCCTGCTCCCCTGTCTCCTAGCCTCTCTGAGTGCCTGAAGGCACCACCCCAGCGCTTCTGCATAACTCTCAAAGCCTCAGGTGAACAGGGCAAAGAGAGCACCCTCCCCACTGACTGTCTCCGCACTCTCCCTGGCATCTTTCACTTGCTTCAGGTGCCGTGAAGCTGATGAACCCACACACTCTGGAACACATTCTTTGGCGTCCCGTGTAGTGTGTCCCTCTGAGGGACATTCTTCATGATCCTTGCCGCATCTGCAGTGGGAACGCAAACATCTTGTTCTCCAAAACTTTCTTTTGAAGTATCTGTGGTTTCATGATTATTCCTGTTCCCAGTGTCAGCACAAGGCTGTGCAGCATGACTTCCTCCAGCGCAGTCTGCAGAAATCCGGAGTCGAGAAGCCTCTGTCCTAGCACTGTCCCTATCCTAGGTCATGAAAGACTGTGATTGATGTTCAAGACACCTCTGTAACGAGATGTTTGATCTTTACCCAGTTTCAACCTTCCAGACAAGCCCAGGGGCCATAATTTGCCAGATGGATGGCTGCATAAGCCAGACCATGGAAAAACAAAGGCCATTCCTGCACAATCACCCCCACCCCATGACCTCGTTCCCTCCCCACGATGGTGCCCGCAGCAGTCCCGCCCCACAACCCGGCCCTCCTGACCCGTCAGTACCAGGTGTGCGGGGCACATGCCCTCAGCGCATCTCTGCCTTGCCCGGGGCCAGCAGGTGCACGCCGGAATGCTGCGGACCAACCAAGTGGCCCGGCCAGCCCTGACCCCTGCGGGTGGAAAAGGGTGCACCCTGGGGATCCCCACATAGCGGCCAAGGCCTTAAGGATACCAGCATCTCGCTCCCTGAATAGACTCTAGACACAAAATGGAGCCAGCACAGGGCGCGTCTCGGCGCATCCTCCTCAGCCCAGGCCCCGTGCGTAAGGAGCGCTCCGTGTCAGCGCGCTTGCTAGACCCCATTGATTTTTAGAGACGGGTTTTACTATGTTGCCCAGTGTGGTCTCCAACCTCCTAGGTTCAAGCAGTCCTTCCACCTCAGTCTCCCAAGTAGCCAGGATTACAGGTGCGCACCACCACGCTCAGTGCTGTTGACTTTAATGTGAATAGGAAATAAGTTTTGATGTTTGTTTGTTTTTTAAGTGGGGCTCCTGTTTTTTAAAAATGGATCAATTTACCTGGAGTGCAGGCTGCTCCTGAGCTTGAAGGTGGAAGTCAGTTCATGCGTGAAAGAAGTCTTGCCTAATTGAAACATGGCATCACGGTTAATAATTAAAATGTTATCTGATTTGAGATCAGCTGTTTTTGTGAGAATGCTAATGTGGCATTCCTGATTAGTCTGTATGTTTGTTTGTTTGATTTTTAATTCTGGGTGCAGAGGAACACAGATTATCAAATCCAGTTGGTATTTCTTATGCCACTATAGTACAACTTGAAATCCCTTTTAAGTAGAGGAAACAGTGTTGTATTCATTTCCTATTGCTGTTATAACAAATTACTACATATTTGAGTAGCTTAAAGCAACACAGATATATTATCTTAGAGTTCTGGAGGTCAGAAGTCTAGAACAAGTGGGCCTTCCTTCTGGAGGCTCTAGGGCAGAGCCCCTTTCCCTGCCCTTTCCAGCTGCTAGGGGCTGCAGCTCACAGCCCAGCATCACTCCAACCTCTGCTTGTTCCCACATCTGTTTCTCTGGCTCTGCCTCTTCTGCCTCCTTCCATCTCTTATAGGGAGCCTTGTGATGACATTGGGCCAACCAAATATTCCAGGATCATGCCTGCATCTCTCAAGATCCTTAACTTAATCATATCAGCAAAGTCCCTGCACCATGTGAGGTAACATATTCACAGTAGTAGGTGCTCAATAAATAGATACTAAAGATAGCAGCATTTTTTATTAGACCTTCTCACAGCTTCTGGGGATTAGAATGAGACATCTTTGGCAGCCATTGTTCTCCCCATCATGGGTAACATGCAGTGGGCGCTTCCAGTGCCAGGATTTCGGTGGGTTTAACTGGAGTGTGCAGATAAGTAGTTGGCGTCAAGAACTCCTGCTGCTTCCCTTGCTGGAAAGATGGGGTGGCTTTGAATGACATCCCAGAATCTGATTCTTCCGTCTGCGGAATGTGCATAGGATGTCTGAATCACACTATTGTCGTGAGAAATGAGGTAGAATATTCTCTGATGTGGCAAGCTTAGGCCAGCATCTAGCCCAATTCCTTGTATATAATGGAAATTCTTAAGATGTTAGGGTTCCCCTCTCCCTCTCTCTCCTTTTTCCTCGCCTACAAAGGAAGACATCTTTTGTGAGGCCTCCACAGCATTCTTGATCACTTGTACTTAGAGTAACCTTAAGGTTATTGTAGTATAGAACTTCATAGTGTAAAGGTCAAGTTTTTATTTAAAGGAAAAAAGTGGGGGGGCCTCCAAGATATCATTTCTCTGCAGACATTAATTGGTGTCATACTTCAAGAAAAATGGCTAGAAAAGAGTGGTGAGTGGAAAGCTGGCCAGTGCCCTGGAGGCTGCTCCTGCTTTGAGTTCTCCCGGACTTGTTTCTGCTGCCAGCATCTGCCATGCAACCTGGGCAAGTTATTTCCCCTCTGGACCTCAGCTTCCGCATAATAAGCGCATTGGATAAATCATTTTTCAGACTATCCAGTTCTTATACATGATAATACTTATATTTTATAGAGTAACCATATTTTTGGCTGGGTGCAGGGAATCACACCTGTAATCCCAGCATTTTGGAGGCCAGGGTGGGCAGATCACTTGAGCCCGGGAGTTCGAGACCAGCCTGGGCAATAGAGTGAAACCCTGTCTCTACAACCAGTACAAAAATTTAAAAAAACAGAAACTAGCTGGACATGGTGGCAGACGCCTGTAGTCCTAGCTGCTCGGGAGGCTGAGGTGGGAGGATCACCTGAGCCCAGGACGTCAAGGCTGCAGTGAGCTATGATTGCACCACTGCACTCCAGCCTGGGTGACAGAGTGAGACCCTGTCTCAAAATAAATAAATAAATAATAAAGTAACCAATTCTAAAATGAGACCGTGATGGCGGCAGCTTGCCCTAAAGGTTGCCTTATATTTAACAAATTAGGGATAGTTTGTTATTAGGAACTAGAATTCTATAAAAGCTACATATTAATTTTTGTTTTCATTATTTATGTTAAGCATGAAGGAAAAATAGTGATAGTGAGAATTATAGTTAAAAGGGAAGAGAGATTCCTTGGTATTCAATTTTCTGAGAAAAACCCATATCAGATCTTCACCGGGGAACATCACAGATCACCTAGGCCCGAGGGCAGGCACAGGAGGGTAAAGAAGGGTGCAGGGAAGGAAATGGCTCACGGCCTCATGTACAGCCACAGCCTGGTGTCCGTCCAGCATGAAGTCCACACCCAGAGCCATGCTGAATCCCACGCCCAGCCTTATGCTGGACCTCCTGGATCAGAACCTCTAGAAGGAGGATAGTATTTGTCTTTATAAGAAGCTCTCCAGGTGATTTTGATGTGTTCCATTGGTGCAGAACCATCAGTCTGCACTAGCAGCTTTGCAGGAATAAACGGTTTCCCAAGGAGGGGAGGTTTAACGTGTTGTTCCTCTTGCTACCACCATCATTGCTGTTAAATCCACCTCCTCCCGCTTCACTATCCAGAAATGGAAGTGACCGGCTACCAAGGTGTCTTCCTTTTGGCCAGTCGGGCTACCAATAGATTTACCTCTCATCTTTCAGGATGCCACTCTCTCCTGGTTTTGCACCCACCAGTCACTCCCCAGCCCACTTTGCTGTGCCTTCAGTCCTTTCTGACCTCTTCACACCACAGTCCTTGGATCTCTTTATTTACCTTCACTTCCCTGGTGATCTCATCACATCGCATGACTTTAAATATAATCTCTGTCTGACAACTCCCACGGATAATCTCCAGATTACACTTCTCCCCTGAACTTAGACCTACTTACTCTGCTGCCCGCTGGACATCTCCACTTGCTGCCTCCTGGGTGCCTCACGCTTACTCCGTGCAAATCTGAGCTTCCTGTCTTCTCCCTCGGCCCTCTCCACCTCCAGTTTTTCCAACTAAATACCTCAGGAACCATGCTTTTTCTTTCTCTCACATCCCACATCTAAGATGTCAAGAAATCCTGCTGGCACCATTGAAGAAATACCCAGAATTCCAGTACCTCTTGCCACCTGCGCTGCCCCCCAGCTCTGTCTGGATCTCTGCAGTAACCTTGTCACTGTTCCTCCTGTGTCCGCTCTTATCTCCCCACTGTCTGTTCTCCACACAGCAGCCAGAGAGATCCTTTTAAATTGTGCGTCCGTTCATTTCGGTCCTCTCATCAGAACCTTCCAGTGACTCCCATTTGTTGCAGAGTGAAATGCAAAGGCCTTACAGTGGCTCCATAACCCACATCATCTGACTCCAACCTGAGCCATTACATCTCTTACCTCCTCATCTCCCATCTCCCACTTCCTCACTCCGCCCCAGCTCATGCCTTCTTGCTATTCTTTGAAGACACCAGATGCATTTCTTTTTTTTTTTTTTGAGACGGAGTTTCGCTCTTGTTGCCCAGGCTGGAGTGCAATGGCACGATCTCGGCTCACCGCCATCTCCGCCTCCCAGGTTCAAGCCACTCTCCTGCCTCAGCCTCCCGAGTAGCTGGGATTACATGCATGCACCACCACGCCTGACTAATTTTGTATTTTTAGTAGAGACAGGGTTTCTCCATGTTGAGGCTGGTCTCGAACTCCTGACCTCAGGTGATCCGCCCGCCTCGGCCTTCCAAAGTGCTGGGATTACAGGTGTGAGCCACCACGCCCGGCCGACACCAGATGCATTTCTGACTTCAGGTCTTGGCAATGCCTTTTCCCTCTGCCTGGAATGCTCTTCCCCCAGATATCCCCATGATTCAACTCTTCACTTTCCTCTGATCTTGCTGCAGTATTACTTTCTCAATGAGACGTGCCTTGACTACACTGGACATGGTGGCAGATGCCTGTAGTCCTAGCTAATCGGGAGGCTGAGGTGGGAGGATCAGCTGAGCCCAGGACGTCAAGGCCCTGCTCATGATCCTTCTTATCCTGTTCTGGGGTATTTTTGTTTGTTTGTTGTTTGTTTGTTTTCCCCAACCATTTACTGCCTTCTAATATAATGAATAGTTTACTTATCTTTTGTGTTTTTTGTTTGTTGCCTGTTTTCCTTTCACTCTGCCATCCCAGTGTCAGCACCAATAGGGCAGGAATTTTTGTCTTCTTTGTTCACCGATGCGGCCCAAGAGTCTGTCGTGTAGTAAGTAGGTGCTCAATAAATAGATATTAAAGATAGCAGCCTTTTTTTAGACCTTCTGAAAAAAACAAAGCTAACAGATTTTTTTTCTCCTAAGTATTTAGTCTGTTATGCATTTAGACTATGGTCTACTTGAAGGTAGGAATTATATCTTATTGGCTCATTCAGAAATGGGAGGAAATTAGGCCAGATTATCTGTCTTATTCTGTTGTATGATTACGTATGATTACGTGTGACTTCTAAGGATAGAAACAAATGCTGAGTAATACACGTAATTGTAACTTCAAAATGTGGCTCATGGACAGGAGCCAGTGTGTGAACCCACCTGCTTGAATTCCCCTGCACGCCCTGCAGGTAGCTAATATGCCTCAGCAGAGCCCAAGCCTCTGTAGACGAGTCTGAAGAGTGCTGCTTTTCAGGATAGGAACTGGACTCTGCTTTCTGTAATATACTTGATATATTCTAATTCAAAATTTAGTCATGTCTGCATACAATGACATACATTTCTTGTATCCCCATGATGGTGGCAGCAAGAAGGGAGACACTGCAAAACACATTCAACTCCCCTCTTTGGGGAACTGTTTATTCCTGTGAAGCTGCTAGTGCAGATCGATGGTTCTGATCCAGTGGAACACATCAAAATCATCTGGAGAGCTTTTTAAAAAGACAAATATTATCCTCCTTCTAGAGACTCTGATCCAGGAGGTCCAGCACAAGGCTGGGCATGGGATTCAGCCTGCACTCTGGGTGTGGACCTCATGCTGATGGGCACCAAGCTATGGCTGTACATGAGACCATGAGCCATTTCCTTCCCCGCACCCTTCTCTACCCTCCTGTGCCTGCCCTCGGGCCCAGGTGGACTGTGATGTTCCCCGGTGGAGATCTGATAGAGATTTTTCTCAGAAAATTGAATACAAAGTAATCTCTCTTCCCTTTTAACTGTAATTCTCACTATCACTACCACATCCCTGTTTCCTTGGAAACTACAAAGTTAAGATGGACTTGCAATGTTGTGTCCAAAAGTTTCCTAATCTGAAACTCTGCACCTGGGCTGGAAATCCAGGCCAGCTTTCTATGTCAAGAGTGGGATGTTTCACTCTTCACGTTATGATTTCAGGTAGCAAAGTTTCTGACCCTCTGTGATGACAGAGAACAAGATTTCTCAGTGAGATAAGAAACAGTGGTCACAAAAAAAGAGAACTGTTAGGACACCGTATAGCTGCATTCTGACCTTGGGGAAATAGGCTTCCCGTTAGCTTTGTAGCTGGGCTTCTCTGTGTTTGTTACCCCAGCCTGCTCTAGGAATAGCAGGCCTGATTTTTACCTTCTCACTAGATTCCTCACATCTGCAGACCTAACATGCTCAGTTTTGATCCTGTGGTCCATGATATGTGTTCATTGGAGATTTTGAGAAAGTATACAAGAATGCCCAGCATTCACATCCGACATCTTAATGTACCTCCGAACCTGTAAAGCACTAAGAAAGTAACTTAAGGAAAAGTGACCTGAAAGGAGAATTAAAATTAAAACTGGTATTAGAAATGTAGGGAAGGGAAACAGGTATAAGTAAGCCATGGTTTGAAGCCTTTATAGTGCTTAAAATCCTTTGGCCTGCTAATATCATGCAAAGAGAGCTAGTCTGAGGAAATCACTAGCTGTAAGGACAAAGATGCATAGACAGGGATAAGCATTATATGTCATGGTGAAAAACCAAAAACCACTTAAACATTAAAGGTGTAGTTATATATCCAAAATGAACAGCGGCCACAAGGATGCTCATGAAATAAGTGCAAAAAAAACAAGATCTTAAAATATATAGTATGATATCAACTAATTTTTTAAATTGTATAATAACATGTATAGAAAATGTCTATAAGGAAATGTACCAAAACAGTAACGATGATTTCAGAGTGCCTGGATTATGGGAGATTTTGTTTCTTTATTCTCTATTTTCTGTAATAAGCTTGTATTTTTCGGAATACCACAGTGAGCATCTATTACAACAATACAGGGCAGTTCTAAAATAAACATGTATTACTCAGAGAAAGAAATTAATTACTTTTGGAAAAAAAGTAATGGCTCTTTAGCCAGAAAATAAAAATTGTATGAGGATAATTACATGCTGCAGAGTTACTCCTATTCATGGGACTGTGCAACTGTGTTTTTCCTGCTATGTTCCTGGTAGCTGGAAGAACTTAATTTTTAATTTTTGATTGGTGGTTTATGTGCTAAACAAGGCTGAATGAATCTGCGTCTTTTTTAGTTGTGTAATTTTTAGCATTTAAACCTTTTTTTAATCATTAGTCATTTCTCCTAGTAGGAATAACAGCTTTAGTAGGCGTTTGACGTTGGTTGTTTCACTCAGAAAAATGGGTTCAAACTTCGGACCTTGTTACTGTTTTTATTTATTTTTAAACTTTTTTTTTTTTTTAGAGGCATGGTCTTGCTTTGTCACCCAGGCTGGAGTGCAGCGGCATGATGATAGCTCACTACAGCTCCAACTCTTGGGCTCAAGCGATCCCCACACCCCACTGCCACCTCAGCCTCCTGAGTAGCTGCAACTATAGGCGTGCACCACCATGCCCGGATAAGTTTTTAAAATTTTTTGTAGAGATGGGGTCTTGCCGTGTTGTCCAGGCTGGTCTCAAACGCCTGGGCTCAAGGGATCTTCCCTCCTCGACCTCCCAAAGTGCTGGGAACATAGGTGTGAGCTGCCGCACCCATCCTAAAACTTTTCGTACCTTTATTTTCTCCAGAGTAATTCTAGGTATCCAACAAGTAAATATTAAAATACTATGTACTTATAAAGAGAAATATGTAGGAAACTATTGAAATTTAGTTAAGATCAATTGAGATTTATAGACAAACTTAGCTTTGAATTTAGATGGCCTTTTTGCCATTTATAGCAAAATTATCTTTATAAATAGGAAGAGTATGTACATATTTACTCAAAAATTTAAGGTGACTGTAAAGTTTCTAAATACGTAGTGACATTGTAAGCCTTACACGAACTTGCCTTTTTGACTCTTTGCAGTCCGGGACCATGTCTGGAGAACTACCACCAAACATTAACATCAAGGAACCTCGATGGGATCAAAGCACTTTCATTGGACGAGCCAATCATTTCTTCACTGTAACTGACCCCAGGAACATTCTGTTAACCAACGAACAACTCGAGAGTGCGAGAAAAATAGTACATGATTACAGGTAACATTAATTATTGTTTTTTGGTTTAATGTATAAATAGATCATCATGTTAGGCTGCTATCTTTAAACCTTCACTTAGTGATTTTACAACTTTTTTTTTTGCAATGGAATTCTTTTGACCAAAAAAAAAAAAAGGAAGAAAAGAGTAAAAAGACCTGTTATATCCCCCATTGCTCGCCCTTAACACAGATATCTAGGGTTCATATTAACCTGACAATGGGAGTCATCCCTCTTAGTTGTAGATACCAATCCCTTTCTCCTGGCAGCTTGCCTTCTGTTCTCCGATAGCACCACCACCTCCACTACGACATCCACAACCCCTCCGTGCATTTTTCTGTCTCTGAACAGAAACAGCATTATGCAAAAACAAATTGCCAAGAATCAGGGGTAGGTTGGTTCCTTCTGAGTTATAGGCCCAGTAAGTAAAGTCCTGTAGGTAGGAGCTCAGATGGGAAGGGTGCTGGTGGCAATGCCTACAGGGAATGCAGATGTGGGATGCACGCCATCAGTTGAGAGAACCATGCGGGAGGGAGGAGAAGATGCTACCGGTGTAGAGATATTCCAAGGCAGCAGTTGGCCACTTTTTCTGTAAAAGATCATATAGGAACTATTTCAGCCTTTGTGGATCTCTGTCACATATTATTCTTAAGTTTTTATTTGTGTTTTTTTGTTTGTTTAACAATCCTTTAAAAAAATGTAAAAACCGCTGGGCACGGTGGCTCACGCCTGTAATCCCAGCCCTTTGGGAGGCTGAGGTGGGTAGATCACGAGGTCAGGAGATCGAGACCATCCTGGCTAACACGGTGAAACCCCGTCTCTACTAAAAATACAAAAAATTAGCCAGGCATGGTGGCGGGCGCCTGTAGTCCCAGCTACTCGGGAGGCTGAGGCAGGAGAATGGCATGAAGCCAGGAGGCAGAGCCGGCAGTGAGCCAGGATCGTGCCACTCGCCACTGCACTCCAGCCTGGGCGACAGAGCGAAACTCCATCTAAAAAAAAAAAAAGATGTAAAAACCACTCTTACCTGGCAGGGCACACAGGCCACGAACAGTAGTTTGCTGACTCCTGCACTGGGGGAAAGTCAATCCAAAGCTGGGGATTGGATTGCTAGAAGCTTTGTGCCTAAACATGCCCAGAAGTGACACATCAGAAGCAGGTCCTTAACCATCATCTAGGTAGAGAGAGAACCGACGACAGTCAATAAACACTGAGTCTGGCCAAGTTCTGCCATGTGCCAATGTGCGTAAAGAGGGAATACACAAACAGCAGATAAACGAACAGCAGAACATCCTGGAACCTTACGAGAAAATAGTGAAGACAGGCAAAAGCCGTAGAAAGCAGAGAAGTTGAGATGAAAAGACAACTGCATGGTTGAAAAGAAGATGGCATAAGGAAGATTGCCAAGAACGTACAAATGTAATTGAAATTGAAATGTTTACTGGAGGCAGTGGTAAAGGACCAACATCAGAAATTACACGTAAGAAAAAGTACAATTACCGATAGAGAGAATGAACCTGAGAAGCTTGCCGGGGTGAAGAACAGAGGTCGGCAAACTTTTTCCGTAAAGGGCCAGACGACAAGTATTTTAGGCTTTACAGGCCATGCATTCTTTGTCACATATTCTTGTTTGTTTTTACAACCCTCTAAAACCATAAAAGCTATTCTGAGCTCACAGGCATAGAGAAACAGGCCAGGCCGTGGACTGGTGTTTGCCAATCCCTGATATAGATGGAAAAGAAGGGTACGAAAAAGACTCTGTAAGAGGAAAAGAGAATGGAGACTGAAGATAAAATTAATTGGTGCTCCTAAAAGAGAAACTAGAAAAATGCAAATAAGCAATATTAAATATATTTCATAGCAACAGAAAGTAAAATGGAATTTTCCTCAGGTGAGGAAAACCATTTCTCTAATTAAAGAGACCTGCCCTATTTCAAGCAGACACACCCACACATGGCAATTTTTTTCCTTTTGTTTTTTCTATAAACTTTTAAAACTTCCAGAAGCATCCATGAACAGGAAAACAACGAAAAGCTATTAAAAAGGAACATGTCAGAAAGGGCTCAATCTTTTCATCTCTACGCTGAATGCCTGAAGATAGTAAGCGATGTGTGCCAAGTTCTCAGGGGAGAGAGTTGTCACTTGGGAATTTCACAATAGATCATCTTTATTTGCGACAGCAACAGAAAATATGCAAGTGCAGCCGGGCACAGTGATTCATGCCTATAATCCCAGCACTTTGGGAGGCCAAGGTGGGTGGATCGCCTGAGGTCAGGAGCTCGAGACCAGCCTGGCCGACATGGTAAAACCCCGTCTCTACAAAAAAAAGTACAAAAAATTAGCTGGGCGTGGTGGTGCATGTCTGTAATTCCAGCTACTTGTGTGGCAGAGACAGGAGAACCGCTTGAACCTGGGAGGCAGAGGTTGCAGTGAGCCGAGATCATGCCACTGCACTCCAGCCTGGGCAACAAGCACGAAACTCCACCTAAAAAAAAAAAAAAGAAAAAATATGTAAAATATGCAAGTGCATCAAACATAAACTCTTCATAAACCCTTCTTGGGTGGTCAAAAGATAATACCAAATAGAGTTAAAAAAAATAAGCCATAATATAAGGTGATTCCTCAGACAGTGAAACATGAATCACCGTGTGACCCAGCAGTTCCACTTCTGGGAATATACCTGAAAGAAATGAAAGCAAGAACTCGAACAGATCCTTGTACACTCATGTACATAGCAGCATTATTCACAGTAGCCAAAAGTTGGAAGCAACCCAGGTGTCCGTCAGCAGATGAGTGGATGAACAAATGTGCTCCCGCCATACAGTGGAATCCCATACAATGAAATAGCATTCAGCCTTCAAAAGGAAGGAGATTCTGATGCATGCTACAACATGGTTGATCATGAAGACATTATGTTGAGTAAAATAAGCTAGTCACAAAAGGACAAATATTGTGTGATTTCATTTATATGAGGTACCTAGAGTAGTCAAATTCAGAGACAGAAAGTAGAGGGGAAGTTGCCAGGGGCTGGGGGAAGAGGGAATGGGGAGTTAGTGTTTAATGGGGACAAAGTTTTAGTTGGGGAAGATGAAAATGTTCTAGACATGGATAGTGGTGATGACCACACAATAATGTGAATGTACTTAATGCCACAGAATTGTATACTTAAAAATGGTTAAAATGGCTGGGGGTGGTGGCACATGCCTGTAATCCCAGCACTTTGGGAGGCCAAGGTGGGAGGATCACTTGAGGTCAGGAGTTTGAGACCAGCCTGACCAACATGGTGAAACCCCGTCTCTTCTAAAAATACAAAAATTAGCCGAGTATGGTGATGCACGCCTATAATCCCAGCTACTCAGGAGGCTGAGGCAGGAGAATCACTAGAACCCGGGAGGCGGAGGTTGCAGTGACTTGAGATCGCACCACTGCACTCCAGCCTGGGCAACAGAGCAAGACTTCGTCTCAAAAAAAAAAAAGGGTTAAAATGGTAAATTTTATGTTACGAATCTTTTACTACAATAAAAAAAGAAACATATAAGAAAGTCATATAAATAGACAAGTGATGAATGTTGAAACACATAGAAATAGTTGTATCTCTAGTATGAAATACTGTATAGAATAAAAGAGATTAAAAGTGGCTTTTTTTTTTTTTTGAGACGGAGTTTCGCTCTTGTTGCCCAGGCTGGAGTGTAGTGGCGCAATCTCGGCTCACAGCAACCTCCGCCTCCCAGGTTCAAGCGATTCTTCTGCCTCAGCCTCCCGAGTAGCTGGGATTACAGGCACGCACCACCACACCTGGCTAATTTTGTATTTAGTAGAGATGGACTTTCTCCATGTTGGTCAGACTGGTCTCAAACTCCTGACCTCAAGTGATCCGCCCTCCTCAGCCTCCCAAAGTGGTGGGGTTACAGGCGTGAGCCACCACTCCCGGCCTTAAAAGTGTTTTATAAAAAATTGTAATAGATAGCCAGGCATGGTGACGCGCACCTATAATCCCAGCTCGGGAGGCTGAGGCAGGAGAATCACTTGAACCCGGGAGGCAGAGGTTTCAGTGAGCCGAGATCGCTCCCTGCACTCCAGCCTGGGCAACAGAGTGAGACTCCATCTCAAAAAAAAAAATAGTAATAGCTATCTGAATCTAAAGCCCTAGATTATAGTGTCAAAAAACAAAAAGGAAATGGAAGAATTAAAACATCTTGTCTCAAATAGGAACAAAACTCAGAAATATACATGATTTTGCTCCTTACTATATTCAATAAATGCATTAACATGTTTCATTTTAAAGTTAGTAGAATATGCATGAACAGAAAATTGTAAGCCTTAATAATTTACTAACATAACAACAAATTAAAAATTTTAAAAATCAAATCAAAGACTTTAAAATTGGGTGGAAACACTTAAAAAGCTCAGTGATGATATGACATCCCACTTAGAATACCTGAAGCTTGCATGATGTAATTGTACTTACGAAATTACAGTACATTTTTCCAAGAATCCCTAAATGTCTCCCTTTTTTTTTCTCTTCACCTTTTTAGAGCATATAGACCCTTAAAGTCTGGGTGATAAATTGCCTAGGCCTGTTCCAAATTAGCTTTGGGGTATTTGTTAGGTTCTGTGCTGATAGATACTCTTTCTTTTTTTTTTTGAGATGGAGTCTTGCTCGGTCACCCAGGCTAGAGTGCAGTGGCACACCAGCTCACTGTAACCTCTGCCTCCCGGGTTCAAGCAATTCTCCCTGCCTCAGCCTCCCAAGTAGCTGGAATTACAGGCACCTGCCATCATGCCCAGCTAATTTTCATGTTTTTAGTAAGACGGTGTTTCACCATGTTGGCCAGGCTGGTTTTCAACTCCTGAACTCAAGTGATCTGCCCACCTCAGCCTCCCAAAGTCCTGGAATTACAGGCGTGAGCCACCATGCCTCGCCTATATACTTTTATATATATAAATCAGTAAGCCAGTTGTTAAATCAGTATGTAAGAAATAACTCAGAGTTTCCTACCTCCCCATCAAGAGATAAATCAGCCATGAGCCTTCAGGGGAGATTAGTTCAAGGGCTAGTTAGGGTTGAAGAGGTATCATGTTTTAAGTATGACTGCCAATATATAGTTCTAGTGGGATACCCACAATGCTATTTGAACAATGCTATATGAACCAAAAAGAAAGTAATAAAAATGGCTAACATTAAAAAGCAGGACAAAGGTAATTGCAAATAAAAAGTAGGAAATTACAATTCTGGGCAAATAGATCCAAATATTTTGATATTGATAAAGATATAGTGAATGCCGAACAGACAGTATTCATGAGCCAGTGGTGTTCCATCAAAATATACAAAGAAAGGGTGGTTAGCAATACAAATAGAACTTGATTAAAACACAATCACAGGGCCGGGCGCAGTGACTCACACCTGTAATCCCAGCACTTTTTGAGGCCGAGACGGGTAGATCACCTCAGGTTAGGAGTTCGAGAGCAGCCTGGCCAACATGGTGAAATCCTGTCTGTGCAAAAAACACAAAAAGTTAGCTGGGTGAGGTGGCGGGCACCTGTAATCCCAGCTACTGGGGAAGCTGAGGCAGGAGAATTGCTTGAACCCAGGAGGCGGAGGTTGTAGTGAGCCGAGATTGCGCCACTGCACTCCAGCGCAGGTGACAAGAGCAAAACTCCGTCTCAAAAAGAAAAAAAAAAAAAAAAAAACCACAATTGTAGTAGGAAATTCTAACATACCTTTTATCATCTTTGATAGATCATCTAATCACACTAGAATTTTTATGCTGTTTTAATTCTTTGATCAAAACAAAAAAATCACAAAGTAAAAACAATGAGAAATTAATGAGAAAATTAATTATTAATCTTATTAATGAGAAAATTAATAAGAAACTTTAAGGAATTGTACTCTGAGGAAAGTTTATAGCTTTACATATCTCTGTGATTAAACAATAAAAGCTGACAATGAATGAACTGAGAACCCAGCCTAAGAAATTAGAGAACAGCAGAATAATAGGAAAATAGTAAACCCTGCAAGGTACTTCCTGAGTGCTGGATACTGACGGCTTTAATCATTTCACATTTACTAATTTAACCCTCACAACCTTTGAGGGTAGATAATGTTATTTCCATTTTTCAGATTAAGAAACGGAGGTGGTAACAGAATCCTGCTGCGGTAGGTGGTAGAGCCAGGATTAAAATCCAGACGATCTGACCGCAGAGTTCATGCTGTTAACTACTACATACACTGCTTTTCAAAACAGAGAGGAGTTCATTTTAAAAGTCTGAAATTAATTAATAGGATTAAAAAATAAATGTAAGAAATTGTCCTTTGATAAATCCAGAAAAGGATAAGCCTCTGGTAAGTCTAACCATTCTAAAGAAAACAAATAAAACTCAAAATATATAACAAAAGGAGTAAGAAAGCTACCTAACAGAGAAATAGAATATAAAAATAAAGCCTACTGTATAGCTTTTTTGCTAAAGATTTTAAAAATCTTAGTGAAATATATAACATTCTATGAATACAGTATATAGGTTACCAAAATTGACTCAATCCAAAAGAAGGCAGGGAAAGAGGGGAAAAGGAATGAGGAGGAGATGAGACAAACAGAAAACAAATAGCAAGATGGTAATAAAATAAAAATCTTTCCCACAAAAATCTCAAAGGCCAGATGGCTTTACACAGGTAAAGAAAGAATTTTTTCACAGGAAGAATATCAAACCAGCCAGGCGCAATGGCTCACGCCTGTAATCCCAGCACTTTGGGAGGCTGAGGCGGGCAAATCACCTGAGGCCAGGAGTTCGAGACCATCCTGGCCAACATGGTAAAACCCCATCTCTACTAAAAATACAGAAATTAGCCGAGTGTGGTAGCTTATGCCTGTTATCCCAGCTACTCGGGAGGCTGAGGCAGGAGAATTGCTTGTACCCAGGAGGCGGAGGTTGCAGTGAGCCGAGATGGCACCACTGCACTCCAGCCTGGGCAACAGAGTGAGACTCTGTCTCAAGAAAAAAAAAAAAGGGATATCAAACCACAAACTCCAGCAGAAAGCAGAAGAGTCAGGAAACACTTCATTATTCATTTCATGAAGCTACAAGTACCCTGATGCAAAACCAGAAAAAGGGATTAGAGGAAAAATGACTAACACCCCTCATAAACATAGACACAAAAATTCTTAACAGAATTTAACAAATCTACCCGGAAAGGGCAATACCCAAAATAAGCAGAACTCAAGTGGAGTTATAACAAGAATGCAAGATTGGTTTAACATTTAAAAATCACTGTATCAGTAGACTAAAACAGAAAACCGTATTATCATATCAATAGATGCAGAAAAAGCAGACAAAATCCAACATCCATTCATGATACAGCTGTCAGCAAACTAGGAATAGAAGGGGAAGGTACAACTACAAAAACCCTACGACTAACATCAAACCTAATGGTGAAAGTATGAATACGTTCCTCCTAAGATTGGGGAGCAAGGCAAGGATTTCTGCTCTCGTTAACTTTTCTTCAGCATTGTGCTAGAGGTTCTAACTAGGGCAATAAGAGAAAATTTAAACTTTTTTTTTCAAAAAAGACAAAGATAGGAAATGAAAAAGTAAAACTTTCCTTATTCACAGAAAACGTGATCATCTATATAGAAAGAATTTACCAGGCCAGGCGCAGTGGCTCATGCCTGTAATCCCAGCACTCTGGGAGGCCAAGGCGGGTGGATCACCTGAGGTCAGAAGTTCAAGACCAGCCTGGCCAACATGGTGAAACCTTGTCTCTACTAAAAATACAAAATTAGCCAGGCCTGGTGGTGCATGCCTGTAATCCCAGCTACTTGGGGTGCTGAGGCACGAGAATCACTTGAACCTGGGAGGTGGAGGTTGCAGTGAGCTGAGATTGCACCATTGTACTCCAGCCTGGGTGACAAGAGAAAACTCTGTCTCAAAAAAAAGAATTTACAAAAAAACCAACTAGGATAAATGGGTTTAGTAAGGTTACAAGATACAAGATCAATATACAAAAATCAATTTCATTCCTATCTAGTAGCAATTAACAACTGTAATTTTGAAATTTTTAAAATAATACCATTTTCAGTAGCAACAAAAATATTAAGTACTTAGAGATCACTTTAACAAAATATATAAAATGCCTGTACACCAACACACACACACACACACACACACACACACACACACACACACACACACACAAATTACAGAGAAAAAAACAGAGCTTGGGTTTTTTTAAAAACTGGAGAGATATACAGTGTTCCTGTATTGGAAGACTCAATATTGTTAAGATGTCATCTCTTCCCAAATTGTTGTAAGATTCATTGTAATCATCAAAACCCCAGCAGGCTCTTTTTAGACACTGACAAGCTACTTCTAACGTTTATGTGGAAATACAGGGAGCCTAGAATATTGGAAACAATTTTGAAAAAGAATGAAGCTGAGAAACTCACACTACCTGGTCTTAAGACTGACTATAAAGCTCTCGTAGTAACGACAGTTTAGCATTGTTGTAAGGAGACACATTTAGATCCACGTAACAGAAGAGAATCCTGAAATAGGCACAAATGTGTATAGTTAACTGATTTTATGTAAAGGAGCCAAGATAATTCAATGAGGAAAGGATACTCTGTTCAATGAATAGTTCTGGAAAAATTAGATTCTTGTATAAAAAATGGATCTTGATGCTTAACTCATCCTGTAAACAAAATTTAGCTTGAAATGGATAGTAGACCTAAATATACTAGCTAACACTATTCAACTTCTAGAGAAAATGGGAGAAAATCTTTATGACTTTGATATGGGCAAAGATTTTTTTTTTTTTTTTTTTTTTTGAGACAGAGTCTCGCTCTGTCACCCAGGCTGGAGTGCAGTGGCGCGATCTTGGCTCACTGCAACCTCTGCCTCCCAGGTTCAAGCTATTCTCCTGCCTAAGCCTCCCGAGTAGCTAGGATTACAGGTACGTGCCACCACGCCCAGCTAATTTTTTGTATTTTTAATAGAGACAGGGTTTCACTGTGTTAGCCAGGATGGTCTCGATCTCCTGACCTCGTTATCCGCCCGCCTCGGCCCCCGAAAGTGCTGGGATTACAAGTGGGAGCCACCGCGCCCGGCAGTATGGGCAAACATTTCTTAGATAAGATATAAGAATGGACAATTATCAATTGAAACGGAAAGAAGAGAAAAACACTGATAAATTGGACTTCATCAAAAGTAAAGTCTTTTTATGACAGAAGACACTGTTTAGAAAATAAAAATGCAATTCACAGACAAGGAAAATATTTGCAAAACTTGTATCTCGTAAAGGATTTGTATCCAGAAGATATAAAGAACTCTTATCAATATTGAACTATATCACTTGAACTATATCCATCCAGTAATTACCCAACCCAATTTTTTTAAATGGACAAAAGATTTGAGTAGACTTAGGACACTTCACCATAGAAGATACAGGAATAGCAAGTAAGCATATGGAACTATGCTCAGCATATTAGTTACTAGGGAAATGCAAATCCACAAGAAGATGCTACTTCACACCTACTTCACCTACTAGACTTTGTAATCACCCAGTGGGTTCACCTTACCTGCTGCCTAGACAGAACCGATTTATCAAGACGGGAATTGCAATGGAGAAAGAGGAATTCATGCAGAGCCGGCTGTGAGGGAGACCGGAGTTTTATTATTATTCAAATCAGTCTCCCCGACTGATTCGGTGATCAGAGTTTTTGAAGAAAATTTGGTGGCTAGGGGCTTGGGAAGTGGGGAGTGCTGGTTGGTCAGGTTGTAGATGGACTCATAGAGGGTTGAAGCAAGGTTTTTTAATGTCTTCTCTTCCTGGGTGCGATGGCAGAACTGGTTGGGCCAGATTACTGGTCTGGATGGTGTCAGCTGATCCAAAGTGCAAAATATCTCAAACACTGATCTTAGGTTTTACAATACAGTGATGTTAGCCCCAGGAGCAATTTGGGGAGGTTCAGATTCTTGGAGCCAGAGACTGCATGACCCCTAAACTGTAATTTCTGATCTTGTAGCTAATTTGGTAGTCCTGTAAAGACAGACTGGACCCCAGGCAAGAAGGGGGTCTTGGGGGGTGTTATCAATTTTGTTTCAGAGCCAGACCATGAACTGAATTCCTTCCCAAGGTTAGTTCAGCCTATGCCCAGGAATGAAAAAGGACAGCTTAAGGATTACAAGCAAGATAGAGTCAGTTAGTTCTGATTTCTTTCACTGTCATAATTTCCTTAGTTATAATTTTGCAAAAGCAGTTTCAGAATAACTAAAAAGAGAATTGATAAATAACGTACTGGCCGGGCACAGTGGCTCATGCCTGTAATCCCAGCACTTGGGGAGGCGGAGGCGGGAGGATTGCCTGAGCTCAGGAGTTCAAGACCAGCCTGGACAACATGGAGAAACCATGTCTCTACTAAAAATATAAAAAATTAGCCGGGCATGGTGGCACATGCCTGTAATCCCAGCTACCTGGGAGGCTGAGGCAGGAGAATCGCTTGAACCCGGGAAGCAAAGGTTGCGATGAGCCAAGATCACGCCATTGCACTCCAGCCTGGGCAACAAGAACAAAACTCTATCTCAAAATAATAATAATAATAATAATAAATAAATAAATAACTGGTACATCCATCCATCGAACAGATTAACCAACTCATATAAACAACAGGGTGCTTCTCAAAAGTGTTATGCAAAGTCAAAGAGGTCAGACACAAAATACACAAAATATGTATCTACTCACTGTATGATTCCATTTGTGTGAAATTCTTGAAAAGGTAATATAGTGTTAGAAAACAGATCCATTGGTTGGCAGGAAGTGAGGAAATAACTCCAGAGGGGCCCAAGGGAACTGTTGGAGACATGGAAATATCCTGTACCACAATTCCGGGGCGGTTACACCACTGAGTATATTTTTTCAAAACTTAGCAAATTGGACACTTAAAGTGGATGACTTTTATGGTATTTAAATTATACCTCAATAAAGCTGATTTAATTTTAAAATGTTACAAGATCATAGAAAAAAAGGAAATGCTTCCCGATTCATTGCAACCCTGATACAATAAATGATTTAAAAAATACAAAAAGAAACAGTGGCCTGTCTTACAAATTGATAATGCAAAAATCCAAAGTAAAACACCAACACATAGCATCCAACCTTGTGTTAAAACATGAACTGGTAGAATTTATTCCGAGAATGAAAAGGTGATTTATATTTAGGACATTTATTAGTGTAATTTATCACATCAATATGTCAGAGCAAAAAAGCCACATCTTGATAGATGCCCAAAAGAAGGTAAAATTATATATCTATTTCCCATAAAATAATTAATCAGCTAGGCATAATGGGTGGTACTTCTTTAATTATGAAGAATGCATATCCCACATCAGTAGTGAGCAATGCACGAAATAATGGAACACTAGAGCTGAACTTCCCAAAAAGACCTCTAAAGGAAAGGAACCCTGGCCGGGCGTGGTGGCTCACGCCCATAATCCCAACACTTTGAGAGGCCAAGGCAAGTGGATCACCAGAGGTCAGGAATTCGAGACCAGCCTGGCTAACATGGTGAAACCCCGTTTCTACTAAAAATACAAAAAATTATCCAGGCATGGTGGCACGCACCTGTAATCCCAGCTACTCGGGAGGCTGAGGCAGGAGAATTGCTTGAACCTGGGAGGTAGAGGTTGCAGTAGCCGAGATTGCGCCATTGCACTCTAGCTTGGGAAACAAGAGTGACACTCCATCTCAAAAAAAAAAAAAAAAAGGGATCCTATGGAATACTTAAAGAAAGAAAAGAGGGGGGTGGGGGAAGGGAGAGAGGGATCAAGAGAGGCAGAGAGAAAAAGGGAGAGGATTTTGGTAGTCAAATTTGAGAAAGTTTGCATTCCACTCTTGAGAATGTCACATTCTATTAACTGTTCGAAGTTTCCAAAAAGTCCAGGAGTGAAAATAAAGCTGCTTAATCATTTTTCCCAAACTTGGACATGAGCCCTTTGTTTTTTTTCCATAATGTATGTAATATGTATGAGAATACTCGGCCAGGCGAGGTGGCTCACGCCTGTAATCCCAGCACTTTGGGAGGCCAGGGCAGGCAAATCACCTGAGGTCAGGAGTTCAACACCAGCCTGGCCAACATGGTGAAACCCCGTCTCTACTACAAACACAAAAACTAACCGGGCGTGGTGGCGCACACCTGTAGTCGCAGGTACTCCAGAGGCTGAGGCAGGAGAATCGCTTGAACCTGGGAGGTGAAGGTTGCAGTGAGCCAACATTGCATAACTGCACTCCAGCCTGGCAACAGAGCAAGACTCCATCTCAAAAAAAAAAAAAAGAAGAGACCATAACCAACTGAACAACCATAGAACAAATTAAAATACAATGAGGGGGCTATTTATAATAGACACAATGGTAGTTTCCTGTATAAAAGCAACAAGCAATTAGACATTGTTTTTTATTCACTTCATAAGAACAATTTTTTTTGGGCGGGGAGGGTGCGGAGTCTTGCTCTGTCGCCCAGGCTGGAGTGCAGTGGCGCGATCTTGGTTCACTGCAAGCTCTGCCTCCCGGGTTCACGCCATTCTCCTGCCTCAGCCTCCTGAGTAGCTGGGGCTACAGGCGCCCGCCACCACGCCCAGCTGATTTTTTGTATTTTTAGTAGAGACGAGATTTCACAGTGTTAGCCAGAATGGTCTTGATCTCCTGACTTCATGATCCACCTGCCTCGGTCTCCCAAAGTACTGGGATTACAGGCATGAGCCATCGCACCCGGCCAGAACAATTTTTTAAAAATGTAAAGTACTTGGGAAGAAACGCACCCAGAAATTTGCGTCAATGATGAAAACATTTGGAATCATGTTAAGTTTGAGTAAATGGAGAAATGTGCAGTAGGCCTGGGGAGAAAGGCTGGAGATTGTAGAGGTGTCAGTTGTCTCCAGATTAATACGATTTCAGTCAAATTACAACTGTGGTCACCTGTAAAACTGATAAAATAATTCTGACCGGGTGCAGTGACTCATGCCTGTTATCCCAGCACTTTGGGAGGCCGAGGCAGGGGCATCACCTGAGGTTAAGAGTTCAAGACCAGCCTGGCCAACATGGTGAAACCCCATCTCTACTAAAAATACAAAAAAAAAAGCTGAATGTGGTGGCGGGTGCCTGTAATCCCAGTTACCCAGGAGGCCGGGGCAGGAGCATTGCTTGAACCCAGGAGGCGGAGGTTGCAGTGAGCCAAGATCACGCCATTGCATTCCAGCCTGGGCGACAAGAGTGCAACTCCATCACAATAATAATAATAATAATAATAATAATAATAATAATTCTAAGGTTTATCTGGGAGAATAAATTAGTATAAGGCATCTTAGAAAAAGAAAAAGAAGAATAGCGTGTGGGACGGTTGCTCTACCCAAGATTAAAATTGACTGTCAAGTTAAAATGGTGGGTATTGGCATCAGAATATGTAGATAAGTGGAAACACAATAGAAAGTCTAGAAATCAAGGCTGGTATTCACAAACTCTCAACTGATGCAGGCCAGCCAAAAGAGAAAGTTAAGAATGTTTCACATTTTCTTTTCTTTTCTTTTGAGACTTAGTTTCATTCTTGTTGCCCAGGCTGGAGTGCAGTGGCACTGTCTTGACTCACTGCAATCTCTGCCTCCCGGGTTCAAGCAATTCTGCCTCAGCTTTCCGAGCAGCTGGGATTATAGGCGCCTGCCACCATGCCCAGCTAAGTTTTATATTTTTTAGTAGAGATGGGATTTCACCATGTTGGCCAGGCTGGTGTCAAACTCCTGACCTCAGGTGATCTGCCCGTCTCGGCCTCCCAAAGTGCTGGGATTACAGGCGTAAGCCATTGTGCTCGGTCCACATTTTCATATTAAGATAAATTCCAAATTCATTAAAAACCTAAATGACAAAAAGAAAACAACTATTCTGAGAATGCTAGAAATATCGGTGAACATTTGTATAATCTTTCTAGATAGAAACTTTATTCCTACCTGATTACATAAAAATAATAATTTTCAGGACAGCAGATAACACAACCAAAAAAATAAAAATTGGGGTTAATCGCAGTGTATAAAATACGCGTACAAATTACATAAATAACAATGATGCTGCTGTGGATGGTAATTTTTTAAAAAAAGACTAGTCAAGTAGAGAAAAAAGATAGAAGACATAGCCAAAGTTTTAATGTTGTACATAGCTTTTGTTCCAGCATATTTACTCATTTCTTTCAGAATAATCTTGGATGTGGGGATAGATTTATGTATGAGGGTTTATTTACTTCCTCATCCTTTACAAATGGAGTAAAATTAGAAGCAATTAATATGCCCAACACTAGGAGATTGGTATATATTACAGTATCTTATAATCATGTAGGAGAATACTATACAGTACTTAAAAAGTTGGTGTATTCATTTCTTTTTTTTTTGAGACAGAGTCTCACTCTGTTGCCCAGGCTGGAGTGCAGTAGCACAATCTCAGCTTACTGCAACCTCTGCCCCCCAGGTTCAAGTGATTCTCCTGCCTCAGCCTCCTGAGCAGCTGGGATTACAGTTGCCTGACACTGCACTGGCTAATTTCTGTATTTTTAGTAGAGACGGGTTTTCACCATGTTGGCCAGTCTGGTCTTGAACTCCTGACCTCGTGATCCACCCACCTTGGCCTCCCAAAGTGCTGGGATTACAGGCGTGAGCCACCATGCCCAGCCTATTAATTTCTTAAGGCTGCCATAACAAATTGCCACCAACTTGAGCCTCACAGTTATGGAGGCTCAAGGTCTGATATCAAGGTGTCAACAGGGCCATGCTCCCTCTAAGAATCCTTCCTTGGGGCTTCCAAGGTTCTAGAGGCTCTAGGAATGTTTTGATGCACCTTGGCTTATGGGTACATTGCTGTCATCTCTGCCTCCTTCATTACTTGGCCTTCTTCTGTGTCTGATTGCACATGGCCTTCCTATAAGGACACCATTCATTGGATTTAGGGACCACTCTAATCCAGTATGCCGTTTGGCATTTGAACTAATTGCATCTGCAAAGATCCCATTTCCAAATAGGGTCACATTCTGAGGTTGCAGGTGAGACATGAATTTTGGGGGAGACACTGTTCAACCCAGTATAGATTATATAGAAGAATATCTGAAGACAGAGAGAAATGTTTACAGTATATTACTGAGTAAAGAAGGTGGTTATAAAGCAGCAGGTCTGGTGTGATGCCTTTAAGTAAACACATCACATTTAGCTTCTAGAGGAGAGACTGAAAATACATGCATGAAAACATTACCAGTGGAGATGAGTAGGTAAAGACTTGAGTGATTTTAATTGCTCTAATGGATTCCTGTTTTTTCTCAATTTTTGACAATGAATACGTGCTTCTTTGATAAAGAGAAGAAGTAAAGAATGAGGCACCTAATTTTTTTTTCATCAAGAGTCTTCTGAGGCTGGGCATGGTGGCCCACGCCTGTAATCCAGCCCTTTGGAGGCCATGGCAGGCAGATCGCCTAAGCCCAAGAGTTCAGAACCAGCCTGGGCAACATGGTGAAATCCTGTGTCTACAAAAAATGCAAAAAAATTAACCAGGCATGGTGGCGCATGCCTATAGTCCTAGCTACTCAGGAAACTGAGGTGGGAGGATCACTTGAGCTCAGCAGTTCAAGGCTGCGGTGAGCTGAGATCATGCCATTGCACTCCAGCCTGGGTGACAGAGTGAGACCCTGTCTTTAAAAAAAAAAAAAAAAAAATTCTTCCTGAACTAGCTTTTCATTCTATAGGTATAAAAATGAATTAATATCCTTGATTACCATAACTTTTGTCTAATTGTTTAAAGTATTTTAGAGTTTACAAATTCAAAATACATTATAAAATATGTCACTTGAAGAATATTTCAAAATTGAATGCTTTCCTATTCCCTATATATAATTTCTTTTCTGGCTTTTCCAAACTACAGATAATTTGAGATGAATAGATTTGATTTTTTTTTTTTTTTTTTTTTTTTTTGAGAGGGTCTTTCTCTGCCCAGGCTGGAGTACAGTGGTATGATGACTGCTCACTGCAGCCTCAACCTCCCGGGCTCAAGTGATCCTCTTGCCTCAGCCTCCCAGGTAGCTGGGACCACAGGCATATGCCACAATGCCTGACTAGTTTTTATTTATTTTTATTTTTTTATAGAGACAGAGTCTCACCATGTTGCTAAGGCTGGTTTTGAACTCCTGGGCTCAAGCAATCCTCCTGCCTCAGCCTCCCAAAGTGCTGAGATTACAGGCATAAGCCACCGCGCCCAGCCTGAAATGTTCATTTTAAGTGTTTATTGTCCTGTATGTTTTGAAATTTTTACTGACTATATGTAACAAATTTGTCACTCCATCTAGGCACAAGTGTTTTAGGTGAGCATAAATTTTTTTTTTTGAGACAGAGTCTCGCTTTGTCACCAGGCTGGAGTGCAATGGTGCGATCTTGGCTCACTGTAACCTCTGCCTCCCAGATTCAAGCAATTCTCTTGCCTTAGCCTCCTGAGTAGCTGGGATTACAGGCGGGTGCCACCGCACCCGGCTAATTTTTGTATCTTTAGTAGAGACGGGTTTCACCATCTTGGCCAGGATGATCTCTATCTCTTGACCTTGTGATCCACCTGCCTCAGCCTCCCAAAGTGCTGGGATTACAGACGTAAGCCACCACACCCAGCCAGAGCATAAACTTTTAAAACCTTGTAGCCACTTGTCTCTAGGACACTGGGGAGATATTTGAAATGAGCAATTGCCATATTATTTGTTGTTTTCTTAGGCAAGGAATTGTTCCTCCTGGTCTTACAGAAAATGAATTGTGGAGAGCAAAGTACATCTATGATTCAGCTTTTCATCCTGACACTGGTGAGAAGATGATTTTGATAGGAAGAATGTCAGCCCAGGTTCCCATGAACATGACCATCACAGGTTGTATGATGACGTTTTACAGGTATGTTATGAATATGTAGCAACAGTGTGTTTACCATTACAGAAGCTCAAAGTATATTTTTGTATGTAAATAATTTTGTTGAAATAAGTATTATTTCATAAGTATATGAAGTGACAAACAAGGTAATTAGCTTGATTGAATCATTCCGTAATGTACTTATGAATCAAAACATCATGTTGAACTCCTTTAGTATATACAATAAAAAATAAAATTGAAGACAATAAAAAACAAAAAATGGGGTATTATTGATGTAAAAGAAAAGAAGTCATTTCACTTTTAGTTCCATTATGTTTGAATGTTGCTACTCTGGGACTCTTTTTTTTTTTAACCCTTCCCCTCTGCTAAATAGCATCTTCTTAGTTGTTCAAAAGGAGGTTGAATTTTTTTTCTAAATCTTAGCCCCAAAAGAGAATGAAGTGGAGAAGGAAAATAAAGAGTCTGCAGGCAAATTCTCCTTTGACTCCATTCATATAGATATAGGTATAGGTATAAGTGTAGATATAGGCACATTAAAGGTGTATGTGTAGACATAGACATATAGCATTGCAAGTGCTGTTAGGAGGGCCCAGGACCGCTTAGCCTACAAATTGTATCTTTTTTCCCCAAGAGAAGGGATCTGGCATTTATTGAATGTCTATTCTGTACCAGGCTCTCTACAAATTTTATCTTACTTCATCCTCATAGTAACCCTCTGAGCTTGGTGTTATCTATATCTACGGAATGAGGAAACTGATGATCCCAGAGGATAAAAGCTTGCCCAGCACACAGATCCTAAGCCTGTGTGGCCTTATGGCTTTCTCCCTTCCCCAGTACGTCTCCTCTCTGGTTACTGGTGTTCACGTTTTCTGTTCCATGCCGCGGCTGGGCCCAGTGATGGTGGGTATGTGACGGATGCCTCTGTTTTAGGACTACGCCGGCTGTGCTGTTCTGGCAGTGGATTAACCAGTCCTTCAATGCCGTCGTCAATTACACCAACAGAAGTGGAGACGCACCCCTCACTGTCAAGTAAGGCTACGAGAATTGACCACTCTCTGCAGTTCTTCAACCTTCATTTTATTAAGTGGTGATACTCTCCTGTTTAAAAAAGCCTATGTGTGCATATTTTTATATTGTTCAGAATATTATGTAGCATCCTTTTTTGTAGCTTTTTTCTTTTTTAAAGTAAAGTGTTTCATTTTCTCTCTCCCTATCAAGAAAACAGTCTTCTTCCAGCCTGCCTTCTCAGACATTACTCGTGCCTTTGGAGGTACTGGTAGGATGTTACCTCCTTCTCACCCTGGAGCTCATGGCCCTGTAGAACACATGGCAGGCAGCACCGGCCTGGCCTCTGATAAGTGACAGGCTGTTCCGCCATCTACCCTGCCTGAGTTGACAGACACCAACGTTAAGAGTAGAGGAGACAAAGTGTGGTCTCTGCAGAAATCAAGGGGAGACCATGGCGGTGTGAACTTTATATCTGATATGTTTTTAAAATAGCTCATCTGTGGAGTCCAAAAGAAAGCAATGAGTTTTAATTTTTTGTCACCTGTTAAAAAAAAAATAGGCTCACAAGATTAGTTAACCAAAAACGTTAGTTAGCATAATTGTATTACACTTGAAAGAAAAGTGCTTCTCTTTTTTATCACTTAAAATTGCTTTTGACAACACATATTCTTCTACTATTGTTATATGGAACAAAGGATCTTGAAATCTGCAGCCAAGTGGTGTTTATTGCAATTAAAATTTCTTTTAAAAGAAGAGAGAATTGCTTGGGCTTTATAGTTTTTGGATGATAAGACTTAGTATTTTTATACAGTTAAGATATCATTTTTTAAATGGCAGCACTTCATTTTTGCTTTCAGTGTGTATATTAATATTTTGAGAAATATTTTTAAGCAAATATGCCCCAAACATTTAGCCCAATATGCATTCCCCTGTATTCATAGCTTCCTACACACAGCTCCCCTCCTTCTCACGAATACAAAGTCTGTATGTTTATTTATTTATTTTAACCAACTCACTTCAAAGAATACATGTCTACTTTTTTGGAGTTATAGTCAAGATACGTGTGAAGAATCCCATTGTTTATGGATCTGCTTGCTTTTTCTCTAGATTCCCCTACTTGTGGAGTGATAGTGAATGTTGTTTTGTAGACTCTTCATTCTGAATCATGCTCTTTTATATTTCCCTTTTATTTCTTCAAATAATGTTGCACCAGAGTTTCCTGACATGCCCTCGTCGTCCACACGATATCCTTTTTTCTTTTCAGTGAGTTGGGAACAGCTTACGTTTCTGCAACAACTGGTGCCGTAGCAACAGCTCTAGGACTCAATGCATTGACCAAGGTACTCAGATTTTTATTTCCATAATAAAGCTGTTTAATTTGTTATCACCTGCCTGGCTCTAAATCCCTCTATTATTTCTTAAACTAGTTCAAGTCATATGGCTTTCTTGTTATAGTGCTTATCTTCAGCTGCATATTTTAGTTATATCTTCCAATAAGTTTGGGAAGAGTTGTCACCAGTAACACCTACCAGGACTGTGGTCTGTGCCTGACTCTGTGTACGAAGTGCTAAATGTTCACCCATCCTGACAGCCCACCAGAGGCATTGCAGAGGGCAGTGTGCCTCAGGCCACAGCTCTGAAGAGAGGCAAGAGCATCTCTCTCTCTCTCTCTCTCTCCCCACTCCAAAGCCCATACTCCTGCAACCACACTTAGCTACAAGGCCTTAGAAGCTTGCATGGTCCCAGCACACCCATGTGGGAAATATACAAATACTGCTAGGAAAAGTTTTGAAAGCATTCTTGGCCTGAGTTTCTATGCAAATGGGACTCTGCATTTTTCAGAGTTTTCAAGAAGAAATAAGTTATTTCCATTTACTAGTACAGGAAAAATAAGATAAAGCTCTTGAAATTTTCTCCTCTGCAGCATGTCTCACCACTGATAGGACGTTTTGTTCCCTTTGCTGCCGTAGCTGCTGCTAATTGCATTAATATTCCATTAATGAGGCAAAGGTAAGACGAATATGCACTCTTAGTAGGGACATGTGCTTGACAGGAGAGTCTCTTGTAATAATTAGCTTTGTTGAAACTTTCAAATGCTTGTTTTAATATGTATAGGTGAAATTATATGAGATCTTGGATTTCTTTTGAAATACTCTGGGGTTGGGGATGAGGATGGGCGTCTTGAGAAAACAAGCTTAGCGATGAGTTACTGATTATTGAAGCAGACTGAGGAGTGCGGGGAGGGGGCTGATGCTGGAATAGTCTTTCTATGTCCGTATAATAAAAAGTTTAAAAGATATATCTCAAGCTTACATTGAGTTGTGCTTGGGTTGGACAAAGTCTATCCAAAGAAAGTTTATTCTCTAAAATAGATTCCTTTTTTTTCTCCAGAATTTTCTTTTGGGGCTTAAAGTACATTATTCTATATCTTTGGAAGTATTGTTGTAGAACTGGCAAAAATTAAAGGAGAAGAAAGAACAACAAAAGCATTTTGGAATGGATAACGAAAAACAGGGGTAACGGTAGAAGTTATACTTAGTGTTAGTAAATATAGTTAATAAATATACAGTAGGGCCATGTGCGAGTGACTGTTTCCATGTCAGCATATTAAGTTTGTTGACTTAATAATGCTGTGTATTATATCTGTTTCTCATTTGGAAAGTTGCTCAAATTTGCACATGAGCATAGATTGAAGTTAGTGTGTCCACCCTTTGAATCATATTGTTCCTGAAAAAGGTACACCCTGTTTTAAAAGTTTACTAGTGTTGTTTTACTTTTATTTCTATCAAAGGAGGATTAAACTTATCCATGGTATTTAAAAATAGATGTGTCTGCTGGGCGCAGTGGCTCACACCTGTAATCTCAGCACTTTGGGAGGCCGAGGCGAGTGGATCACCTGAGGTCAGGAGTTCAAGACCAGCCTGGCCAACATGGCAAAACCCCGTCTCTACTAAAAATACAAAAATTGGCCGGCACACTGTCACATGCCTGTAATTCTAGCTACTCGGGAGGCTGAGGCAGGAGAATCGCTTTGAACCCGGGAGGCAGAGGTTGCAGTCAGTGGAGATAGCCACCACTACACTCCAGCCTGGGCAACAGAGTGAGACTGTAAAAAAAAAAAAAAAAAAAAAAAAAAAACAGATGTGTCAGTACCAAAAATGACACTTGAGTGGGTATTTGAATTAAGTAGAGGGTTGATCTTTCCCAACATAGTACTATTTCAGGACGTTTATTGAAGGCATTGGTGGAGCTCTCTGTATGTGTTTTGCTCTGCAGGGAACTCAAAGTTGGCATTCCCGTCACGGATGAGAATGGGAACCGCTTGGGGGAGTCGGCGAACGCTGCGAAACAAGCCATCACGCAAGTTGTCGTGTCCAGGATTCTCATGGCAGCCCCTGGCATGGGTTAGCAGGACTTTGTCATTTATTCCATAAATACAGGTTGAACCAGCGTTCACGGATCCGTGAACCAGAAAACAAACACATATATCACACCTCTTAGTGGAAATTGCCTTCCACTGGGGGTGGCAGAAAATAAACAAGTAAATAAAGTATGTAGTATGTGCAGTGGTGATGAGGGCAAGGGGGCAATGGGGCTAGGGCGTGTGGGTAGGGCAGCCGGGGAAGAGCACTGGGTGGAGGTGTGGGAGTGAGCCAAGTGGGTATCGGTGATGAATATTCTGGCAGAGGGAACCACAGGCAGGAGTTTGCCTGGTGTGTTACAGGCATTACGGGTGCAGGTGCAGCTGGGGCACAGTGGGAGGGGTGGGGAGCAGTAGGAAGGGAGTCAGGAGGCCACAGACGGCAGAGCGTGGATGGCAGCCCTGGCGTTTCACACCTGGGTTTTAGTCTGAGAGGTAAGAAGCCAGGCAGGGTTTTGCATACAGGAGCAGCACAGTCTGACTTAGGTTTTATCTGTGTGACTCTGGGTGGTGGGTTGAGAATAGGCTGAAGGAGAATGAGAATATTCAGTGGAGGCTGTGCGGGGAGGCTGCCTCAGTAATCCAGGCAAGAGGCAGTGATGGGCTGGACCAGGGCCATACAGTGGGAATTTGACCAGAAGGAACTGATGGAGCAAATTGGAATGGTTAGAGCAGCTACTGATAAAATGTGTGCCAAGCAACTGCTCAGGTTTCCCTATAGGGACTGGGGTCAGAATGACCAAAAATAGAAAGTCTACATTGTATTTAGTTCTGCTGAGAATCTCTAGTCCACCCTAAGGCTGCTTAGAGCTACCTTCAGACCAGGGGCCTAAAGAAAGTTCTCAGACTGAGAAATCAGAGGGCCTGGCAGTTAGAGTGCTCTTCACAGAAAAAAAACAGAAATTAGTATGTTTAATTTTCATCATCTAAACTGAATGCAAACAGCGCTTGGCAATTAAAATGAAGCTCTCCAATGAAGTATACTTCATCAGCTGCTGTCAAGTCATCCATTGATACTGTTTTGCGGTTTTTAAATTCCTTTTGTCACTGTGACTGCTCATCAGCAGGCAAGGAAGAGCAGGCAACAAAAGTTGAAAAGTGCATGAAGGAAAACTTTGAGGAATATGATATTCACATTCCAGCAAATTGGGGGAAAACTGCTATTATCTGGTTTAACACAGGAGTGCCTTGGTGCCCTGCCTGAGGCTAATGTGTTCTGTAGGGGTGGCTGCACAGCCACAGTCCTGAAACATGGGAAAGCATCTCCTGAGTCCAGGGACCAGCACGTTTGTCACTAACCTAAAAGGAGGCTATGGAGCCCACCCCGGTGTTCCTACTGAGCCCTGATTTCCAGATTTGCTGAAATCGAGGTTGCGGCTCCAGCTTCTGCCCTGGGTTTGGTTTGTTGTTGTCGTCGTTGTTTTTGAGACAGGATATTGCCCTGTCCCTCAGGCTGGAGTGCAGTTGCTGTGATCATGGCTCACTGCAGCCTCAACTTCCCTGAGCTCAGGTGATCCTCCTACCTCAGCTTCCCCAGTAGCTGGGACTACAGGCGTGCGCCACCACACCCAGCTGATTTTTGTATATTTTGTAGAAACAGGGTTTTGGTATGTTGCCCAATTAGTCTAGAACTCCTGGGCTCAAATGATCCACCCACCCCGAATGCTAGGTATACAGTTGTGAACCACCATGTCCGGCCCTGGGTTTGCTTTTGATTGTGGTCTTTTCTGTTTTGAATTGCCTTACTCCTCTTAGAGTTCAGCCAGTCCAGACGGACAAATCCATTTCTAGTGATTTGGTTATTTTAAACACTATTTAGTCCCCAGAGAAGAAATACAATCTTTCTGTCCTAGTGCAATTTATAAGAGTAATTGACATATTGAAATAGTGGATATGACAGTTTAGCCTGATAAAAGTTGTCAGCAAATGAACGAATGCTGTCCACCGCATACCCAGTGTTTTACATGCAGTATTGTCTCCAATTTCCTCCATTTTATAGAAAAAGAAAACAGAAAGCTGAGGCTCAGAGAAGTTAGGTAACTTCTCCAGGGTCACCCAGCTAGCAAGTGGTCTAGCCCAGCGGTCCCAAACCTTTTTAGCACCAGGGACCCATTTCATGGAAGACAATTTTTTCATGGACCAGGGGTCAGGGGGATGGTTTCAGGATGATTCAAGCACGTTAAATGTATTGTGTACTTTAGTTCTATTATTATTACATTGTAACATATAATGAAATAATTAGACAAGTCACCATCATGTTGAATCAGTGGGAGCCCTGAGCTTGTTTTCCTGCAGCTAGACAGTCCCGTCTGGGGGTGATGGGAGACAGTGACAGATCATCAGGCACTAGATTCTCATAAGGAGCGGGCAACCTAGATCCCTTGTATGTGCAGTTCTCAATGGAGTTCAGGCTCCTGTGAGAATGTAATGCGGTCGCTGACCTGACAGGAGGCAGAGCTCAGGCGTAATGCAAGCAATGGGGAGCAGCTGTAAATACAGCTAAAGCTTCATTCACTTGCCCACTGCCCTCCTCCTGCTGGGCAGCCCTATTCCTAACAGGCCAGAGATCCATACCAGTCCATGGCCCAGGGGTTGGGGCCCCTGGTCTAGCCTGTACGGAAGCAGTTTCTGCCTGACTCCAAGGCAGGATTCTTTACACCATCCTCCCTGCCTTGTGCCCTTTGTTTTATTAATATAGGAAGAAAAAGTTCCTGATATTTTTATTTTTGTCTACTTAAACCTAAAAGTAAAGTTCTTTTCAAGATTATAAAACTTTCTGGCTGGCAGAGGATGTGATATTACTGTTCAAAAATTTAGAAAATCAGAACAGTTTTCAATCTAATGAATTCAAATGTAATAATTTAAAGAATTGCTACAAACTGTTTTTACTGTGACAGTGGAAATAGCCTAAAAGTGACAGAAGCTTTCTGTCAAATGGTTGAAAAAAAAAGTAAGCTGAAAATTGGCATTAAATAAAGATTTAAGTGGATCTATCTTTATTTCCAGCCATCCCTCCATTCATTATGAACACTTTGGAAAAGAAAGCCTTTTTGAAGGTAAGCTGTGGTTCTTTTGTCATTTTCTCAACCCTTTTTATTTCTTTTCAGATTTCAAACCGTATAGATTATTTGCTACCTAAACAGTAAAGAAGCCGAAGGCCAGTTTCCTGGGCTCTTACGTAAATAAAAAGATGTTCCCAGGAAGATTTTATTTCTAATCTCAGATATTTGAAAAAGCTTTTTGTAAATAAAGACTGCCACTATTGAGAGGTTGTAACTCAGTTACACACACAGTCATCTATTGGATGCCTGACTGGGTAAAAATGAAGAGATGATGTGAATTTGGAATGACATGTGTACAAGTCAGTAGTCATCCTATCAGGAATGAAAAAAATCATTCGGAGTAGCAGCTTCATGGGGTCTCAGTTTGGGAACAGTTAGCACAGTTCCTCTCATCTCAGTGACAAACACTGAACAGAAGACATAGTTGGGCATGTTGCATAAGTTTCTTGCTGTGACAGATGGAAATTTCTGTAGATGTACCCTGGCATTTTCTCATGCGAAGGAGCTGGAAAATGATAAAAGCAGTTAGCCCCGTCTTAGCCCACCATTGCCGCATTGTTCCAGGCTGTTACACAATGATAAGATGAATAACTATTGTGTTCTCCCCACTTTCATCTTAAGCTGTGGTTTTTTTAGCTTTGCTTGATATTGTACCCTTTGATCATCATTTGGAAGTGTGCTGCCATGCCTACTCTTCCCACCGAAGCCCCCTACCTGCCCCACGCCCCACATGGAAGGGCCCACTGGTTTCAGAACCCCATTGTGAAGGTCCAGAGAGATGATCAGGACAGCTCATGGCTCAGTCCTGGCACCTCACTGGCTACAAGGGAGCCTGGTTGTAGGTGTACTCCTTCAGACCTCAATGAGAGATATTGCTCTGAAAAAGTAATGGCTAACTACCATTAAGGTACCCATACATACCTACCACTCCCCAAGTTCACAGTTGCTGGTATATGTCGGTGTTGCATTTCACCCATGTAGAGAGGACCATAGGACAGAAATGATAGTATAGTCATTGCTAAAATAGACACAGAGGCAGCTTATATTAAAATCCCTACTTTTCCACGTTCAAAACACTTTCACATTCTATTGTGAAGGCGGGCTTCACCATGCCTCTTCCGCAAAGGCTGAAGAGGTCACTTCCTTGGCAGCTCATGATGCCCATGCGGTGGTGTGCCTTGGTTGGCCTTCCGCTTGTTCCCACTGCCCCAGGGCCAGGTGTGCCTCCTCTGCAAGGAGGTACTTATCTGGGCTTTTACCTTAGAAATGACCAGACTCCTCCGCAAACATGAAACTAATTGAACATTCTGGGCTTTTTTAAACGGTGATGCTTGGGGAGCATTCAGCATGACTCATCCATCCCCCTACGCCTTATCTCTCCCCAAGTGGAGAGCTGGAAAAAACACATCAGCTGTGGGCAGGTGACTCACGGAAATTTTTGCAGTAAACCAAGAAGTTCACCGCCTAAAATCTGGTGCTTCTGTGAACAGTTTTCTTGAAGAATAGTTCCTGTTGTCTCTTTAAACTTGGGTCATTCTTGATGGCACTTTCATTGGGAGTGAAATTGATATGGTTTGGGTCCTATGCTAGTTCTTGTTCCTTAAGTTCTAATTCTTTTATATTCCCTTTTATAAAAGTAGACTGCTGTGTCTACTCAGTAGGCTTTCAGGACTGCTAATTGAATGGGAATGTAACATTTATTTGTTCATTCATGTTTTTTTCAGCAGCCCTTTGCTGAATGCTTGTTTATGCCAAGCAATATGGTAGACACTAGAGTCCCAGAAAGAGGATACGACCCCTGATCTCAGGGAGCATGTAGCATGATATGGGGAAGAGGCGCAAGACACATTGTTAAAATACGCAGCGTTTAAAGTTTGGGGCACAGAGGGAGCGCATAGGAGGTATCTTACCCAACTGGTGTAGGTGAGCAGAGACTTCTTTGAAGAGGACTGGCTGAGGGCCACATGCTCTACAGAAGCTCAGCAAGTACACAGAGCATGAATTGTTGGAAGTTTGTGGATGGTTAGGTTGGCTGGGATGTAGGCAATGTGTAAGGAATTGACTATACCATATATAAAAATTAGCTCTCAGTGATTCATAGAATCTAATGTAAAAGTCTACAACTGTAAAACTTCTAGAAGAAAATACAATAGAACACGGGCTAGGCAAAGACTTATTAGACTCAACACAAAAAGCACAGTCCATAAAAGAAAAATTGATCAATTGGACTTCATCAGATTTTTAAAATTCTGTTCTTTAAAACTATACAGAAAATGAAAAGAGAAGAAACAGCATGGGGAAAAATGTTTACAAGGCACGTATGTGATAAAGGACTTGTGTCCAGAATACATAAAGGACCCTCAACACTTAAGCTGGGCAAAAGGTTTGAACAGACACTCTACCAAGTACATACAGTTCTCAAGCACCTAAAAAATGCTTAGTGTCTTTAGTCGTTGGGAAACCTAGATTAAAACCACAGGAGCTGCCACTAAATGCCTATTAGAATGTCAAAAACTAAAAAGATTGATCATAGCAAGTGTTGGTGAGGAAATGGAAGAACTGAAACCCTCCCCACTGCTGGTAGAATTAATGTGGTACAGTCATGTGAGAAAATAGTGAGGCAGTTTCTTACAAAGTTAAACAGATGCTGCCCTATGATCCAGCCATTTCCTTCCTAGATCTTTACCTAGGAAAAATAGAAGCACATGTCCATAAAAGACGAATATTCATAGCAGCTTTATTTGTAATAGCCAAAAACTAGAAACAGCTCAAATGCCAATAAAAGGAAAATGGATAAACATCTTGTGAATACAAGGGAATACTTAGCAATAAAAAGTAACAAACTAGTGCTACACACAACATGAAGGCGTCTCAAAGTAATTACACAAAAGAATAGATACTGTATATCGAGTCCTAGAAAATGTAAACTAATATCTAGTGACAGAAAGATGAGAGGTTGCCATATAATGGGGTGCAGGGTTTATGGAAGAGGGAGGAACTGCAAAGTGGTACAAGGAACAAGAAAAACATTCGGGGTGGTGAATATTTTCATTATTTTGATTGTGCTTATGGCTTCACAGCCATATATGTATGTCAGAACTTACATTAAATATGGGCAGTTGTATGTCAATAAAGCTATTAGATCACTGGGGAAGAAAGAATTTAGAGTCACTAACTTTTCAGGGGGTTTTTTGCTTTTTTTTTTTTTTTTTTTTTTTTGAGACCGAGTCTTGCTCTGTCACCAGGCTGGAGTGCAATGACATAACCTTGGCTCACTGCAAACTCTGCCTCCCGGGTTCAAGCAATTCTCCTGCCTCAGCCTCCTGAGTAGCTGGAACTACAGGCATGTACCACCATGCCTAGCTAATTTTTGTATTTTTAGTAGAGACGGGATTTCACCATGTTAGCCAGGATGGTCTTGATCTCTTGACCTTGTGATCCACCTGCCTCAGCCTCCCAAAGTGTTGGGATTACAGGCATGAGCCACCACACCCAGCCTGACTTTTGAGTTTTTTACTTCATTGAATATATATATGTACATATATATATATACACACACATATATATATTTATGTATCTTTTAAACATATAATTACTCTCTTTAATTCATTTGGACTTTTCATCTAAACTTGCTCTGTTTGCACAGTTCTGTTAGGTAAGATATGTTCCTACCTTGAGAAATGTTGTGAATATCTAGCGAAACACCAAACATCCTCAGCTGACTAATGTGGTATCAGACTTTCTGGTTGCAAGGTAGGGGTGAATAAGGCAGGATGGGGTGCGGGGGTGGTGCTGGAAGAAGACATGGCATCAGGTTGGGTTTTGCAGGATACTGAAATTGTCTAGGGGCCTTGGCTGTGCAAAGAGCCTTTCCGTCAAAACCCTCTGCATGAGCCACAGTCAGCACGTAGTTTGCACATGCCCACCTCCAAGGTGGCACACAGCTGCTCTCTTTTGAGTAACAGGTTAGCCCAGTTTGCTGCAGACCAGAGTCTACTTACAATGAGGAGGCTGCTCTCACAGGGTCAAGAGCACAGGCTCTCGCTAAGTACTATGTTTACCCTCCCATCACCAAATCTGTCCCAGCCCAGATGTCACCTGGCTAGGAAGCGCTGGGGAGTATTTAGCATCTCCTTATGACAATCCTTCATCATCAAACAGAGACAGTTGCCAAAGATACAGTGTTTTCCTTTTCATTCTATCTTTTGAGGAGAGGGGCCCCTCTGTGTAACCTGTGAAGACTAGTTTCCTTGACGATGCTGCTCCCTTCCTCTCCAATCCATCCCTTTCCCCCTTACGCCAACCCTCCTGATGAACCTTTTCCCCAGAGGAGTCTCTTTGGGGACCAGGGTATGCCTCCCATGCATGTTGTCTTCTAACAGCTTGTGTTGACTCCTAACTAAGCTGGCTGATTTCATTACAACCAGCTCACACCTTGGTTGCAGTGATTTCTGTGGCCTTATTTATATAACCATATATCTCATCACTCTTTATATTGTGTATTTAAGTACCACTCCTTTTTTAAAACTAAAAATCTAACAGCATTTATTCTCCAGAAGACCAACCAACTTGTTCATTTCCATTAAAAAAAAAAAAAGTGTGACTAGCAAAAATGTTTTATGCCAGAAATAGTTTTAACCATACTGACAGCAACTAAAACCAAGAAAGACGAGGTGTAAAGTGGGGTGAGGGATGGTAAGCATTTGTTGGGTTTCTGATATGTTCCAGCCACCATACTAGGTGCTTTATGAATGTGATCTGGCATATCTTCATCCACACACTTTTAGGAAGCTGTTAGTGATGTTCATTTTGTACCATCACAAGGAAACGGAAGCTTGGAGAGGCTAGGCTCTGCCTGTGGTTCCCCACAGTCAGGAACTAACCAGAAGGCGGGAGACTTGAGACCTTGGCACCAGGCTGTCCTACCTCCCCAGCCAGGGGATTCATTACAATTAAATGACAGCTACTTCCCCACCTCCATTATATACCCAAGCAGTGCTCAGATTAAATGGGGGACTGGGAGGAAAAATAGAAGCCACTTGATCTTTGCGTGTGTGCTGATTTACAGATCAAAGAAGGTTACAGGAAGTTAGGCTAACACCCTTGTTGCAGCATTTCCCCCAAATTTCACTAACCATGTTCTATCTGAATCTTGAAATGTGGTGAGAGGTTCCTTCCAGTTAATCAGAAGATATTGCCTCTAAGACCCTGTATAAAAAGTATTCAAAGCCATTTATTTCTCAACACAGAGGTTCCCATGGATGAGTGCACCCATTCAAGTTGGGTTAGTTGGCTTCTGGTGAGTAGAAATTACTTTTACATAATTAATTTCTTTTAAAATATAAATACACAGCGTATGAAAGGTGACTGGGTAATATGGGATACAAATTTTGAAAATGAGGCCATCTCAGAACATCTGGAATGCATGGCCCCAAATAATTAAATAGAAGTAAACTGTCTTTAGAGAAACCTACAACATGGGGGGCTATTCGTGTGATTCTTTTTTAAATTGTTGTCTCTGTGACTTTTTCATTATTTTGGCAATCCTAGGTAATAAAACTTACACAAACAGGACTTATTTTTGTTAGACAACACAGAACGTAATGCTCTGAAGAAAGAAGGGATTGTTATAAAAGTAAAATAGAAAAATAAGCTGAAAATTAACCATTTAAAATGGTCTGACTTTTTTTTGTATTTTTTTTAAGTTTGGTGTTTGCTACACCCCTGTGTTGTGCCCTGTTTCCTCAGAAAAGGTATGTATTTGTTATTCGTCAGAATCATCATGAGTATTAATCCTAAAAACCAATTGAAGGTGCAGGTGCCATTATTCCATTTCATTGGCAGGGAAGTTGAGACTCAAAAGATACTGAAGCCAGGGTCTCTTAAAAGGAAGGGATGGAGGCAGAAATCAAACCCACATCTGTCTAATTTCAGATGCACCCAGCTCTTTTCTACCCCCTTCCATTAAATTTGAAAATGCTTTATTCTTTTGTGAGAATCAGATTAACTCTGATGCAAATTTGCTTTTATGAAAATTTAAAATATGGTCCAATCCACTGGCAAATGCATCTGTAATACAGATATGATAGGATGCAAGTTCCACCCCCAGGGACAGCAATTATATGCACTTAGCTTAGGTGGTTGGTATATTTGCTTCCTTTCTTCCCACTTAGTTTTTTGCCTTAAAAGCTTTCTTGTGCACGCCTCTCATCGCAAACTGCCCTTGAATCCTGCCTTTGATGTGAGAACAGGACTAACTGGCGTTAAATCGGCATTTTCTACATCAGGTCTCCAGCCTGCTCTTGACCTGACTCCAACACACAAAGCAGCGGCATTTTGTTGTCTGTCATTTTCTGTAAGTGTTACCAGGCCCCTTGCCTTGGTAATACCCTTTCCTTTGTGGGCCAGTAGGTCCCGAACATATGGTCTTTAATCCCCCAGCCTTGCGGAGTTGGTTTTGGATGAGGTGTTCTGTTCTAGAACTAATGCTGTCAGATCCCTCTACCTGATCGAGAACTCCACCTTGTATCTGCTCTCCCACTCTGTCTCCGACCCTGCTGTTCTTGAATAGAAATTTAAACCTCATGGACAGGAGCCCTTCATCACCTTGGAGCCTACTGAAGAGCCCCCCTTGAAGAGGGCAGGACCTTCAGAACTTGCTCTGGGAGCCTGATTCAGATGAATTTCCTCATCTCTACAGTGGGATAATGATACCTGCTTAATTGTACAAACCCCAGAGTCTTGGGGCTCAACCTGAGAATGTCCATTTCTGTAGTATGTGGCTTATGAACACTGGTGTTCAGCAGCTGGCCTTGATTTAGCAGTTTAGACTTTGAGCACATAAAATGCCAAGGGGTGTGCCTGATACCAAGTTGTAAAACACCTAAGAAATGTAGCTGTAATTATTTTCAGATTGAAAGGGTTTTAGATTTGAAAACCCATAGAGAAACTTTCTACTTTGGCCTTTTTTCTTTGAGTGCTGCAAGAAATAAAATATAGCCCAACATTTATTTTTTATGATTCATTGAAACTCTAGGGGTAGAAATGGAAAGCTTTCTGTAACTACTAGTGTCCTTAGGTCAAGGCCCTCAGAAAGCGTGTGGTTTTACATTTGAGAAACCAATCCTCTTTTGTTTTACTGTATTTTAAAATAGCTTCTTACTCTGTTTTGTTGTTTATACATTGTATGTTTGGCTTCTTGAGGTCTCTGGCTCCTCAGTTTTTCCTTGGCTCATAACATAGTATCCTCATTGATCCAAGCATGACCCTGTTTTGCTTATTTTTATTTTACTTATACTAATAATATAATGAATATCCACAAATTCAGTGCCCAATGAGGCAGGAGAATCGCTCGAACCCAGTAGGCAGAGGCTGTGGTGAGCCAAGATCACGCTACTGCATTCCAGCCTGGGCAACAGTGCGAGATTCTGTCTCAAAAAAAAAAAAAAAAAAAAAAATATATATATATATATATATATATATATATATATATATATATATATCTCCAATAAGTTACATCTTATAGGCTCCTCCCAACCTGTGTCCCTGCCTCCCCTGCAGATTTAACCACTATGCTGAATTTCATGCTCTTGCATTTTATATTTGTGTATGTATCTTTAGTTTGTCTTAGGAACTTTTTAGACAAGGGTGTCACACTGTCATAAGATGTATAGTCTTCTAGTACTTGTTCTTTTTATTCAGTGTCAGAACTAAGATTCATCTACATTATTGTGTGTACCTATAGTCCATTCATTGTTGTTGTTGTATAATAGTGCATTGTATGAATGCACCACAGTTTCCCGTCTCCTATGTGAACAAGTGATAATGAAAACATTCTTTATTAACATTTTTGAGAAGCAGCAAATGTGTTGCTTTGAGAGATATTTATAGCTTTAAATGTTTATATTATGAAGAATAGCTGAAAATCAATGCACTAAATGTCCCAACTTAAAAAAAAAAAAGCACAAAAGAATAAACATCAGAAAAGAAGGAAGGAAGGAGATGAAGATCAGAAATCAATAAAATAAATAACAGAAAGAGTAGAGGATCAACAAAGTGAAATCTTGGTTCTTTGAAAATAGAAACAAAATAGACAGTTGTCTGGTGAGATTAATCAAAACAAAAAGAGAAAGAGAAAAGTACAAATAATATGAATGAAAAAGAGGTATAACTGTAGGTTCAGCAGTGATTAAAAATAATACCAACATTATACCAACAGATTTGAAAACAAGCAAAATAGACAAATTTCTGGAAAAAATATTAGCAAAGCTGAAAAATTAGAAAGTCAGAATAGGCCAGATAGTCATTAAGGAAGCTGAAGCAGCATTTAATCTTCCTCCTACAAAGAAAACACAAGAAACAGGTAGTTTTACAGGTAAGTTTCTCCCAACTGTCAAGAAACAGATTATTCCAATTTCAAACAAACTCTCCTGGAAGATAAAAAAGAGAATACTCCCCATCATCCACCAAGGTTTGAATAACTTTAATTCCAAGATCAGACTTGGGCCTTTAACATACATTCATAGTAATTACAGATACTTAGAGATCAGTGGCAAAACAGAAAGACCAAGAGGTGGTATAGCAGGGCTTTGGGATCAAGAAAGATCTGCCTTCAACATCTCAGTTGCACCTCAGGTTTCCTTACCTGTACAATTATAATACTGGACTTACAGAGTTTTCCTAAGGGTTAAAATGCATAACGTCTGGCCCAGCAAGTGAGCTGTAAGTCATAGCCATTATCATTACCATCATCAGTGTCGTCATCATCATTTAAAATCACTCAAAGGCCCACTACATAAACAATAGCCATCATGGGATTTTTTTTCCTACCTTTTTTCTATATTCGTAATTTTTAAAATTTGTTTTGCATATTTTAAATATAAGCTTATATCCTGACTTTTTTTAACCTTACAGTCTATCACATGTCAACTATATTAATCAATTTTTTTATTGTTTTTGAGGCAGGGTCTCACTCTCTTGCCCAGGCTGGAGTGCAATGGCACAGTCATAGCTCACTACAGCCTTGAACTTCTGGGCTCGAGCAACCCTCCTGCCTCAGCATCCTGAGTAGCTGGAGCCACAGGCATACACCAACACACCTGTCTTATTTTTTATTTTTATAGATACAAAAATTTGGGTCTCACCAGGTTGCCCAGGCTGGTCTCAAACTCCTGGCCTCAAGAAATCCTCCTGGTTCAGCCTCACAAAGCTCCGAGATTACAGGTGTGAGCCACTGCGCCCAGCCTCAAATATTTTTTTTAAACTAATTACATATCAAAATATTAGCAGTTTTTCTGGTAGGTATTCTGGACAATTTTTCTTTATACTTTAATGAGTGTGCGTTTCTCTTAAAGAATAAGCTTTAATATATATACACCCATAATACCTTCAAATACATTTTTAAGCACTTAAAGACTAACAGTGGTTATCTCTCAGCGGGATTATAAATGTTTTGGTTTTTTTTTTTTTTTTGTACATTTTAGTATTTTTTGAAATTTTTTTAATAAGCGTGTATTACATACAGTAAACAAAAGCACATTAATGTAGGCAGATTATCAATGTTATGCATTTCACTGATTGCATATCTCTTTTTTTATCAATGGTGAACATTGCAAATGATTGATACGTTTTTCTTAGGAAGTGGCATTGCCACAAATGGTTTTTCCAACACCAGCAGGGCCTGAGAGTGTCATCACCATACACTCTTGCCGGCAATAAGAGATTTCACCTTTTAATGATATGAGAGGGAAAAGTTGGGTGTTGGGTTCTCCAGTGCATTTCTTTCATTATGAGTGACATTTTTCTGAAAGGAACGTGATCTCGTTTTCTAGCCGCATGAAGCATTTCTCCAACAAGACCCACTGTACCAGTCCTGGGATCTCCACACCTGTGCCTTCTCCCTGCTCTTTCTAGGTCCTGATTCTCACCTCTGCCTGTGTAATAACCCTGTCATTTCTCCCTTATCCCAGTTCCATGTCTGTGACAAGCTTGGAGGCCGAGTTGCAAGCTAAGATCCAAGAGAGCCATCCTGAATTGCGACGCGTGTACTTCAATAAGGGATTGTAAAGCAGGGAGGAAACCTCTGCAGCTCATTCTGCCACTGCAAAGCTGGTGTAGCCATGCTGGTGAGAAAAATCCTGTTCAACCTGGGTTCTCCCAGTTACGGAAACCTTTTAAAGATCCACATTAGCCTTTTAGAATAAAGCTGCTACTTTAACAGAGCACCTGGCGTGGGCCAAGTGCCTGATACTCCCTTACACTGAATCATGTTATGATTTATAGAAATACCTTTCCTGTAGCTTTTATAGTCATTGTTTTTCAAAGACGATATACCAGCCCTCACCCAGGTTTTAAAAAAGCACTGGTAGGCATAGAATAGGTGCTCAGTATATGGTCAGTAAATGTTCTATTGATTATCAATCAGTGAAAAAAGAAATCTGTTTAAAATACTGAATTTTCATCTCACTCCCATTGCAAATCAAGGAGATCTCAGCAGTGAACTGGGAAAATACAAAAGCTCTGGGCTAATCTATAAAAACTTACCCTGAAATATTAAGGGCAGTTTGCTTCTAGTTTGGGGATTGCGCTAGCCCAATGAAGGTGATGAAGCTTTTGGATTTGGAGGGTAAAAGCTCCTTCACACCCCTTCCAAAAGTCAGTCACAGACCACTGCAACATGCCTTCCCTGCTGGATCATTATATACATTCAGATTGTGAGTGGATTGCCTTGGTTGACTTTTAATTTATTGTTTTTTGTTCTTATAAAGATGATAATCTTACCTTGCAGTTATTGACTTTATATTCAATTATTTACATCAAATAATGAAATAACTGAAATGTACAAATGTCAAATTTTGGAAGTATATTCAATACCAATGCTGTATGAGTGGGCTGAATCCAGTTCATTGTTTTTTTTTTGGTAAGAAGTGAGACTACAGTTCCAGCTACCTACATGTCTTTTCTTGTCATCCTTATAGATCTCTTTGGCTTTCAGAAAGATACAGTGATAATGTGTGTATGAATCAGTCACAATGAATTTTACTTGAATATTGTATGTTGCATTCCACTTCATTTGAAAATAATGAAACCATGTACCACTGTTTACATCATCTGTAGTGATTTCATAGATAATATATTTAATATGACAGATTATGTTTCAACTCTGTAGATGTTTAACGTCATAGACAGTTGGCCCTCTGTATCCGTGAGCTCTATATCTGTGAATTCAACCAAGTTTGGATGGAAAATTTTTTTTTTTTTTTTTTTTTTGAGACGGAGTCTCGCTCTGTCACCCAGGCTGGAGTGCAGTGGCGTAGTCTCGGCTCACTGCAAGCTCCGCCTCCCGGGTTCACGCCGTTCTCCTGCCTCAGCCTCTCTGAGAAGCTGGGACTACAGGCGCCCGCCACCACGCCCGGCTAATTTTTTTGTATTTTTAGTAGAGACGGGGTTTCACTGTGGTCTCGATCTCCTGACCTCGTGATCCGCCCGCCTTGGCCTCCCAAGGTGCTGGGATTACAAGCGTGAGCCACCGCACCCGGCCTGAAAATATTTTCTAAAAAGATAAAAAATATACATAACGATGAAAAATAATACAAATTTAAAAACCAATACAGTATAACAACTATTTACATAGTGCTTACATTGTATTAGGTGTTATAAGCAATCTAGAGATGATTTAGCAAGTATACAGGAGGATGTGCCTAGGTTATATGCAAATACTGTGCCATTTTATATCAGGAACTTGAGCATCTGCAGATATTGGTATCGGAGGGCGGTCCTGGAACCAAGCATCCACGGATACTGAGGGGTGACATTTCATGAAGTGTAGATCATTGTATTCAGAGATTGTAAATGAAAAAAATATAGAAACTATTTAGTTTTGGTAGATTTTTTTTCTGACAATGTGACCAGACTGAATTTCCTCATAAAGAAAAAATGGCGTGCCTTGTGTCTGTGTTTCTCTTTTCTCTGAAAGGATTAATAGATCTGAAGCTTTGGGCCACTCAGAGCCTTCCTTGATGCTGCCAGAGTCTTCTTATTTAGATTTTCTGTCTTAAACCATTGGAAGCAAAACGGTTTTCCCATGACATTCTGGCCTTGGACAGATTCTGTTGTCCTCGACGCGTCTCTTTATAAAGTGGTAAAAGCCTGAAATTCAGGGCAGCTCTCCATGAGGTGCTGAAGGGCTCTTTTCATAAGAAGCTAAGGCACTGCTGCCTGCCCCAGGTGTCCCGCTCCTCTCAGAGTCCTCCCCCTACCAGGTAGTGTGTAGCTCCATTTCAGAATGTTAACCTCCAGTGAAGAGCTAATGACTGGTTAGAAGATTGACAAACTAACCAAAATTTTACACACTCCGGTTATGTGTGTGAAAGGTTATAAAAGGAATGGCCGGGTGCGGTGGCTCACCCCTGTAATCCCAGCACTTTGGGAGGCCGAGGCGGGTGGATCACCTGAGGTCAGGAGTTTGAGACCAGCCTGGCCAACATGGAGAAACCCCGCCTCTACTAAAAATACAAAAAATTAGCCAGGCATGGAGGCACATGCCTATAATCCCAGCTACTCGGGAGGCTGAGGTAGGAGAATCGCTTGAATCCGGGAGCTGGAGGTTGCAGTGAGCCAAGATCGCACCATTGCACTCCAGCCTGGGCAACAAGAGCGAAACTCCATCTCAAAAAAAAAAAAAAGAGATTATAAAAGGGATGATGAACATGGAGCTGCATCTTTTTAAACGTTGTTTTTTGATGCTTCAGACTCTTAATGCTTTTATATAAAGCTATCAACTGTATGTTGATCACAGTTTATAAGAAAGAACAAATCAAGATTGGCAATCCTTGCCGATCTTTTAGAAATACCTTTTCTGGAGAAAAAAAAATCCACATGAAGTGCAATAAGCTTATAAAGCTAAGTAGTTATTAATATTTCTATTAACATGATACAAAGGATGATGATTGTAAGTGTTTACTGACTGGCAGCTTTTATTTCAGTATTAGCACAGCGTCTTGCCAGTGTTGGAGGCCATGTATTATTTCAGTTCAACTGGATGAAATGTTAAATAAACTCAGAATGAAAATAAATTCTCTCTTTTATTTGTACATAAAGGATAAAGCAGTTTGTGTGTTACAACTGATGGTACTTTTCATTCAAAGTTAATATCTACAGTACCATCAGCAACTCCTAATGAAAAGATATTTTTGTATTATGCCTTTAACAAGAAATATATTTCTATTTTGGGCTACCAGTCTCCCACCTTTTTGAACCTCATATACATAAAGGCACACCCACCCACCCCCCAAACTCCTATGACAATGTGATTCCAGGAATATTAATGATGGGCGTGGGGGATGGATTTCAGCTTGAAACTTGGATGGCCAACACCTCTGCACATGACGGTGATGGAAACATGCTTCTATATTATTGATCTGATTCTAACCTGGCACTGGCATTTACTAACAGAGAAAGTCTAAATTAACCTAAGTTTGGGGAGTGCCTTAATAAAAGACTTGATACAGAGCTGAGCATTTTAACTTCCTTGGCCATGTTTCTGCATTTGTTTTGCTACAGTAACTCTGTTGTCACTGAAATTATTTAAATATATGCAAGAGCGTAGGTCTAGAAGTCAGACAGAGCCAGGTCCAATCTACATTGCGCCCATTTATAAAATACGCATTTGGGCCAATGACATTCTCTGTGACCTTCAGTTTTGTGGCTTTTGTTTTGACTGTTTGGAGAAATCATTGAATCATAGAGTTGTTACAAAGATTAAATGAGCTAATCCCTGCACAGCTGTCACCATATTGCCTGGCACTTAGTGAACAGTCAATGAATGGTTGCCTCTTGTATATTTGCTCTAGAGACAGCGGGTATGCCTTCAAAATGCCAGTATATCATTGCTAAAGGTAAGATTTCAGAACCCTGGCAACTTTGCCAGAGATGGCACACAACTTAACTAAAAATCACAGATTAAAATGGTCAAGTGGAGACTTTAAATCCATCCCTTAAAAATGTCCAACAATTAAGGTTTTGCATAAATGAGACAGAAGTAGGAAGAGTCTCCACTCACAGATGAGGAAACGGGCTTGCATCAGTGAAGTGCATGCTCCAGGCTGCTCCTGGTCACTTGAAAACCAGATCTGACACCCACACCTACAGCCCTGTCCAAAAATGTAGACAACTGGAATATGCTAATAAAATTAGTTTTTCTTCTGCATATTCAGAGTTTTACTAAAAGCTGCAGGAAAATAAGATTACATTTGGTGGGATGAGATAAAGCATCACTTAAACCCTGGATAGTCAAAGTGTGGTCCGCAGACCAGAGACATCCAAACTTGTTAGAAATGCAGATTCTTAGACCAGACCCCAGACCTGCTGAGCCAGGATCTGACGGATACCCAGAGCCCCAGGTGATCCCTGAACATGTCGCAGCTTGAGAAGTTCTGGCTACAGCCACATTCCTGGTGTTCCCAGGGGTCAGTGAGCTTCATTGGGTCAATTAGAGGAAAACTTGTGATTTTCCATGAATTTGAATATTTACCCCTCACCAGATTCCAAGAAACCATGGGAAGGGTCATCGTTGACGTACTTGGGGGCACATAACAATAAGCTCATGACGGCAAGGATTTGGATTTCTGTTCTGTCCATTGCCATATCCCCAGCACCTAGAACAGTTGACACTAACCCGGGGGCCATGTGGTCATTGGGTTCAACCTGGGCTATTTCTAGGAATATGCAAAGTATACTTAACCTCCTATCCAAATGTGGAAAAGAATCCATTTTGTGTTACAAAGAGGTCATCACCAGCATGTGGAAAGAACAGGGAATATGAGATTTTCTGAGAAGAGGGCTAGAGGGGAAATGACTGTGAGCAACCACGTTATAAGCATTGTTCTGGAATGAGCCCTTTCCTTGCAGAGGACACAGTGCCTCTGAGTTTCTGGAACAGAAGGAAACCAGGGCTGATACACATAGGGGCTTGTTTAATCCTCACTGAACCCATAATATCCCCACTTTCAAAGAAAAGAAATTTGATGCTCAGGAAAGTGGACTGACTTACCCAGTGTCACACCATGGCAGAACCACGATTTTTTTTTTTTTTTTTTTTTTTTTTTTGTGAGACGGAGTCTCACTCTGTTGCCCAGGCTGGAGTGCAGTGGTGCAATCTCAGCTCACTGCAACCTCCACCTCCCAGGTTCAAGTGATTCTCCTGCCTCAGCCCCCGGAGTAGCTGGGACTACAGGTGCCCGCCACCACGCCCAGCTAATTTTTTGTATTTTTAGTAGAGACAGGATTTCACCGTGTTAGCCAGGATGGTCTCGATCCCTTGACCTCATGATCTGCTTGCCTCGGCCTCCCAAAGTGCTGGGATTACAGGTGTAAGCCGCCACACCTGGCCCAGAACCACGATCTTAATTTATACCTCCCAAATTCTCATAGCTTCCCCATCAACAGGAATAATTATAACCAGCTTTAGAACAACATTTCACAATCTCCACAGTGTTCTTTACATGCATTCTTCCTTGCAGTTCCCCCAAGGGTTCCTCTGAGCATCATCTCCATTCAAAAGGTAGGGAAAGTCTTAAAGAAGTGAAATTGTTTGCCACAAACCTTACCCGAGATATTCAAAAGACCACGAAGGGTTTTATTCACTTTCACATACACATACATACAAGGTATGTAGAATATGTAGAGTTCCAATGAGCACCCAGCCAAGGTCAAAGGTAATTTCCAGGTGGGGCCTCATATGAGAATCATAGAAGCAATGGTTCTCAAAGTGTGGTCCCTGGACCAGAGCATTAGCATCACTGGGACCTTTGAAATTCCCATTCTCAAGCCTATCTCGCACTTACCAAATCAGAAACTCAAGCTGGGACCCAGCCAACTTTTAACAAGCCTTCTGAATGATTCTGATGGACATTCAAACTTGAGAACCATTGGTCAGGAGGATGAATGCTTGGAGTTGGACCTCCCAGGCTTGGATTCAGCTCAGTTCTTCAAACTGAGGTAGGCTAACCTCTCTAAACCTCAGTTTTCTCATCTGTAAAATGAAGATACTACTGCTTCCCTCACTGAGTTATTGTGAGGATGCAGTGAGTATTAGCAAATAGGCAGCCCTTAACCTGGTACCTGGCACAGGGCACATCCAATACATTTTAGCTAAATGTAAGATGGATGCGTGATCCCTGGGACAAAAGGCTGACAACATTTTGCTGGTAACCCTTTTGGGAAACAGCTACTCTCATGAGTGCTGATCAGAGTGCAAATTGCTACAATGTCTACAAGAGTTTGGCAGTATCTATCAAAAGGTATAAAAGCATAACTCTGTTTTAAGCAGTTTCACTCCTGAAACCTAATCCCACAGATGTATACACTCATGTTCACAGAAGAACAAGGCTACTCCTATGGAAGCCATATGAATGGAGCCTGTTGGGTGGATTTGGAGGAAGGGGAGGTTGGAGGATGTTTTCCAAAGATGGTGAGAAATTTTCAGGCAGAAAAAAATACTAAGTGTATACTACTATGGGGTAATCCAACGTACAAAAATAAATTTTTCTCTGGGCGCAGTGGCTCACGCCTGTAATCCCAGCACTTTGGGAGGCCAAGGCAGGTAGATCACGAGGTCAGGAGATCAAGACCATCCTGACTAACACGGCGAAACCCCATCTCTACTAAAAATACAAAAAATTAGCCAGGCGTGGTGGCATGCGCCTGTAGTCCCAGCTACTCAGGAGGCTGAGGCAGGAGAATTGCTTGAACCTGGGAGGCAGAGGTTGCAGTGAGCCGCGATTGCACCACTGCACTCCTGCCTGGGCAACAGAGCAAGACTCCGTCTCAAAAAATAAATAAATTTTTATCTTGGGAATTTTTTTAAATTTCTGATTTGAATTCTTGCTAAGTAGATATATATATAATGATTGACTGTCATAAATATAAACTAAATTGGGAAGGAAGGCTATCTACGTGATGAAACTGAAAGTCATTTTTAAATTTTCTTCTTTATGCTTTTCTATTTTTGCAGATTCTTTTCTGCCTCTGCACTCAGGACATATTAAATGCTATTTTAAAAATTCTATGTACATTCTAATCTCAATTTTGTAATAAATACATCGATATGCATAAAAGACATATAAGAAGAATATACACCAAAATGGTTAACAGTTGGTGTCTCTGAGTTTGCAGGTAATCTTTATTTTATTTACACTTTTCTAATTCCCAAATTTTCTGGAATGCACCTGTATTCATATTATAATCAAAAAACCACCCAGTTCAGGCCTTTGAGTAATGTCATAGCTTGAAGCAACACCCAAGTCTTCAGGCTTCCTCGCAGGGTGGGCGATGATTCCGGCCCAGGTTCCCATGCTGGCAGCCCTGGGACAACCCTCAGCTCTCCCAGCTCGAAAGCCTTGGGGATACTGAGCCAACCGTGGACCCTTCCCTAGATTCCAGCTCCCTACTGGAAAAGATGGAAACAGCGTGGACCTCAGGAGCCTTGTCAGGCCTGAATCAGGCTCTGATTTCCGAGCCAGGAGAGCGGCGCAGCGCTGAGAGGCGACGCCAGGGCGCAGCATTGTCTGCAAGATCGCGCTGCCGGAGCCGGGCGCTCCCCGCAGCTGCCGGCAGGTGGCCCAGGGCAACCGCTTGCCTCCCGCGGACGTGCATCTACCAGGCGAAGTCAGGAAAGAGGCAGCGGAAGCTACAAGAAAGATATGGTCTCTCCCGCTGCGGCAAGCTGGGAAGATGCCCTGGCTTGGCGTCCCACGGATAGGAGTGGATTTGTCCATTCCGGATGCATTTCTTTAGGGTACATTGTACCGGGCATCTGGTTGGGGGTGGGAGGAGAGGACAAAAAACCAGGGTGGACCAGCCCCTGTCCTTGCCCTCAGCATCGTCAGCACTGTGACACACAGGTCAATTAACACCAGGTTCTGCAGGAGCACGGAGGCTGAGCCCTGAACCTTGGCGGTGGGAAGGGAGCAGGGAACAGGGAGGGCCTTAGGGGATGAAACCTCAGCCACACCAGAAGGATGAGCAGGACCTCCTCACTGGGAGCAGCAAATGGCAGAAAAAAAACCAGGGCTTCTAGGTATGCACTGTCTAGGAGACAGTGCATACTAAGACCTGGAGACCAGGGAAAGTGTGGCTGAGAGTAGTGTGCAGGAAGATCCCACCAGGATGCCAAGTCATGAGGGCCCTGCAGTGCCCACAGAAGCAGCATGGATTTCATCCTAAAAGTTGGGGCTCCTTCGGAAAAGTTTTGTGCAGAGAAGGAGCAGTAGTTAAATCTTAGCTCTGCCACTGTTTCTGTGATACGAGACAAGCCACTTGCCTTCTCTGGTCCTCAGTTTTCTCCTCTATAAAATGAGTACAATAAAAGCTACCTTACAGTCTTTTTGTGAAGATTAAAAGGGGTAAACAGAGAACCCTGAGTCAATGCCCAGTATGTGTGACTTGCCTTCCCTTGTCCTTTTATTTCTTTTTATTTTTTATATACTTTAAGTTCTAAGGTACATGTGCACAACGTGCAGGTTTGATACATAGGTATACATGTGCCATATTGGTTTGCTGCACCCATCAACTCATCATTTACATTAGGTATTTATCCTAATGCTATCCCTCCCCCAGCCCCACACCCCCTGACTGGCCCCGGTGTGTGATGTTCCCTGCCCTGTGTCCAAGTGATCTCATTGTTCAATTCCCACCTATGAGTGAGAATGTGCAGTGTTTGGTTTTCTGTCCTTGTGATAGTTTGCTCAGAATGATGGTTTCCAGCTTCATCCATGTCCCTGCAAAGGACATGAACTCATCCTTTTTTATTTGTCCTTTTATTTCTCTGCAATAACATTCAGATGGAAAAGACAGATAAGCGAGCCATCTCCAGCACGGCCACAGTGTCAGCCTGGCAAAAATTAGTAGTCCAGGGGAGTCATCTCAGCTGGTTTCCAGGGGCCAGGAAATCATTTTCATCATGTTTGATTGCAATCAAGAACAAGTTCTGCCCTCTTATTCCCGTTAATAATAAAAATGTATCTTAAAAAATGCATCTTATTCTGATTATAAAAATACTATCTCCAGGAAAGATGGTAGCTGAGAGAACAATTTAAAAAAAAAATTAAAATTAGAGAAGAAAATGCCAACTCCATTGAATGCAAAAGACCCAACCTCATGATACAAACTCTAAATAATAATTTTCATCCAGAATGTAGGAGGGGGGATCCTGGGACCCACTTCTGGAGTGGAGCAGCATCAGGTGAGTGAGAGAAGGGCTGGGCGCTGGGTAGGACATGAGGGTGCAGGTGCAGACACGTGTGAGGAGGACAGGAACCAAGAAGAACATTTTCCTCTGATCTGGTTCCCTCACTGAGGGGTGAGTCACAACAGGAAGTCCAGTGATCATCAAGATCCAATGAGGAGGAAGAAGATACCATAACCAAGAGAGAAGATGAGGCTGTATTCAACTTTCCTGGGAAGCTCAGCTACCTGCGCTCATTTGCAAGACAAAATCTGGGTCATAGGGAATTAACAAAAGAATCCTAAGCAGCTAAGTTGAGCCTCACAATAAAAAGCAGAGAGAGTAAGAAGAGGGGGCAGATAGAGAGGGTCCACAGCAACTGAGAGTGGTGAGTGGGCAAGAGGCAGTTTTGGAGAGAGAAGATGCAGAGAAAGGCAGTGATGGAAGACGCCATCCTTAAAAGTTGGCTGAGCATGGACAGGACATGCCCATTTCAGTGTAGAGCAAGGCTTCTCATCCCTGGCTTCCTTCCAAAATCACCTGCCAAGCGTTTCCAAGTATCTGTTGCTCAGGCCCCATCCAAACCTATTATATCTCAATACCCAAGGGAGGCCTGGGAATTGGAATTTTGAGCTCCCCAGGCCAGTCTGAGGTGCAGTCAGGATTGAGAATTGCTGTTCTAGAGATAGAATTGTGCTTTGATCTACTTTAATAACTTTGGAGGTTGATGGATGGTGTTTTTAAATGCATTATACTGATGTGAATGCCCAGACCTGAGCTAAGAATATTGACATTTATTATCTCATTTAAATCCAGTGTGCCCCTGTTTACAGATAGTGGTGGCTAAAATTCATTGAACAGTTATTTTGCCTTAGACAACACCTCATTTAATCTCACAACAACCCTGTGAAATAACTAGTTATCCCCTGCTACACAGATGAAGTTATGGCATAGAGCATTGAGGTAACTTGCCCAAGATCAGCCAGTTAATAAACGGCAGAGGCAGAACTGAGCCTGCCCATCTGGCTCTAGGGCCTCCTGGTCAATACACCAACATCTGCCCAGGTCCCCCTTCACTTGCGTTTCATCAGAGGGAGGGGCAGGCCAGCCCTGATCCCAAGGTAACCACAACCAAGACTCCATTCAGACTGGCCTGGGAGAAGGAACCTAAATGAGGCTGAATGCAAGCAGCAGATGTCCCCGCACAGCAATTCATTTGCTACTGGGAACATGGCTCGGCAAAGACTCCAGTATGAATGGAGTTTGCAATTTGAAAGATGATGTGTCTGGAGCCCTGCGGCGTGCTTTATTCCGGCGTGCACCTGCCTCCTCCATTCATTCCCATCTCCGCTCCCATCCTCGCTCCACCTCAAACTCTTCTTCTTCCCTCTGCCCTCCTTCACACCTCAACCTCTCTGACCTAAAAAACTTGGTTTATTTTTACTATAAATATAATAGGCCACACGCAGTGGTTCACATCCTAGCACTTTGGGAGGCTGAGGCAGAGGATGGCTTGAGCATAGGAGTTCAAGATAGGGCATAGCAAGACCCTGTCTCTACAAAAAAATTAAAAGTTAGCCAGGTGTGGTGGGCATACCTCCCAAGCAGCTATGGTCCCAGCTACTTCAGAGGCTGGGGCAGGAGGATCACTTAAGCCAAGGAGTTTGAGGCTGTAGTGAGCTATGATCGTGCCACTGCACTCCAGCCTGGGTGACAGAGACAGATCCTGTCTCTAAAAAATAAAAATAAAATTAAAAGTAAAATAATACTTTCTCATAAGAATAAGATAGCACCGAAGTACATCCCAACGCTGCATGCCGCCATCTCCTGCTGGGTACAATTTCCTGTGTGTTCATCCAGGCCTAGCATAGGCTCATACAAACATTATGCTCATCTGTAAATGTTTCTGCTTTTGAATTGTCTGTAAAAATTAAATCCTGTTATACAAATTATACTACAACCTTATTTTTTTCTCCTTAAAAATATGCCATGAACTTTTTTCAAGACAAAATATATTAATCTTTCTCATTTTTAAGAGCTTCATAGAATTCTGACATACTAATTCCTATAATTTATTTATCATTCCCCTATTGATGAACATTTATTTCCACAATTTTGCTACTACACACACACAAAAAAAATGCTGTCATGAGTCCCCTTGTGCATAGCTTTATATTCTTGTGCTATTGTTTCTGTAAAAGAGGTTCCTAGAAGTGAGATTAGCTAGTTCATAGGATGTGAGCATATACATTTCTTTTTTTTTTTTTTTTTTGAGATGGAGTCTCACTTCGTCACCCAGGCTGGAGTGCAGTGGCATGATCTCGGCTCACCGCAGCCTCCACCTCCCGGCTTCAGGCAATTCTCCTGTCTCAGCCTCCCAAGTAGCTGGGACTGTAGGCGCCTGCCACCACACCTGGCTAATATTTTCTATTTTTAGTAGAGATAAGGTTTCACCATGTTAGCCAGGATGGTCTCGATCTCCTGACCTCGTGATCCACCCGCCTTGGCCTCCCAAAGTGCTGGGATTACAGGCGCGAGCCACTGCACCCGGCCTGAGCATGTACATTTTTTAATGATAATGATGATGATAATCATCTTGCTAACTGCATTTAGCACTTACTTTGATATGCCAGGCATTATAAGAACATTATATTCATTATCTTATTTAGTCCTTCCAACAGTCCTGTAAGATACATTTTATTGTTATCTTCATTTTCATGCAATAGCATTAAGGCCTAGAGAGGTTGGGTTCTTGCTTCAAATAATACAGCTAATAAATGAACTGTCTGCCAAAAAGGCGGTACCAATTTTCACCCTAGCCACAGGGCCATTTCCCCAACAGGATATCATTGTCTTTGTGAGAATGAAAATCTAAAGGTACCTCTTTTTCGGTTTGCTTTCTCACCCCTTGAGGTGAACATCTGTGGCTTCCATGATCACCACCCTATTTCAGACCATTTTCTCTCCCTATTGGACCAGAGCCTCCACAGACTCCTGCTCCCAGACTTTCCCCTTCCGGTCCATCCTCCACACTACCAGAACACTCACACTCGCCCCTAAAGCCCTTTGGTCTCTCGTTGCCACCAGGATAAACTCCTGGCTCCTTGATCTACTATTTGAGGTCCTCCATGACCACATCCCTGCCAGCCTGTCAAAGCCACTGTCCTTTCTCTGGCCCTCTGTCCTCTTCCTGTCAGCTTTTCCAAACCATGACCCTGCACCACTTTCACATCTCTGAGCCTGTGCACATGCCATTTCTTCTTTCTGGAAGGCCTTTCCATCTTTGATTTTCCTGGCAAACTCTTACCCACTTTTCAAAGCCCAGTTTAAATGGCGTCTCTTGAAGCCAGGATGAAACCAAGGATAACACCAAACTCTTAGTGACAACAAGCTTGCAAGTGAGAGTTATTCTGTTTTATACTTTTTGTGCTTTCTAAATGTTTTGCAATGAGTAGCTGTTACTTTCATAATGAGAAAAAATAAAATACCTTTAATTTTTAGCATCTTTTCCTTTGAAATTTCTTAGTCTATGCTTTATGAAGTAGTCAAAAAGCATACTTGGACACGCTTGTACTCCCAGCTACTGGAAAGGCTGAGACATGAGAATCACTTGAATCCGGGAGGCAGAGGTTACAGTGAGCCAAGATTGCACCATTGCACTAAAGCCTGGGTGACAGAGTGAAACTTTGTTTAAAAAAAAAAAAAAAAAAAAAAGAGTGGATTTGGAGGACAACCACCTGAGACTGTGCTGGAAGAGCTGGAGTCACAGTTTGTCCCACTGGCAAAGTGCCTTATGTCCCTGACCTAGAGAATGCTAAATTACTCTCTGAGAAGAATCTTTGCTTGCCTCTTGGTTCATATTTGAGTCAAAGTAGGCATCCTTTTCCTCTGAGAAAATATCCAGGATGCCTGGCATATAGCCGACCCTCAATAAGGGGTTGCTGAATGCATTAATTAACAAAGAAGTCAAGCACACACACAATTTGGCTAACTTCTAAAGCATAAGCTCCTCATGCATCCAAAAGAAGATTTCTCCTTCATTTCCTCTCCCACAGGGACTAGGGATGGGCATGACCCTGAAGCAATTGCTTCCATGTGATAATTCCAGGATCCTGCTAGTCTTTGGTAGCTGTGAGAGTGTATGTCACACTTCTGGCTCTGTGATGGGCCTGTTTCTCATTCCCAAATGCTGCAGGTACTGTGTGAGAGCAGAGGGGTGGAGGAGAGGGACTCTGCTCCGCTGCATGATGTGAAATTGTGACTCCTTTGACCTCTCTGCAGGAGGGCAGCCTTGCAAATACGCAGCAGCCAGGAAACATGTCTTTTGCCCCTGGTGGACTTAAATTGTAAGGTTTCAGAGAATTATCTTTTCACCTTGGAAGGTGTTTTATGGGTACATGTGTATTAACTATTACTGAGTAATAAACCCCTCCAAACACAGTGCCTTAAAATGACAAGGCCTTTATTATTTATCCTGAGTCTGTGGGTTGGTTGGGCCATTCTCTGGCTGGTCCCACCTGGGCTCACTCATGTAGCTGCATTCAGTTGCCAGCAGTTCCGAGATGGCCTCAGCCACATGCTTGGTAGTAGGTGCTGGCTGTTGGCTGGGGCACCTCAGTGCTCCTCCCCACGGCCTCTCCTCCCGCAAAAGGCCAAACTGGCTTTCTTGCACAGTGGCCTCAGGACAGCAATACACCAGGCTCTGCTTGGGTCATGTTTGCTGATGTCCCACTGGCCAAGTCACATGGATAAACCCAGAGTCAGCCAGCCAGGCAGGAGGCTTGGAGCTCGCCTCTTGATGGGAGCAGTAGTAAGGAATGTGTGGCCAATTTCAATTCACCACAACATGTATGAGAGTCAGAGACAGAGGGAAGCAGAACCTGATCCTCACCTAGCGGCTGGACAACTGAGATGACAGAATGATGTATCCACGGCACAGAGGTGGGGAGATGTCAAAGAGTGGATTTGGGCTGGGCGTGGTGGCTCAGGCCTGTAATCCCAGCACTTTGGGAGGCCAGGCGGGTGGATTACTTGAGGCCAGGAGTTCGAGAACTGCCTGGACAGCATGACGAAACCCCATCTCTACTAAAAATACAAAAATCAGCCGGGTGTGTTGGCACATGCTTCTAATCCCAGCTACTGGAAAGGCTGAGACATGAGAATCGCTTGAATCCAGGAGGCTGAGGTTGCAGTGAGCCAAGATTGCACCATTGCACTAAAGCCTGGGTTACAGAGCGAAACTTTGTTTTTAAAAAAAAAAAAGGGTGGATTTGGAGGACAACCACCTGAGACTGCGCTGGAAGAGCTGGAGCCACGGCCCCCCGCCCCCAAGCTGTCCCACAGGGCCCTGCTCTCTGAGGCTTTACCTTACACAGAGGAGGAACTGAGGACAATGCATTGCTGGAGGAATGGAAGGAAATGCTAGTGAAAGACAGGTCCCACCAGTAGGGAGAGAATTTTCCAAAAGCTGCATGAAGACCAGAAGAAAAACAATCTCTTTAAGGACGTTGCAGACCTGAGCAAGGCCAAGAACTGGGTGTGCTTCAGAGGGGACTCCCGGCGGCAGCCACAAAGGTGCATGCTCCAATCTCCCTTCAGGAAGAGTGTGCCTTTCAGCTACAAGACATGCAACTGGCTGCTCCTTCTGCTACAGCTTTCAGGGTCCGTCTCTGCATGCAAGTTCTAGCCAAGGCCATACTCTTCCCAGGAAGCCCCCCTCAGCCAGTGACTGAGCATGGTGGGGGTACTTGGGCTGGGCCATTTCTGTCAAATGTGGGATTCTTCTAAAACCCATCTTTGCTCTAGGACTTTGTGCTGCATTCACAGAATGTCAGCTCCGCATCACAGTCTGAAGGTTTTCCTCCCTTTTACCTTTCATAGCTGCTGTGCCCAATATGCCCTTTGCTTGGCTAACATTTACTGAGCATGTATTATACATCAGGCACTGTGCTAAGGGATCTATGTGCCTTGCCATTTAGTCTCTACAGCAATCCTATCAGATAGCAACCGATAGCACTCCACGTTATAGGTGAGGAAACAGGAACAGAAGGATGATGTGGCTCACCTTGTGTGTGGGGAGAGGGGAAGCACAGCCAGGAAGAGATGGAATCAAGATTGGGTTTGGGGATCGGATCTGCACCCTCCACAGGGGAAGACACGCTTCTCACTGCTCTGTCCTTTCCCCTGGATGTTTTCCAGGCTCTAATTTCCTCTAGATTTGAAAAATGAACTTTCCTTCCTGGAATTTGTCCAATTTTGGAATGAAGTTTCCTGGTCTAGTCACAAATTCATTAACAAGAGCTCAAATTAAGGGCTTCCCCTCAGTATGGTGTCCCTCAAAGTCCTGCCTTGGGGACTTGATTGACCAAGTAAAGGAAAGCACTCACTGTGCAGATAGCACGGGAAGAGCTGCTTTGGCTTCCCCAAGATCAACAGGCCCTGAAAGGCAAAGACCTGGGTTTGGAAGGTGCAGCAGGTTAGAGGAAGAGTGGGGCTTCTCTGCTTCTGAGAACAGCATGGGGAAGTTCCCAGCAGGGTGCCTGCGTCTCCAAGTCACACAGGGTTAGTCACCCTTCTTGCCCCAGAGGCTCTGCTTAGCTCTTCTGTCAGTCAGAATCTCAATTTCATCTATACCTCACAGCCACAGACTTTCAACTGTAGACCTCCATGGTCTAGATATTCTCTAGCCCACTGTCACCCCCAAGGAGCTGGTCTCCGAAGTCTCATCTGTGTAGGAGATTCAGCAGATCCAACGCATGAAATAGACCAGAGCAAGAATTTGATTTTGAAATGAAATCAAAACAGAATCAACCAGCACAAACCTGGCTTCCAGCCCAGGCACCATGTCCTGGAAAATAAGTCACTGTGTGAATTTGGGACAGTCACTTACCTCTTTGAGCCTGTTTTCTCATCTGCAAATGGGAATAATAATAGTACCTGCCTAATGAGGATTTCATGAGGATCACAGGCAGTATGCTCAGCTCCGCACCTGGCACAAAGCCAGCTCTTAATATGGCTTAGTTACCATCTCATTGTGGGTCCCTTAAAGAGTAGGACTTCTTGACTCTACTTCAAGGTTGACTTATGAGGTAATCCCAGGAAGCACAGTTGGAAGAGTGAAAGGAGAAAAGCCACTAAAAGTTGTCATCCCAAGTGGCTTCCTACTGTGGGCACCTAGGGCTCAGGCCCTCTGAGAAACAGTGTGGAATATGCATGAGAACTGCCGGGAAGCTGGAGGGCTTGTCCCCAGACTCCCAAGCCTCATTTGTAAGGGATGCCCTGGGAGGCAGTGACAAGCCCCACAGCACATCTGGGTGCACTTGTGTGAAGAGGGAAACCCTCAGCCCAGTGAAGAGAGCCCAGTGTTCGAGAAGGAGCATGGTCAGCTTGCAGGCCAACTCAGGACAGCCAGGAGGGTGTGGGGAGCATTCCTTCTGCTCCAGTTCCCATTATGGTTACTGTAATGACAAACACGGGTAACAGGGTATATTATCTTGTGTTATTCACGTAAATATATAGACCACGACAACTCAGTCCAATTCTCATTGTCTTCTGTGATGCTCGAATTTTGATAAATACCCTAACGGGCTTCATGGAAAGAAGAGGAAAGACCAGTTATTTTATTAAGGGCTGTCATGGCCAGGGACTGTGCTAAGCATGTAATCCTCACACAACTCATGAACTTGGATATGAATATCCCATTTTGCAGGGAACAAAACTGAGGCAAAGAGAGGTATATATCTTACTCAAAAATCCTACAGCCTGTAAGAGGCAGAAATGGGATGCAAATACACAAAATAAGACTCTGCTGTCAATCATCTAAACCTTTGTGGAATTGAACTGAAAATGGCACGATTCTATGAAGTGGTTTGGAAGCCTGGTGAGTGGGTGGGGCAGGCCAGCATTCAAAGTCAGGCACCAAGAAGGCTGAGTTCGAAGACTGGGCGCGGTGGCTCACGCCTGTAATCCCAGCACTTTGGGAGGCAGAGTCGGGTGGATCCTCTGAGGTCAGGAGTTCGAGACCAACCTGACCAAATGGCAAAACCCCATCTCTACTAAAAATACAAAAATTAGCCAGGCATGGTGGCAGGTGCCTGTAATCCCAGCTACTCGGGAGGCTGAGACATGGGAATAGCTTGAACCCGGGAGGTGGAGGTAGCAGTGAGCTGAGATGGCACCATTGCACTCCAGCCTGGGCAACAGAGTGAGACTCTGTCTCAAAAAAAAAAAAAAAAAAGAAGACTGAGTTCATAACTTTATTAGACACCTCCCAAGGGCTTTCCTCTAGACCAGAAGGATGTCTCTTCTGTTCTTAGGGAAGTTGTATGGAGTACCCTTGACATAACTAACTCCATCTCAGGAAAAGGCTCCACTTGATAATTCATAGGGCACTCTGCCAACAAGGATAAGATGTTTTGTTTAATAAACAAATTTAAAAAGTAAAGACTGCATCCAACCAGATAAGGACACAAACAAGCAATCTCTTCCGCTATCAGTTCTCACCAGAGAACTCTGTGACTATAAAAGATTAGGCCTTCAGCAGCTCAAAATGGTAGTCTTAACTGACACCATCTTGCTGTCACTTGTGATAAGAACTTGGCATCTGCTGCCAAAGGCTCTGCCACCTCAAAGACTCTTCCTTGCAAGACCAACAGACTGCCCAGCCCAGAACACGACAACTTGTGTCTTCCTCGCTCCCCCTGGACTCATTTATTAACCCTTTCTCCTATCTCTTTTTCCTCTTGATGTTAAATGCTATATTGTTTGTGTGGAGTGTTTAATCTATAACACTTCAAGTACACTATCACGCATGGTTTGCAGTATTGACTGACTTACGGAGTGCCCGCAGCTCTGACTACGGAGTAAATGGGAAGTATTAAGGAGAACTGCCTCCTTGGGAACTCCACAGAGCTCGTGGCTTTTGTGATGGAATCACCATCAATACAAGGCTGACACTGTGGAAAGACACAAGCATGTGTGGACCTGGCTATTTCTAACCTGGCACTCCTCATGACAGAAGCCAAAGTGACAATTTGCATATGTAGAATGAGAATGGTTGGCCTTCAGATGGACTTCATTCATTGTTAGTAGTGCTCCCTTTCATTCTCAACTGTCCTGGTTTGGACAAGACATTGCATGTCTCCCTATACAAAATGCTATTAAATTAACAAAGAGCTTCCGCACAGGTTATTTGACTACTTTATTATCCCCACAACCTTAAGAGGAAGTGTTTATGACACTATTTGATGGAAGGGCAAATCAAGACCCAGAGAGGCTGTCCTGCAAGGCCCTGGCCTGGCTGAGACTAGAACCCAGACATCTCTTTTGATTCCAAAGCCCAGGGTCTTTCTGCTTGATCTTCATGCATTGTTCTTACGTTGATTTGGTCATTTATTTATTCATCTTTCACTCATTCTTTCTTTTTCTTTAGAGCACACTGTGCCCATTTTTATGTTTCTCTCTGCTTCCAGAAGTTCAAGATACAGAATGAAGCAAAAACCAGGCTTGACAGCAGTGAGCCATGTTCACACCACTGCACTCCAGCCTGGGTGACAGACTGAGACCCTGTCTCAAAAAAAAAAAAAAAAAAAGGAAAAGGAAAAGAAAAAGAGAAAGAAACTCAATTGTTAGGCATCTCCCTGGGGATTTTATCAACCAGGAAGGATAAATTGGGAGCACAGGAGAGGCAGCTGGAGGTTGACACCAGCCCAGACAGATTACCACCTGTTCTTCTAAGAGCTGCTCCAGACAATTTTCATTACCTGAGAGACTTTTTGTCTGTATAACAGGACAGCGTTTATCCCCATGCATTTCCTCCCTCACCCTCCCATAACTAGTATCTCTACCACCCTCCAGAAGCCCCAAGTTCCTATTCATTTCTGTAGCTCAGGATGCTATATAAGCTTCAATCATCTGATCATTCCTCCAGTGTCATATTCTGTGGAACTCCTGTGCATACATATGTAATTAGTTTTTCTCCTGTTAGTCTGTCCTATGTCAATTTAATTCATAGCCTAGCCAATGAACCTAGAAGAGTGGAGGGAAGTCATTATTCCTCCCCTAAAACACAACATATATGTACATGAAATTGTTAACAATGGCGAATTTGTATGGGTCTGCAGCAACCTCAGCTCTTGCTTTCTCAGAAGAAAGAATTCGACTGAGGGATAGAAAGCAGAGTGAGAGACAGAGTCAAGTTTTAGAGCAGAAGCAAAAGTTAATTAAAAAGTTTAGAGCAGCCGGGTGCAGTGGCTCACACCTATAATCCCAGCACTTTGGGAGACTGAGGTGGACAGATCACAAGATCAGGAGTTCGAGACCAGCCTGACCAACATGGTGAAACCCCATCTCTATAAAAATACAAAAATTAGCCGGGTGTGGTGGCGCGTGCCTATAATCCCAGCTACTCAGGAGGCTGAGGCAGGAGAATCGCTTGAGCCCAGAAAGCGGAGGTTGCAGTGAGTTAAGATCACGTCACTGCACTCCAGCCTGGGCGACAGAGCAAGACTGTCTCAAAAAAAAAAAAAAAAGAAAGAAAGAAAAGAAAAGTTTAGAGCAGGAATGAAAAGAAGTAAACTGGAAGAGGGCCAAGCAGGTGACTTCAGAGATTCAACTGTGCTGTTCCTTTGACTTGGGGTTTTACATGTTGACACGCTTCCAGGGTTGCATTACTTCCCTGATTCTTCCCTCGGATGGGCTGTCTGCATGCACAGTGGCCTGCTAGCATTTGGGAGGGGCTGCAGGCTCAGTGTGTTTACTGGAGTTGTATGCATGCTCGTTTGAGGCATTCTTCCCTTACCAGCCAAGTGTTTAAATCCTGCCATGTTGCCTCTTAGTGTGCATGCTTGAGCCCACTCGCCCAACTTTTGCTATCTTATTGGGAAGCTGCTGATCACCAATTTCAGGTGTGTTTTTGTTTTTGTTTTTGTTTTTGAGACGCGGAGTCTTGTTCTGTCACCCAGGCTGGAGTGCAGTGGCCCCATCTAGGCACACTGCAAGCTCTGCCTCCCGGGTTCACGCCATTCTCCTGCCTCAGTCTCCCGAGTAGCTGGGGCTACAGGTGCCCGCCACTGCGCCCGGCTAATTTTTTGTATTTTTTTAGTAGAGACGGGGTTTCACCGCGTTAGCCAGGATGGTCTCGATCTCCTGACCTCGTGATCCACCCGCCTCGGCCTCCCAAAGTGCTGGGATTACAGGCGTAAGCCACCGCACCCGGCCCCAGGTGTTTATATCTATTGGGAGACGGCCTTTCCCTGGCGCCGGCTGCCACCAAGTATTATTTTAGAGACACAGTTCACAACTGCCTGACCATCACCTGATGGTCACCTCCCATTCCTGGTGGGAAGGAAGGGGGACCCTCTCCTCTCCTGCTCATGTCTGCCTGACTACCTACTGTAACAAAATCACCACTTTGTACACCTTGAATATATTCAGTCTTCATGTCTCAATGTAATATTTTAAAAATTAAAAGAAGAGAAAACAGGCTTGAGTCCTTGTCTGAAAGCCCTTGGGATTCTTCGCATACTATAGCGTGGCTACAGCTGTTTGAACCTTTCTCTAGGTTTAAATCCTGGTTTTGGCAGTAGCTAAGCTACTCTACCTGGGCAAATCTCAGATTCTTCATCTGCAAAATAGGATAATCATAGCAAGTGCCCACCTTGTGAGCTGCTGGGAGGAGAAACAAGATAAAGCATGGGGAGAGGTTGGCACCATGCCCTGTACACAGGAAGCCCTCAGCAAAATGCAAGCCAGGTATTTCCTTTATCAGGCGGGAAACACCACCCGGATCTAACCTAGGGGATGGAGTGAGCTTTGGGAAACCAGAAGATTGGGGTTTTGTTTTTTGTTTTTTGTTTTTAGCTCTAAGCCAGGAACAATAATTGAAAATTTTATTTCCCCCCACCACCCCGGGGAACACGAACCACGTTTTAAAGAAAACAGTTGGGGGTGTGGGGTGGAGAGTTACTTGGCTTCCAAGGTAAAGGGACTTGGGAAATGTTGAGCCTTAATTTCTGCATCTATGCTCCATTTATCCTAAGAGACTTCCCATTTAATCATACAAGGAAGGCAGAATCAAAGGGGGCATATTTGCATCATAAAAGAGGTAATTGAATTCAAATGTGTGGAGTCTTTACCTTTCAGAGTCCCCAATCCTTTTGTTCTCCCTTCTAATCATTCCTGGCAGTTTTTGCAAAAGGCTAAAATGTGGCACAGGAAGATATCAATACAGGAGGGAAAAGAAATATGGTCATAAAAGGGGTTAATTCAAATTGTGGGCAGAAAGCCCTTTTTCTTCTTTTTTCTCTTTTCCTGTGAGGGACTCAGACCCAGAGAGAGGGAGCTGTGACTGGCAGCCGCTGAAGAAAAAAGCAACTGAATTCCTGGTTTCCTTTTCTTTCTTTCTTCTCCACCCAATGCGGGGAGTGGGGGTATTTCTTCAAAGAGGAATTTTTAAACATCTGTACATGTCTGTTTTTAAAAAACAAAACAAACTAAAGTTATTCATTAAATGCAAACAAAACACTTGAAAATCTACTTAAGTTTCAATCTTATGACCAATTAGAGAGGCAGAAAGGCACTGACTGAGGGTTACACTTCATCTCCTCAAAGTTGATGTGTTCATATTATTTCCATTTTACAGATGAGGAAATTGAACAGAGTTCAAGAAGGTCCTAGAAATTGAATGAGGGAGGCATTGAATTCCATTCTTTTTACTAGAAAGAAATTTAGAAAAAGACGAAAGAAGAAAAGGAAGGAAGGAGAGAAAAAAAGAAAAAAGAAATGAAGGAAGGAAGGAAGGAGCATCTTATTTGGTATTATAAAGTGAAAAATATAAGAATATAGCTTCTGAGACACACGCTGAGCCAGAGCTGAGTATCAGAAATAGATGCAGTAAAATAAAGGCTGTGTGGAAATGTTATCCAGCAAATGGGCTTGCTGCCGGATGTGCACGGAAGCCAATACCATAGCACCAGCGCTTGAGAAAAAAAAGGCTTTATTGCAAAGCCAGACAGCAAGGAGAACAGGGTCCCAAACTGTCTCCCCAGTTTGGGGTCTGCAGCAAGTTTTAGGGATCAGAGGGCAAGGGAAAGGATTTAGGAATGTTGGCTTGTCAGAGTCTGATTGGAGGGCTTCGAAGCTGACCATTTATGGTAAGGTATGCTGAGGTGGATGTTAGTCCTGGATCTTTTTAACCAATGGACCCCTCGCTTCTGAAAGAGTTCCCGTGGTGGAGTTCCGGTGGTGGAGTTCCGGTCGTCAGGTTCCGATTTGTCAGGTTCCCACCAAGTCCCAGGCTTCCTGGTCCTGTGGGGAGGGATCGATCATTGGTTCTGGGTGTTGTTGAGAGCTTTATCCTACTGCGCATGCCCTCACTAAGTGACTTGAAGTTTCGTCTCTGTTCTACCTACAAGGTAACAGGACACTTTCTTAACAGTAGGCTCAGTTTGGGCTGGTCCTGCAGTCACAGAAATAAACCTCCTGTGGGTGCATGAGTAAGAAAGTGAAGCCCAGCTGGGCGTGGTGGCTCATGCCTGAAATCCCAGCACTTTGGGAGGCCGAAGCAGAGGCTGGGGGAGTTGAGGGGGGAAATCGCTTGAGGTCAGGTGTTCGAGACCAGCCCGGGCAACGTGGTGAAACCCTGTCTCTAATAAAAGTACAAAAATTAGCCGGGCATGTTGGTGTATACCTGTGATCCCAGCTACTCAGGTGGCTGAGGCAGGAGGATCACCCGAGCCCAGGAGGTGCAGGTTGCAGTGAGCCAAGATCGTGCCACTGCACTCCAGCCTGGACGATAGAGCCAGACTCTGTCTCAAAAAAAAAAAAAAAATGGTGAAGCTGCCTTGTAGGGACCCTGTAAATAGCATGTGTCTCTTCTAAAAGGTCAAGTTAAAGACAGTGAAGACAGGGGCAATGTAGTTTATCTCCCCAACTCCTCCCACAAACACATACAGAATAACTAGGATAGCAAAAGAAAAAAGCCTCAGACACCATATTTAACACAGTCAGGTGACTGAGTATCCCAGAATACAGGAAGCTGGAATGGGGGCACTGACAGTGGTAAGAGTCTCCTGGAGCGCAGCTCTGTGGGCTTTCCTGGGTCTCCAAAATGCAAAGAGAAAAGAGCCACACGGACGGGACACTGATGAGAACAGAATGCAAGATGATCAGGGTAGGACATTTGTAGGTAAAGGTAGGAAAAGTTTCGTTATATAAAATGTATAGGAGGCCATGGTTTTGGACTGGCTACAACTCAAACTAAGAACAAAAACTGCTCTCTTCAAGTCCTATGAACAGAAGCTGGATATAAACTTCAAGGGGAAAGTCTCATGCCTGATGCCTTGCGTGTGGGCTGCACAGAGAGTTCACCAAAATGCCCAAAGCCATAACCAATGATATTCAAACTGCAAACTGGGGTGAGAAGCTGATAGCTTCACGCTGTGGATAGCTACTCCCAAGACTTCAGAACAAAACTCCCTGTCACAACGAGACTCTTACCCCTCTTAATTTTTCTTTGCTTTTATGCCTACCTTTTTCACTTGGCAGGATAATGCTATAGTTGGAATTTCTGTGGTTAACTTGTCAAAATATTGCATCTGTCATGCCTAACCCAAACCTTTACATGACCTAAAGGATCTGTTAGTCCACCCAGTGAATAACTTCAGCAGCTTCCCTAATGCAACTGTTGTTCAAATTGTGCTTTTATGGAGTCAGACTTCTAGCCCCACTTGTTCTCACTCTCTGCTTTAATTTAACCCAGTCATGGGATACTGGTTAATAGACTTCCCTACTAACTGAACAGGAAGGAGTCTATGCAGTTGCTGATGCTTCCTGTTACATATGGATAAATAAATTGGGTATTGTAGAGACTCAGTGAAAAAATTAACTAACAGGCTACTTGGTTAAAATGGAAAGACTTCTCATCTGGCTCATTCTTTGATCTATTTGATTTTGAGTTTCGTTGCTCATTCTTTGATCTATTTCATTTTCATCGGTTTGGGTCATGGAATATGCCCCTGGCTAAGGAGCATTCTCCACACTCTTGGTATTATACTCCTGAGAGTCATAATAGTAGTCTCCTTGGTTCATGGTATCCTCTCAAAAAGCCTTAAATGCCTCCATGCACCCATTTGCTGAACATTGAATGGTCTCTGGTTGGAATGATGAAAATGTCAAGAAATTAATGATAACAAGGACAGTGTAACCTATAAATGACATTTTGACACCAAAAAGCAAAGATGATGTTGACTGAGAGTAGAGTTGATGCCCTAGGTTTTGGTCACACCCTCTTCTAGGTGAAATCCCGGCCAAAATGTAGGAATTGCCAGGTAGAGCAATTGGTTTGGATGAAGCTCCTGAGTCAGGCCCAACAGACCAAACCAGAGAGGAGTCCCTCATGCTAAAGTTCCACACTACCAAGCTGAAATGAAATTGTTTATCTAAACTTCCAAGAAATCAGAAGAAAGAGAGAGGGAGATAATCGCCAAATCTCCAAACAGCCAGTCTTAGCCAGCATGATACAGAAATTCCCTCTGCTTTCCCCTTTATAAGAAAAGTAACTTCGAAATGACAAATTTGCTTTTTGTGTTTTTGTTTCTGCTTTTCTCAGCCCTTTTCTGCTTACAAAATCTGCTGAGCTCATTGGAACACTTATTCTGTTTTACAGAATGAGGTGTTACCCAATTCTACAATCACAAATAAAAGCCAATTAAGATCTTTAAACTCGATTTTGTTATAAATCCGTAGGATACTTGGAAGGGGGTGGGGTGGTGAGCAGAGGAGAAAGATCTCTCAAAGTACTGGGGAACCTGCTGCACTGAAAGGTCCTTTTTTTTTTTTTTTTTTTGAGACAGAGTTTTGCTCTTGTTGCCCAAGCTGGAGGACAATGGCATGATCTTGGCTTACCACAACTTCAGCCTCCCAAGTTCAAGCAATTGTCCTGCCTCAGCCTCCTGAGTAGCTGGAATTACAGGCATGCACCACCATGCCTGGCTAATTTTTTGTATTTTTAGTAGAGACAGGATTTCTCCATGTTAGTCAGGCTTATCTCGAACTTCCAACCTCAGGTGATCCGGCCACCTCAGCCTCCCAAAGTGCTGGGATTACAGGCGTGAGCCACCGCGCCCGGCTGAGAGGTCCTATTTTTTAATGTTTGTGAAAGCAACAGAAGAGCCATAGACTGTGAGATATCAAAGAGAAATAGCACTGGACCCTTATTAATGGTGGCAAGACAGATTTTACCCTGACTATTGCAGCAGGGAAGAGAGACTCCAGCATAAACAGAGCCCGACTCCAACTAAGACAAAGGTGACTTAGTGAGGTTTTCAAAGGGAAAACAAAGAGGAAATAAGAAGGAGTTATGGGGAAATGGAATACTACAGAGGGATGTAAGTGAAGAATTACTGAAAATGGTTTGGCAATGTGGGTTGGAACTATGAACACTTTGCAGTTTGGCTGCATTGAGTTTTTTTGACCAAAGCCTCAGCACAGGGGATGGTGTTACCTTTAAGGTCGTGGTCTAGTACAGGTGGAAGCCAGGCTAAAGTCTGGTCAAGCTCCTTAGCACAATGTTTGGGCAAGTCCTTTCTGCTGCATGAAGGTGGACAGTTCACAGTGGCTAGGAATGCTGGTCCACCCCTACCTCTTGCACAGTATAGAAAAAAAATCATATTCCTCAGTAGAAAACTATGCACTATCGGCCAGGTGCTGTGGCTCACGCCTGTAATCCCAGCACTTTGGAAGGCCGAGGTGGGTGGATCACTTGAGGTCAGGAGTTCGAGACCAACCTGGCCAACATGGTGAAACCCTGTCTCTACTAAAAATACAAAAATTAGCTGGGAGTGGTGGTGCGCGCCTGTAACCCCAGCTACTCAAGAGGCTGAGGCAGGAGAATCACTTGAACCGAGGATGGGGAGGTTTCAGTGAGCCAAGATCACGCCACTGCACTCCAGCCTGGGCAAAGAGTGAGACTCCATCTCGAAAAAAAAAAAAAGAGAGAAAAGAAAGTTATGCATTATCTATGTGCATCCCTTATGCCTTATTAGATTCTAATTGTATGGGAGCTATTTTCTAACTCTGAAAGTAGTATGTAAGTGGTAGATATGCAGATTCTGCCCTATCTCATAGAGATTTCATTGATTTATCTCACCCCTACACACAAACACACACACACACACACACACACACACACACACACACAGAGGTTTGTCTTCATTTGCAATTCATTTCCACATTCCTTGACTCCACATAAATTTGTGCTTTTCTGACATTTTCTTTGAACCAGTTATAACATCTGCCTGGTTCTCTCATTGATTAGCAAGTAAAGTAATGTTGAACATATGTTTATTTTTGTATCTGTATGAGAGTCCTGATTTTATTTTTTAAGAAAATTGTCTTTTAACAACAGAACTTCCTCTTAAAATTACAGGGAAACCCATCCCACTTAACTATAAGTAAACAGAAAAAGATTGTGGTCAAAGACTAAGAGAGAATAGAATAATAATCATGGTAATATATCTATGAAAATAAAAACACATCAGAAATATATGGCTCCAAGAAGAAAAGAATCATAACCTAATATTTCAAAATGAGCTAAGGAACTTTAAAAAATGATAGCAGCTATGAAACAACAATCTGCAACAGAATCACAAAAGCCCAGAAATGAGATGGCTAAATGTAGGAGGACGTAGGACAAAAGCACTGATAGTGCTCAGGAACAAGTGAGAAATAAAAATTTTAAATTTAGAAATGAAGACTGAGGCTGGGCACAGCAGCTCATGCCTGTAATCCCAGCACTTTGGGAGGCAAAGGCGGGTGGATCACAAGGTCAGGAGTTTGAGACCAGCCAGGCCAATATGGTGAAACCCCGTCTCTACTAAAGATACAAAAAATTAGCCGAGCGTGGTGGTGCACACCTGTAATCCCAGCTACTCAGGAGGCTGAGGCAGGAGAATTGCTTGAACCTGGGAGGCAGAGGTTGCAGTGAACCAAGATCACACCATTGCACTCCAGCCTGGGCAACAGAGCGAGACTCCGTCTCCAAAAAAAAAAAAAAAAAAGAAATGAAGACTGGCCAGGTGCAGTGGCTCATGCCTATAATCCCAATCTCAGCACTTTGGGAGGGTCTATTGAGCTCAGGAGGTCGAGGCTGCAGTGAGATAGGTTTGTGTCATTGTACTCCAGACAGAGCAAGACCTGTCTCAAAAAAAAAAAAAAGAGAAAAAGAAACGAAGACTAACAAACACAAAAGTGAATAGATGCCATAAGAAATACAGAGTGAAAAGGAGAAAAAAATGAAATAGAATACAAATGAAGAAGTAAAAAGAAAAGATTTGAGAGAAAGTGATAGATATAGAACATATTCCTAATAGATTAGAATGCCCAACATGTGTATAATAGTTCCCAAAGATGGGGGTGGAATGCAACACAAGAGAATAAATAGTATTATACAGAAATTACGAGAGGCCACTGTTTTGGGTTGAGCTTCAATACTCTAGGCTTCGACAGACCAGATCAAACCAAAACAGAGACACTCATGTTAAGTACCACAGAGTCAAAGCGAAATGTTAAGGCAACAGATCTCAAAAGAGACCAGTTCTTCCTGAAATCAGAAGATTCCAGTCTGAGTCATCATCATAAGGAAGGCCCTTCTGCTTTAACCCTTAAAAAGAAGTAACCCGAAGTTACCCGATGTTAACCAGCCTTTTTTTCCCTCTTATTCTGTTCCTCGTTCCCACCTCATAAAACCCACCGTTCTGTTACTACCCAGTGAGAGCTCTCAGTCTCGTTTATTGAGTGGAGGCTACCCTGATTCATGAATTGCAAATAAAAGCCAATCAGATCTATAACTAAATTTGTTGTAATTCTGTCTTTTGATGATTCTGGCATTGTAGGACTTTTTCCTTAGTTCAGCTAAAAACGGGGTCCTTGTCACACGACCAGGAAAGATTAGGCTTATGAACACATAGAAGGGTGAGAAAAGTGGAATGTATTGGGCGAAAAGGAAAAAAATTCAGCAAAGCCAGAGAGGTTCCTATTAACAGGCCCCCATCTCACAGTCTCACAGATTGAATCCCAGGGTGCCCCCCGGGAACAGAAGCGGCCAGGCTCCTGCCCCCTGGAAACGGCACAAACTTTCTGAGGCTCCACCCCAAAGCGCACGCCTCCCAGTGCACAGGCCAATCAGAGGCTCTAAGGGAGCCCTTTTTACTTGGCTGTATCACTGGCAACCACAAAGGGACCCAAAGGACCTGGCTCATGGCTCCCAGGACTCCTTGAGGAGTTCAGGAGAGGTGCTGCTGACCCTCTGGAGGCTCTCTCTGTTCCACACAGAGCCCTGAACATCGTAAGTCAGTGCCTCTCGGGTCAGACGCTACTCTTTTTGCATTGGACCACCTGATCTTTTCGGCTTTCAAATCCAGGGTTTAGTTTATGCTGTGAACCCACGTAAAACCTCTTGGGGTTTACAGTGGCTGAAAGTCACTGGCAGAGCTGTGGTTTTAAATGTCACTGACACCAGTTGCAGTACATGGTCATTACTACAGGGCCACAAACTTCAGCTTTAGGAATTCACAGGAATTTGAGTTCTATCCTCTTCCTTTTTCTTGCACTCTTGCGTAGGCGGAAATCATTGGCTAAGTTGGCCAGGGGGATCTCAGCCCCAAAGCCACAACTCGACTGGTGGACATGGATTAGGCACTTAAGAGTTATCAGAGCACTCACTGCCAAAACACAAGGCTTCCGTCAGGGGTAAGGGTCATGGGATGGGGCAGTTGACATCAGTCCACCCACCAGCCTCAAGAAAACTTTCATGCAATGAAGGAACACAGCTAAAGCATCACACGATCCAACCCCGTGGCGTTTCTCTGTTAAGCTTTTTTCTTGGCCCTGAGAGGCCCACGATTCAACATAAAAATGGGATCCTTAATTTCTAAATAACTGAGTAATCCACTTTCCGGCTACACTTGCCTTTACATGTATAAGCATTAGGCCCCCAAAGCCGCAAATATTTACAAAAGTGGCCAAAATCTTACTATAGATATTTCAGAATTACAATGGCCATCACATGGGACCTTCCAGATGAACAACACTGCACTTTAAGCAGTGCATTTTAAAATGAGGGCTCCCAAAATTAGTCTCACCCAGGGACGCCTACAGAAGCTTCTAAAAAATTTCAAGGAAAACATTTTTGCCTCTTTTAAGAGACTGTTTACAAAAGACAAATGAAAAGCTTCAGGGACTGATAAGAAAATTAAATCTACTAACTTTTTCGATATTTTTCTTTTTGCTTCATTACTGTCCTGCCCTGAAGGTGAAAAGAAAGCTGGATAGGCCAGGCGCGGTGGCTCACACCTGTAATCCTCCCACTTTGGGAGGCCAAGGTGGGCGGATCACGAGGTCAAGAGATCGAGACCATCCTGGCCAATATGGTGAAACCCCATCTCTATTAAAAATACAAAAAAATTAACTGGGCGTGGTGGTGTGTGCCTGTAGTCCCAGCTACTCAGGAGGCTGAGGCAGGACAATCACTTGAACCCAGGAGGTGAAGGTTGCAGTGAGCTGAAATCACACCACCCCATTCCAAGCTAGCGACAGAATGAGACTCTGTCTCAAAAAAAAAAAAAAAAAAAAGAAAGCTGGATAAAATGTTTATAAAAGCTAGGCCCTCTGGTCAAGCAGTCATCATGCTGAATCCAGACATAGAAAATGCTTTATCTGTCCAATTCGTTAATGGGCCCCACCCTGAACTCAGTAATCCAGTTAAGAAACAAAGCTAAATTGAAAAGCCACCTAACTAAACTCATCTCCAAAATATGCCTTTCTGGCATTCCGCTGGTTACTTTGAACAGGCTTCTGAATTTTCTCCTAGGCTTCTCTGCGTACGTCCTTGTAAAAGCCTGTAGTGAATTTCTGTGATTTTAAATTGCCTCTGCATCCATTCTGAATCTTCTTGTTTCCTACCTGACTGGCACACCAAAATCGAAAGCTCCTCCCAGTCAGGGCTCTCCTAGAGAGTGACTAATTGGATAGGAGTAAACTGGACACAGGTCAGACAGAGCCAAAAGGGCATCAGCCAGCACAAACAAGTTTCCTGTGGGAGGGACACCGGCCCCAGGTCAGGCATTTATGCATGAAGCTGCCCACCAGGACACAGAAGTGCCCTGTAAGAGGCACACCAGAAACATCCACAATCAGTTCCCCGGCATCCGATCACAGCAGGGCTAGAATTCAAAGCCACTCTCCAGAGAGCCTCAAGACCAAATTAAAGGAAAGTGCATCAAATTCAGTTTTAGCAGAAATGGATGTTTTGCCCACCCAGATAAGCTTTGGAGACATTCAGATCTAAAATGTAGTCCACCGTCTCTATCAAACTGACCGCTAATAATAGGCAACATGCCCTAAGTTCTTTCTCGGGGGAAAAAAAAAAAACTTGAGGCTGAGCGCAGTGTCTCACGCCTGTAATCCCAGCACTTTGGGAGGCCCAGGCAGGCGGAACACGAGGTCAGGAGATAGAGACCATCCTGGCTAACAGGGTGAAACCCTATCTCTACTAAAGATACAAAAAATTAGCCAGGCGTGGTGGCACACGCCTGTAGTCCCAGCTACTCGGGAGGCAGAGGCAGGAGAATCGCTTGAACCCGGGAGGCAGACGTTGCAGTGAGCCGAGATTGCGCCACTGCACTCCAGCCTGGGGGACAGAGCGAGACTCTGTCTCCAAAAAAAAAAAAAAAAAAAAGATAAGATAAAAACGAAACAAAACAAAAAACTTGAATTGTTTCTCTGTACATCTGCTGTAGGACTTTCTCCTTAGTTCAGCCAAAAACCAGGTTCTTGTCACATGACAGACACTTTGAAGGTGAGGGGGAATGGAATTTATTGGGTGAAAAGGAAAAAACAAGACAGCAAACTGAGATAGGTCCTGCTAACAGGCTCTCCATCTCACCAACTGAATCGCAGGTTACCACCGAGGAACAGGAGAGGCCAGGCTCCTCCCCCCTGCAAATGGCGCGAACTTCCCAAGGCCCCATCTCCTCCTTCCAGTGGGCAGGTGGGCATTATTCAGAAGGAATCAGCTGGGAAAAGGACAGGCTTCATCCAGGACTGGCAGTCAGGTTTTTCAGCCTTCAAGCTGTTTTCGGCTTGAAGGCAGGGTTTCATGGGGGTGGGGAGGCCTTGGCTGCCACCTGTCTGTATCACCTCTGAGATGTAAATTTTCCCCCTAAAGTCATTCTTTTTTTTTTTTTTTTTTTTTTTTTTGAGACAGATTCTTGCTCTGTTGGCCAGGCTGGCGTGCAGTGGTCCAATCTCGGCTCACTGCAATCTCCGTCTCCCAGGCTCAAGCAATTCTCCTCCCTCAGCCTCCTGAGTAGCTAGGATTATAGGCGTGTGCCACCACCATGCCTGGCTAATTTTTGTATTTTTAATAGAGACGGGGTTTCACCATGTTGGCCAGGCTGGTCTCGAAGTCCTGACCTCAGGTAATCCACCTGCCTCGGTCTCCCAAAGTGCTGGGATTACAGGCGTGAGCCAGTGCCCCCGGCCAAGTCATTCTTTTAAAAGGACGAATTTAGGCCGGGGGCGGTGGCTCACGCCTGTAACCGCAGCACTTTGGGAGGCCAAGACGGGTGGATCACGAGGTCAGGAGAACGAGAGACCATCCTGGCCAACATGGTGAAACTCCCTCTCCACTAAAAATACAAAAAATTAGCCGGGCGTGGTGGCGGGCGACTGTAGTCCCAGCTAGTCGGGAGGCTGAGGCAGAAGAATGGCGTGAACCCGGGAGGCGGAAGTTGCAATGCGCAGAGATCGCCCACTGCACTCCATCCAGCCTGGGCGACAGAGCGAGACTACGTCTCAAAAAAAAAAAAAAAAAAAAAAAAAAAAGACAAATTTAGCGCTGCTGGGCTTAGGGCAATGGAACAGGTAATTGAAAGACTGATAGTCTTAAAGGGGGATGGACAAGCAAGGTGGCTCGGGCCTGTAATCCCAGCACTTTGGGAAGCAAGTGGAACACTTGGGTCCAGGAGTTCAAGTCCAGCCTGGGCAACATGGCAAGACCCTGTCTCTACAAAAAATTAGCCTGGCATGTGCTGGCATGCACCTGTAGTTCCAGCTACTTGGGAGGCCGAGGTAGGAGGATGGCTTGAGCCCAGGAGGAGGAGGTTGCAGTGAGCTGAGATGTCGCCACTGCACTCTAGCCTGGGCAACACAGCGAGACCTTGTCTCAAAAAGCTAACTAATTAATTAAAAGTCTTAAAGAGGAGAGAAACAATTTTGGAAACTGGCAAATGAAACATTCTTAATGAACGCTCTAAGATCTGCTTCTATCTGCATGTTTATGTATGTCTATATATGTATGTGTGTTATGTATATGTAATTTTTTTAAATTTATTTATTTATTTATTTATTTATTTATTTATTTATTTATTTATTTATTTTGAGATGGAGTCTTCGCTCTGTCACCAGGCTGGAGTGCAGTGGTGCGATCTCAGCTCACTGCAACCTCCACCTCCCGGATTCCAAAGATTCCCTGCCTCAGCCTCCTGAGTCCCAGCCTGTAGCTGGGACTGCAGTCACGTGCCACCATGACTGGCTAATTTTTGTATTTTTAGTAAAGGCCGAGTTTCACCATGTTGGCCAGGATGGTCTCCATCTCTTGACCTTGTGATCCACCCACCTTGGCCTCCCAAAGTGCTGGGATTACAGGCGTGAGCCACCGCGCCCGACCTGTATATGTAATATTTTTTACCTTGAATGATATTGTAACTACGCAGCAGATTATCCTTGCCTGCTGCCTAGACAGAGCCAATTTGTCAAGACAGAATTGCAATAGAGAAAGAGCTTAATTTATGCAGAGCCTGCTGTATGGAAAACTGGCATTTTATTATTACTCAAATCAGTCTCTCTGAGAATTTGGGGACTGGGGTTTTTAAGGATAATTTGGTGGGTAGGGGCCAGTGAGTCGCGAGTGCTGACTGGCTGGGTTAGAGATGAAATCATAGGGAGTTGAAGTTGTCCTCTTGTGCTGAGTCAGTTTGGGTGGGATTCACAAGACCAGATGAGCCAGTTTATCAATCTTGATGGTGCCAGCTGATCCATCAAGTGCGGGGCGGCGGGGTGGGGGGTGCTGCAAAATATCTCAAGTACTGATCTTAGGTTTTACAACAGTGATATTATCCCCAGGAGCAATTTGGGAGGTCAGAATCTTACAGCCTCCAGGGGCATGACTTCTAAACCCACAGTTTCTAATCTTGTGGCTAATTTGTCAGTCCTATAAAGCAGTCTAGTTCCTGGGCAGGAAGGGAGTTTGTTTTGAGAAAGGGCTGTTACCGTCTTTGTTTCAAAGTTAAACTAAAAGTTCCTCCCAAAGTTAGTTTGGCCTGCACCTGCACCCAGGAATGAACAAGGGCAGCTTCAAGGTTAGAAGCAAGGTGGAGCTGGTTAGGTCAGATCCCTTTCACCACTATAATTCTCTCTGTTATAATTTTGCAGTGGCGGTTTCAATCTTTTCAAAATGTATAAAGAACTCTATTTAATTGACATAAAGAAAAAAATAAACACTTAGATAAGTATTCCCTCAGAAAAATAGAAACTAACTCAATTCAGTTTTAGTTCATGTAATCTGAGATAATCATTGGTAAATAAAGCTAGTTTTGAAATTGTTGGTAAAATAAAAACAGGAATATATTTAAAATTGTCAGCATTAGTAAGGCTGGGCATGGTGGCTCACACCTGTAATCCCAGCACTTTGGGAGGCCGAGGCGGGTGGATCACCTAAGGTCAGGAGTTCGAGAACAGCCTGGCCAACATGGAGAAACCCCGTCTCTACTAAAAATACCAAAAATTAGCCAGGCATAGTGGCAGGCGCCTGTATCCCAGCTACTCAGGAGGTTGAGACGGGAGAATCGCTTGAACCCAGGAGGCAGAGGTTGCAGTGAGCCAAGGTCGGACCATTGCACTCCAGCCTGGGCAAGAAGAGCGAAACTCCGTCTCAAAAAAAAAAAAGAAAGAAAGAAAGAAAAAAAAAATTGTCAGCATTAGTAATAATGCAAACATACTTTTTTAAACCTAGATTTACTTCTCAAACAAGCATGTTATCTCCTAGATGTTTAAGGCTATAAAACTAACATTGTTATGTTTAAAGTTTCAACCCAAGAGCAGAATGCCTCATGAAAATAAATTGCTTGGCTGAACTCAGTGGCTCATACCTATAATCCGAATACTTGGGGAGGTCAAGGTGGGAGGACCGCTTGAGTCCAGGAGTTGAAGACCAGCCTGGGCAACATAGGAGACCCTGTTACAGGTAGTTAGACAGGCATGAGCAGGGCTGGAGAGGGCTCTCCCCCCACCCACTAGGAATGTCAAGTGATGGTTCGGCAGTCACCACATTTGCCTCTCTAAAAGTGGTCAATTGAAAGCTGATGCAAGGGAGAGACCATTTCCTGATGGTCCACACCTGTTGCACTAAAATGTTAATTGAATGCAGATGCTAGGAAGAAGCAACTGCCCGGGTATGCTCGTTAAGAGACCAAATGGCAGAGCATAACCTTCTGGGGACACTCCACCAGAAAAGGGAAGAAAGCCTCAGATGGGCATGCGTACAACCTCCTAAACACACTGCACTTGCTCACCTCACAAGAATAACGAGGGCACTGTGCATGTGGCAGGCCACCCTAAGGGAATGATCACGGGAAAGGGACCAGCCCGGAAAGTCCTAGGATCAAGGTTCAATATCACAGTTGACCTCGGTGCCCACTTGGAACTCTTCAAAGCATACTTTCCTTTCTTTCCTGTTCTAGAGACTTTTAAAATAGACTTCCACTCCTGCTCTGAAACTTGCCTCGGTCTTTTTTTCTGCCTCAGTCAGTCTTTCTTCTGAGAAGCCAAGAATTGAGGTTGCTGCAGATCCCTGTGGTAACTCGGACACATTCCACCAGTAACAACCCCATCTCTACAAAATGTTAAAAAATAAATTAGCCAGGCACGGTGGTGCACACATGAGGTCCTAGCTGCTCAGGAAGCTGAGGTGGGAGGATCCCTTGAGCCCAGGAGGTCAAGGCTGCAGTGGACCATGATCGCACCACTGCACTCTATCCTAAGCGGCAGAGTGAGACCCTGTCTGAAAAAAAAAAAGAAGAAGAAAGGAAGAAAGAAAATTAATTGCTTGATGCATGTCAGTCATGGAAGTAAAAAGGAGAGAAAAACTATATTTAACTTTTTAGTTTCTTTGCTTCTGTGATATTTTTGATACTATGTCAAGAAATAACTTAAGATGATGGCTAGCCTTGTTTTCCATGAGCAATTCAAACAGAAATGTTAAGAACAAGTAAACTGGATAAATGCAAATGGGATAAATGTTTATAAATAAACTTTTTATGGTTTCACATTTTTTTCAGAAACTTGAAACCTTAAAGTTATGTTATATTAAGTAATAGATATTTATGAAATGTCTGAGTCATTTCTATAGAAGTTAAAATGTTGAAACATTAATTGCTGAACATCAGTTAAAGTATACATACTTTGGTATCTTGTTTTTACATGGTATAGAGAAGCTAAATATATTTGGAGCTATTAATAAACAGAAATTGATGAAACCTATGTTTCTAAAAATTATGAGATGGTACTCATCTACAAAATGCTGACATAAATTGTTCAAAATTGCTTACCTAGAAATTAAGGTCACTACAAGTGAAAAATTCTAATTAGTATATTGTAATTATAACTAAAAATAGTAAGGGAAACAACTCCTTATGCAAAGAAAGTAATAAGTGAAACTTACATGAAAGATGTGTTTATATTAAAGGAAAAGGAGTAAATTTCATCCTAAAGTAGAATGACTGGTTGTCCCAACGTAAGAAACAATAAAAGAACAGGGCAAATAACTGAAGAGATATAAGAAGGTTGTAGAAGTTTGTGGAAGATGAATCTTGGGAAAAGAATCTTACGTGTGATCAAATTGGGTAAAATTAGAAGGGAATTAGTTATAAGTTTTTCTAAAAACTGAGCATTAGTATTAAAAGTACACTGATGCAAAACTACAATTTGGTTCTCTCTGTTATAACAACAAAGTTTTCTTGGAGTTTTAGATAAAACTAAATAGGAAATAGTAATAGGAAATAGTAAAAAGTTTTTCTTTACATTTTTAAGTAATTATTCCAGGAGACAAAGTTTTTGTGTTTTATCAAAATTCCCTGTGCTTCATGTTGGCTTTATTAGATCTTGGTCACTTAAGAAAACTGAGTTATCTAATTCCATGAAAGGGTCAAATCATACATGCAAAGTAGCCCCCAAATGCCAAAAGAGCCAATAAACCAAAAGAGGCAGAAAAATCCAGTTTGTCAGTTTGGGGTGATTTATGAGGGGAACTTACAGACAGAAGTGTGGTTTTGGGCAGCTGTGAGACAGGTAGATCTCCATACCACAATCCCCCGGACTCAGGTATCTTGGAGAAAAAGCATGCATGCTCCGGAAGGGACGTGTAGGTGGCTACAGATGTCACAGCCTGCGATTTCTGCCACAACAAGGGTGGTTTTGAAGGAAATTTACAAGGAATAGGTGTTCCTACATAAAGAATAATGTAGCCGGGGCGTGGTGGTGGATGCCTTTAATCCCAGCTACTAGGGAGGCTGAGACAGGAGAATTGCTTGGACCCAGGAGGCGGAGGTTGCAGTGAGCCGAGATTGCATGCCATTGCACTCCAGCCTGGGCAACGGAGCAAGACTCCCTCTCAAAAAAGAAGAAGAATGTGCCCACTAGACATTTTGGAGGCATTCCCTAGATTTAGGGTAGCCAGGAGGATTAAGCTTTAAATTAAAGTCATTCTTGTCCTCATACCTCTCTATTAAAGAGCTAAGGTTTTATCTATAACTATGTAACTTTCTGTATTTGCCTTTGAGTCTTAATTATCACCCTGGTTAAGGAAATAACTAATATTTCGTAGCTACCTGTGATCCTATTTTGAGCAAGTGTTTTTGTTTTTTTTTTTTGTGACGGAGTCTCGCTCTGTCACCCAGGCTGAAGTGCAGTGGCGTGATCTCGGCTCACTGCAACCTCAGCCTCCCGGGTTCAAGCAATTCTCCTGCCTCAGCCTCCATAGCAGCTGGGACTACAGGTGCCCACCACCATGCCCAGCTAATTTTTGTATTCTTAGTGGAGACAGGGTTTCACCATGTTGGCCAGGCTGGTCTTGAACTCCTGACCTTGTGATCTGCCCGCCTTGGCCTCCCAAAGTGCTGGGATTACAGGGGTGAGCCACCACCTCCAGCCCTTTTTTATTTTTATTATTTATTTATTTATTTATTTGAGATGGAGTTTCACTCTTGTTGCCCAGGCTGGAGTGCAATGACGCGATCTCAGCTCACCGCAACCTCCACCTCCCAGGTTCAAGCAATTCTCCTGCCTCAGCCTCCCAAGTAGCTGGGATTACAGGCATGCACCACCACACCCGGCTAATTTTGTATTTTTAGTAGGGACGGGGTTTCTCCATGTTGGTCAGGCTGGTCTCGAACTCCCGACCTCAGGTGATCTGCCCACCTCGGTCTCCCAAAGTGCTGGGATTACAGGTGTGAGCCACCATGCCCAGCTTCAAGTGTTTTAAATCTTTGATATTTTTGACAAACTTCCCAAAATCAAATTCTAAATTATGTCTTCTAAGATATATATTAAACTAATAGGCTTATTTAATATGTTAATTATATGGAAAGCGCTGTCAAATAAGAAGTAATATTTAATCTTCTTGGAGTTTTGCTTAGCCATTTGCATGGCTATGTTATTAGTATATTGCATAGCCATTTGCATGGCTATGTTATTAGTATATGTTCCCCGAATTGTACAAAATTCCTAGAGATTTGCTATTAGTCATAATTTTAGTTATTATTTTAAAATACTTGCCACAGAAATAACATTTTCTTGTAAGTTGTGTCATTATTATAATGAACTCTCATCAAATCTTTAACAAAGGTCATTTTAAGTCTTGTGGTTGACAGTTAATTTGCTTATTCTAATTCTTTTCTGAAAGCTTTTTGCAAGCAACTACAATCCTAAAGTGTGTGGCTTCAGCTCTGACAAGTACAAGTTTCTGATAACTTTTAGATCATATCATTAAACTGAGTAAGGATTTCCAGAAATCTAATGAAGAAACTCGTGGGTTTATGGAAGTGCTAACCAGGATCAAATAGACCAGACCAAACCAAAATGGAGTCATGTGCTAAATACCACACAATCCAACTGAAACTTCAAACATGCAGATAGATCCCAAAACATGCCAGTGTTTCTCAACCTTCATTTTATTGTTGCCCCCTAAGGAGCCCTTTTAGATCTCAAATTGATTAAATGAGACTGAATAAACTGATAAAGAAGAATTACGGGGTTTTATTTTTTGTTTTATTTGAAACATTACTGGTTCTTTTGATGTTTTGTTTTGCAGATTTAAGGAAACTTTTTCTGAAGCTATCTGTAACTTATACCACCTTGGTAAATTGACTTTTTCTCCCCATCTAATTCCTCCAGAATTTGGAAGCTAATTATGAGTATTCTTATTTTTATGGCAATGTAGTTATCTGGATAAGTTCCATAAGAGTCTGCTCCCTTTAGAGCATGACACAATTGGAAATATTGGTTATATTACCAAGGTTTTGCCTAGGATGTCATATTTGAGAATGTACATAGGATGAATCTATAGTTTCTATAGGCAAAGTCTGAAGTCTGCCTTAGTTTGGCTTCCTAGCTTTAAGAAGTTTTAAAAAGTACAATCTGAGATTCTTTATCACAAATCTGCAAAGCAAACTTAAAAGCAGCCTATGTGGTCTTTCAATATTTTTGTTGGACCTATGTAGATAATTAGGCCAAGTTTAATGAGGCTAAATTTATTTTGCAAATAAATTCATCATACTTTGGTTATCTTTGGAAATGGGGATGACTGTGGAGAGAGACTGTTTCAGAAGAAAAACTACAGTATACCTATCATTAGATTATAGCCTTATTCATTGTTTTCAAGTTTTTATTCTCTACCTGTATACTGGACTGGATCCTGAATTCTTCTAAGTTCCTTCAATCCAATTTTCCTTCCTTGAAGTTCCTTCAATCCAATCCCGTGAAATCACTAAGAGCAAGAACTGCTCTGTTCTTGAAACCCTCGAAGCTGAAGCGGGACAATTCAATGTAAATTTAGAGGGCAGCCTTGTGCCTGATATGTGGGCTGCACAGAAAGTTCATTCACCAAAATGCCCAGTGCCATAAGCAGAAACATTCCAACTGCAAACCAGGATAAAAAGTTGATGACTTCTTGCTGTGGACAGCTTTTCCCAAGATGTTGGAACTAGAATCCCCATTATAATGAGACTCTTGTCCCTCTTATTTTTTCCTTGCTTATACATACCTCTTTCACTTGGAAGGATAATGATATAATTAGAGTTTCACAATAAGTAGCTTCTGAGGGTAACTTGGCAGAGTGTTGGATCTGTCACGTCAAACCTAAATCTTTACGTGACCTAAGAAATCCTTTAGTTCACCCAGTGGCTAATTTTAGCAACATTCCCAATGAACCTGTTTGTTCAAATTAAACTAGTGGTACCTTTTATAGGGTTAGATTTCCAGACCCACCTGTTCTTTTTTTTTTTTTTTTTCCAAGACGGAGTCTTGCTCTGTCACCCAGGCTGGAGTGCAGTGGCACGATCTCAGCTCACTGCAACCTCCACCTCCCGGGTTCAAGGAATTCTCCTGCTTCGGCCTCCCAAGTAGCTGGGATTACAGGCACGCACCACTACACCTGGCTAATTTTTGTATTCTTAGTGGAGACAGGGTTTCACCATGTTGTCCAGGCTGGTTTCAAACTCCTGACCTCAAGCAATCCACCCACCTCAGCCTCCCAATGTGCTGGGATTAAGGCATGAGCCACCGTGCCTGGCCTCCCACTTGTTCTTACTCCATGTCCCAGTAATGGGACACTAGACAATAGCATATCTACTACCTACTAGCTGAACAGGGAGGAGTCTGTGAAGTTTCTGACACTTCTTGTTGACATGCATAAATACATCCGGTATTGTAGACACTCCATGGAAAAAATTAACCAACAGGTTACTTGGTTAAAATGAGTAGATTCCTCATCTGGTTTTTTCTTTGATCTATTTGATTTTAGTTGGTTTGGTTTATGGGGATCCTGGCTAAATAGAATACTCCAAACTCTTGGCATTATCTTTCTGATAGTCATAATGGTAGTCTCCATGCTGCACTGTCTTCTCTCAAAAGTTTTAAATATTTGCATTCAGCCATTCATTGAATGTCAAATAGTCTTTCTTCTACTGGAATGACAAAAACTGAAAGAAATATGTGATTATGAGGACACTGTAATTTATGAATGGCACACTGAGACCAGAAAGCCAAAAAGATGGTGAGAGTTAGTGCTAATGCCCTAAATTTTGGTCATGCTCTCATCTAAGTAAGAAAGCACGCGGTGGCTCAAGCCTGTAATCCCAGCACTTTGGGAGACTGAGGCGGGCAGATCATGAGGTCAGGAGATTGAGACCATCCTGGCTAACACGGTGAAAACCCGTCTCTACAAAAAATACAAAAAATTAGCCGGGCATGGTGGTGGGCACCTGTAGTCCCAGCTACTCGGGAGGCTGAGGAGGAGAATGGCATGAACCCGGGAGGCGGAGCTTGCAGTGAGCCGAGATTGCACCACTGCACTCCAGCCTGGGCGACAGAGCGAGACTGTCTCAAAAAAAAAAAAAAAAGAAAAGAAAAGAAAAGAAAGCAGGGAAATTGTTAAACAAAAATTATAGGAGGCTATTGTTTTGAACTGAGTTCCTACTCTTCCCCAATAGGCCAGAGTCGCATGCTAAATACCACATAATCAAACTGAAGCTTTAACAATGAGGATAGATCCCAAAACATGTCAGTGTTTCTCAACCTTCTTTTCATTGTTTTCACTCTAAGGAGGGGAAATTTTCCCTCCAATCATACTCCCTCATGAATTTTTAATATCACAGATGTACTGTGCATTTGTTTATGCATTCTATGTGTATCTATGTGTCTTACATTAGAAGAAAAAGATTCTTTTTTACTCTCCTCTAAGAACAGACTTCTGCTCCTGAGAGGCATTATTGCCCCAGCTGAGAATCCATAATCCAGACAACGATCATCAGTGATTTGATGGTGAACACTGACATGTTGAGATCTACTGACACCATCTGAACTCACCCATCATTCTTAAAATTGTACAACAGACCCTATGGCCCTCTTGATAAAAGGCAATAGGAGGTAAACAGCACCACCTAGTAGGCATATTTGCAAAACAAAAAACAATGAACTTGAATCTAATCAAGTTTGCAGCTCTAATCAATTTAGAAGAAATACAAGGATAAACTAGCATGTTAAAAACAGCAAAAGGAAACAAACAGTTAAGCCCAGAATATACAAAGTTCTACAGAATAAATGACCCAGTTTACTCAAGAGATGAAAAGCATTAAAAAAAAAAAAAAAGGAGGAGGAAAAGGAGAAGAAACTGTAATAGATGAGAAGAAATTTAGAAGACACATCAACCAAACGAAGTGTGTGGGTTGCATCGAATGTGGTTTAAATGTTATATCCAGGAATTGCTGAACACAATGACAATTTTGTTGAGTGTGATGACAGCATTAAGGTTTTGAATTTTTTTTTTTTTTTTTTTTTTTTTTTTTTTTGAGACAGAGTCTCGCTCTGTCGCCCAGGCTGGAGTGCAATGGCGCAATCTCGGCTCACTGCAAGCTCTGCCTCCCGAGTTCATGCCATCCTCCTGCCTCAGCCTCCTGAGTAGCTGGGACTACAGGCGCCCGCCACCACGCCTGGCTAATTTTTTGTATTTTTTTAGTAAAGACGGGATTTCACTGTGTTAGACAGAATGGTCTTGATCTCCTCACCTCGTGATCCGCCCGGCTCGGCCTCCCAAAGAGCTGGGATTACAGGCATGCGCCACCGCGTCCAACCAAGGTTTTGATTTTTAAGTCTTTTTCTCTCAGAAATTCATTCTATTGTATTTATGGGTGGAATTGTATAATGTCTTGAATTTGACTTAAAATATTTTAGTAACTTCCAAAAATGCTTGGGATGGGGATTGAGGAAGGAAGAGAGGCAGAAGGTGAATAATTGTCAAGGCAAGCTGGATGGTGATACAGCTGGATGAGGGTACCCCGATACTATTCTCATCTCTACATCTTTGTATGTTTAATATTTTTCACAGTAAAAAGTTTTTTATTATTTGCTCAACCAAAACATTCTAAGACGGACATAAAATAAAGAGGGTTGTTAGTAAACGCCTTGTGGGAATCAGAGGTCCCCAGTCTATGACCTTGGAAAAATGCCAAACACCATTCCTGCAGCCAAAAACGGTCTTTCCTCCACTGGGAATAACTTGTCTGCTTTTACTTTTAAACCCTGTGGTTATTTTTGAAATGCTAGTTTATTTTCCCAAGAATGCCCGAAACAATGATTGATTTTAGAAAGCTATTTCCAGGACATATATATTTTTTTTTCTTTTTTTTTTTTTTTTTTTGAGACGTAGTTTCGCTCTTGTTGCCCAGGCTGGAGTGCAGTGGCGCGACCTCGGCTCACCACAACCTCTGCCTCCTGGGTTCAAGCGATTCTCCTGCCTCGGCCTCCCAAGTAGCTGGGATTACAGGCATGTGCCACTACGCCCGGCTAATTTTGTATTTTTAGTAGAGAGGGGGTTTCTCCATGTTGGTCATGCTAGTCTCAAACTCCCATCCTCAGGTGATCCACCTGTCTTGGCCTCCCAATGTGCTGGGATTACAGGCGTGAGCCACCACGCCCGGCCTCCAGGCCACATTTTCTAGTTGTACCTCAAAGCAGAGCTGTTGCTCAGGCCTCCTCTTCCTCAGTGCTTTCATGTCCCCTGCCACTGACCAGTAGACCTCCTTGGCGCTCCTCCTCCCTCTCCTCCTGGTGCTGTGTCTGGGTCTTCATTCCTCACTCCTCTTCTTCCCCCCTAGTCCACACAGGATAGACAGGGTCCCCACTGCTCTGGGCTTGGCCACCATTTCTTCCCATCCGGGGACAGAGTCCTGTGACTTGTGTTACCATCGCTCTGCTGTTGACTCCCAAGTCCCCATCTCCAGCCCAGCCTGCTCTCCTGCTGATTCTCCAAGATGTCTATAGCCTGCTAGGTGCCTCAGTGACATCCCAGCATCACCGTGTTCCAACCTGGGGCATCATCTTTCTTTCCATGCCACTCCCTTCTCCTGAAGTCACCACCTATAAACAGGGCCCCCATACTCAGAAATTAGAAGTTGGGATATGAAACAGCTACATGGTATCAAACTTGGGTCTCTGTTCTTTTACTTATTCACTTAACAAATACTTATTGTGTGCCTATTATGTTGTCAGGCACTGTCTGGACACAGCAGGCATTGGGGACACAGCAGTGAAAAATGCTCTTATGAAGCTGGCAATAAACAGGCAAGTAAATATCTAATCTATCAAGGCAAGGCAATGGAGAGTGTAGGGTCGATACAGTGAAGGCTGCTCTGAGGATGTGACATTGGAGCAGAGACCTGAGTGAAGTGAGAAGGTGAGCCATGTGGACACCTGGAGAGCAGGATTCAAGGCAGAGGGAACAGCATGTGCAAAGGCCCCGAGGCAGAAGCATCTTGGCAGATCCTAAGAGCAGCAAGTAAGGCAGTAAGGCTGCATTTGAATAAGTAAGTGGGAGGCGGTAAGAGATGGAATCAGAGGAATAGCAAGGAGCTTGCTGGTGCAGGGGTTTCTTGGTCCCAGGAAGGGCTCTGAATTTAGGCCTGGCACAATGGGAATCCATCAGAGGGTCTTGAGCAAAGGAATGATATTATTTCATTGATGTTTTATCATATCACTCTGGTTTCTGGTTGGAGAATATCCTGTAGAACACAGAAGCAAGGAGACTCATGAACGTATGTGTCCATGAAACCCTATTCTCAGCTTGGTATGTTTATTGTGTGATATGAATGTTTGTTGTTGTTATTTGGAAGTTAAGGCCAGTGCATCCTGAACCCTCTGGATGACCAGTTTAGAAGTGGGTACGTGGCCAAGACTTCCATGCTCCTATGTGTGCTTTGTCCATGGTGGCCCCTAGCAGACCACTTTAGTTGTCACAAGCTCAGGAGGTAAGAAGCTGAGTGCTCCCTGGACCAGGGCCCTCACATGTGCTGTCTTGGGTGCCTGGTTCTCTCTGCCTCCAGCTCTTCTCACATCTGGCTCCTTCTCTTCAAATCTTACCCTAAATGTGAGGCCTCAGAGACGTCTCCTCTGATACCCTATGTAGGTGAAATCCCCTTGTTATTCTCCATCACTTTTCTCTGTCCATTTCTGTAGCATTTATTACACATCACATTCATGCAAGTGCTTGTTTTCTAGTTGGTGGCCCATCTTCTTCCTACTAGACAGCAGAACTGTGACTGTGATCTTGCAGCCATAAGCAGAAAGAAAGAGGTCCTCAGAGAGGCCACCTGGGAGTCCTGACAAAGCTGAGCCTGGAACCAGACTTCTTGTCCAGTGACAAGGTAATAAAACCTGACAGTTAGGCTGCTGTTGTGGAATATTCTGTTACTTGCAGCCAGAAGCATTTCAATGGGCACACTCTGTTTCACCAAAGAGGAAACGGAATCTCAGACTAGCCAAGTCACTGGGAGAGGTATCTCTGCCTTCTCCCTTGCTATTCTCCACCAACATGCCTTCCTCTCCCTGCTCCTGCATCCTCCTGGCAAGGACAGCCTTGTCCTATTTAAGGTCCACTTCAAGCCCCCTCTTCTAGGAAATCTTTGATCCCACCAACCACAGGGATCTGTCCCCTCCCTCTGCATTGCAGAGGATAGTAGGTGGGGTGAGGGGGATGCAGGGAGGGATCCTGGGAGGGAAGAGCTGCTCCCAACACCTCCTAGAGAGAGAAGACTTAAACATTTGCCTTTTAAAAAGCTGTAATTATTTTTCATGTTGCAATTAGGCTTGGTTTAAAAAGAAACGTGTTAATTATTCTATTTCCTGCTGAGTCTTTGCCAAAGCAGCAGCTCATTTCCCACTCCCGCAAAGTCCTCAGAGGTAGCGCCATGCCCTGGAGATTCTCTGGTCTGCACAGCACACGGGGCTGTTTCTGCACTTGCTTAGAGATCACAGCCACAGGGGTGCTGAGATTGCTCCGAGCATCACCTCTCTCCAAGCTGCCGATGCTTCCACAGTAAAGTGAGGCCGTTGGATGCAGCAGATCTCCCGGTCCCACTCTCTGGGGACACCATTCTAGGGTCCCTGAGGCAGCAAGGAGCTTCCTATTGAATTCTGAGCCCATTTGTCTGGTCAGCAGTGCTCTCACCAGAAATAGAGGAGGACACGGAGGCCCAGGCCTGGGTGGAGCTTCGTGAGATGGGCCATCATGGGGAAACCTTCCTCTGGGCATTACTTTCCCTCTTGTTTCCCATGAGGTTCTCTCAAGAACCTTGGGAGATGAAGAAGGAACAGTCTTTTTAACAAATTGTGCTGGGATAACTAGATATTCACATGGAAAAGAATGAAGTTGGGCATACCATATACAAAAATTAGCTGAAAATGGATCAAAGACCTAAACGTAAGTATTAAAACCATGAAACGCTTAGAAGAAAACATCAGGGCAAATCTTTGTGATCTTGGACAAGGCAATGATTCCTTACATGTTACACCAAAGGCACATGCAACAATGACCAAAAAAAGTTAAGTTGGACTTCATCAAAATTATAAACATTTGTGCGCCAAAGAGCACTATCAAGAATGTGAAAAAAAAAAAAAAAAAAAAAACCAACCCACAGAATGGGAGAAAATGTTTGCCAATCAAATATCTGATAAGGGACTTGTATCTAGAATATATAAAGAACTCTTGCAACTCAATAATAAAAGGACAAATAACCTAATTAAAAACTGGGCAAAGAACTTAAATAGACATTTCTCCTAAGATGATATGCAAATGGCCATTAAATACATGAGACAATGCTCAGCATCTTTAGTCATTAGAGAAATCAAAACCAAAATCACAATGAGATACCACTTCACACCCACTAGGATGGTTAGAACAAAAAAGATGAACAATGACGAATGTTGGCAAGGATGTGGAAACTTGGAACCCTCATACACTGCTGGTGGGAATTTAAAATGGTGCAGCTGATTTGGAAAACAGTCTGGCAGTGTCTCACAAAGTTAATTATAGAGTTATCACATGCCCCAGCAATTCACTTCTCGGACTATGCCCAGCAGGACTGAAAGCACATGTCCACGTGGAAACTTGAGCCCAAAGGTTCAGAGCAGCATGATTCATAATAGTGGAATTCCACTTCCACCAAGAAGTGGAAACAACCCAAATGCACATGAACTGGTGAACGGATCAACAAAATGGCATATCCATACAATGGGATATCATTTGGCGATAAAAAGAAAGGAAGTTTTTATTTATGCTACGACATTCACGAGTTGAAAACATTGTGCTAAGTGCAAGAAGCCAGACACAAAAGGCCACCTATTATGTGATTTCATATGATGAAACTTCCATAAAACAACAACCCATAGAGATTAGTGGTTAGTAGGGCATAGGGAAAGGAGGGAATGGGGCAGGACTGCTAACTGGTACGGGGATGATGAAAAGTTTCTGGAATTAGTGATGGTTGCACCACTAATTGTCCTTTTAGAAGGGGTGAATTTTATAGGATGTAATTGCACACTGAATTGTATTCAATTGTAAACTTAGGAAGGGTGAATTTTATGGGCTGTAATTGAATTACATCCCATAAATTGGGATGTAATTGAACTGTACACTTAGAAAGGGTGAATTTTATGGGATGTAATTTGTGTATCTATTTTAAACGAAAGAACCCTGGGAGCTGCAGAGGCTCCCTCCCTTCCTCTCTGCCAGTACTTCACTCCCTACTCTCGTCCAAGCCACCAGCCTTGAATTGAAGCCACAGCCATCAGCTGGGCCCGCTGCTCCCTCTCCTGCCCCCCACAGCACCCACAGTGCTCCTTTTGAAATGTAAATCACTTCACATCCCTCCTTTAGGTAAAGCACTCCAGCACTTGGACTCAAATTCAATCTTCCGTGGCATAGACAGCCCGTGCAACTTGTCCCCTGCCTTTCTTGACCTCCCCCGACACCCTCATCCCACATCCCCCTAATTGTCGTCCCACAGACACCGGGGGCTTCTCCTTGGTCTTGCGTGGGTGGCCCCTTCTTGTTGAGATCTCAGCGGCAATGTCACCTCCTCTGAGAGGCCACCCCCATCCCGGCTCTCTGAAGCAGCTTCTTTGCTTCCCCCAGCGCTTCGCCCCGTCTTCCTCCTTCACTTTCACAGCCTGTGCTCACCTTGTTCACTTGTATGTTTAACTGTTACTTGCCTCTCTCCACTTCTAGAATGTAAGCTCCCGAGAACCAGGATCTGGCATAGTGCTTGGCATGTACTGGGGTTTTGTCCAAAAGAACACCAACGGCTTTACTGGAGTGGACTGAAGGTGCTCGCTCTTTGAAGAGGGAAAGGGCAGGTTGGTTTTATGCCTCACAGGGTCCATATTACACAATAAAGTCATACATATTCATCAGGTTTGGGGGAAAGCTATACATATTTATGAGGAAAGCCGAGCGCACGTACAATGGGTAAAAATATATGTGACATGCATCCCATGTTCACTTTGGAGTGGGTTTTAGCATTAAAATGAGGTGGAATGAGGCCGGGCACGGTGGCTCACGCCTGTAATCCCAGCACTTTGGGAGGCTGAGGCGGGCAGATCTCCTGAGGTCAGGAGTTCGAGACCAGCCTGACCAACATGGAGAAACCCAGTCTCTACTAAAAATGCAAAATTCGCTGGGCATGGTGGCTCATGCCTGTAATCCCAGCTACTTGGGAGGCCGAGGCAGGAGAATCGCTTGAACCCAGGTGGCAGAGGTTGCAGTGAGCTGAGATCACACCATTGTACTCAGCCTGGGCAAAAAAAGCGAAACCCCATCTTGGAAAAAAAAAAAAAAAGAGGTGGAATTTGGCTCTTTACAATAAAAGGTGAACTATAGGCCACAAAGACAATCTGTGTGCAGTCTCTGTAAGCTGCTGAAACTGGCTTAAGCTCTGCAGTTGCTTTTCAGGAAAGAATGTGAGGCAGGTCCACTGTCCGATCAGTTATAGTGGTCTGGGTGTAAGTCGGAGTTGAGAGGGGTCAACTCCTCTATCAGGAGTTGATAGGAATATCAACAGTTGATAGGATAGCTCCTGAAATAGGAGCTATCAGGGATCATTTTCCTGATAGCTCCTATTGTTAGGGTGTTTGGCAAGAGCGTGGTTTTCTTATAGCTGTTGGAATTCAGGGAGCTACCATGCCAGTTGCTCCAAACCCTCAACCCAACCTGTAGGTAACTTCTGTTTTCTTAACCTTAGGATCCATCTTGGTTGATAAGGGAGTGTCTCAGATCACAATCTCAATAAATGTGTGTGAAATGAATAAAAATATCATTGTGTATCTGCCACTTAGCAGAGATGTGTCCTTGTTGCCAAGTTACCTCCCAGACCCCCAGGGCCTCTGCCTCCCAATCTGTAGAGTAGGACATCATGGGACCATTTGTGGGAATAGGATGAGCTGATGCATGTAAAGGCCAAATGGTAGCTTCTTTCCGGATGGGGTGAAATAGCCAAGTAGGAGGGACATTTTTGTGGTTTGAGGAGAATATTTGACTCCTGGACTTCCATAGGAGATTTTGGATTTATGTCCCACTCTCAAAGGCAACCCCTTAAGGGGGCCCCGCTGCTTGTGGACTTGGTGCTGCATAGCAAATCACAACCCCAGAAGAGAGGTGTCCATGGCAAGAAACACATCTGATTCATTTCTGTGTCCCAGCAGAGCTACTGAGAGCCAGGCCTAGAGTCCACAGTCTTCAGGGTTTGAGTGCCTGATGGCCACCCAAAAGTGGATCCTCCTAGAGAAGTGGTGAAGACCAGTGAAGTGCTTCCCGGAAGCATGTCAAACACCTTGCTCTGAGCTTTTCTGCCTGGAACAGGCAGACTGGGAGGCAGGGCTGGAATTTCAGGGGTGCAGGGAAGGAGGACCTTTATATAGACTTCCACCCAACAGTGAGCACGTTGTCTGCATTTGAGTCCGGGGAGCCTGGAGGCCAGGCTGCATCTGGCCAGGACCTAAAAAACAGCCCTGCGGGGTAGGAAGTTGGCCTGACCGATATCCAGGCATGATGTCCTGAGAACCCAGAGGAAGTTGGGTCACTGGGGCACCAGTGATTTCCAGCTTGGCCACCGCCTGCCCCATGAAGGTGCAGGTGGGAGGAGATGTGGGTGCTTTTCGCTAGTCAGGTGATCCTGGGCAGGTCGCAGGAGCTCACTTCCCCTCTGGGAGCTTCAGCTTTGGTCTGCCGGAAAATGGAGTTGAACCAAGTGCATCTGTCTGTGGTCTGTTGAAAAGGAAGTAAACTCGTAGCCCGAGGAGGATTCCAGAACCAGTGCTCTGGAGTGTGGCAGGCAGCCCTTGATGTGACTCCATTTTGGCATTTAGCAGCTGTGCCACCTCGGACAAGCCACTGACCTCTCAGGACTTCTTGCCTCATCTAAACTGGGAACCTAAGGTTCACAGAACTATCTAAAGGACTAAGGTGCTATATACAATGCATCCAGCAGGAAAAGATTTAGAAGAAATTATAGAAAAAATAATTATAATGTTAAGATAGGAATATATTTTTGGGAAAAGTTATAAAAAGCAGCACAAACCCCAAGAGAAAGGAATTGATTTGATTAAAATTGAAAATGTTAAACTTATGAGTAAAAATGTCCAACCACCAAGGTAAATCATCAGTCAAAGGCAGGGATATTTGCAATACATGTAACAGACCACAGACTGATAAACAGAGTGTTACAAAGAATTCCCATAAATCAAGGATAAAAAGACAAACAGCCAAGTGAAAAATGGGCAAAATGAACAAGAAACTCACAGAAGAGGAAACATCAAGAGCCAAAAACACAAATGGAAAAGCACTTGACGGCCGGGCGCGGTGGTTCATGCCTGTAATCCCGACCCCTTGGGAGGCTGAGGTGGGCGGATCACTTGAGCCCAGGAACTCAAGACCAGCCTGGGCAACATGGAGAAACCCTGTCTCTGCCCAAAACATACAAAATTAGCCAGGCATGGTGGTGTGCGATTGTAGTTCCAGCTACTCAGGAGCCCGAGGCGGGAGGATCACTTGAGCCCAGGAACTCAAGACCAGCCTGGGCAACATGGAGAAACCCTGTCTCTACCCAAAAGATACAAAATTAGCCAGGCATGGTGGTGTGCGATTGTAGTTCCAGCTACTCAGGAGGCCGAGGCGGGAGGATCACTTGAGCCTGGGAGGCAGAGGTTGCAGTGAGCTGAGATCGCAGCACTGCACTCCAGCCTGGGCGACAGAGCGAGACCCTGTCTCAAAAAAGAAAGAAAGAGAGAAAGAGAGAGAGAGGAAAGAAAGAAGCACTTGACTTCATTAATTATCAGGGAGGTGCAAATTAAAGCAAGATACTATTTCATGCCCATCAGGTTGACAAAAATTTAAAAGTCAGACCATACAGGTTATCAACCTAAAATAATGAAAAGGCTCAGGATCAAGTTAAGTGTCTATTCAGGCACAAAGTGTGAGAGTGGTGGTGCCAGGAAACACAGACCCCAGAGAATAGTGATCAGAGCTCCCTGGCATGGGTAAAGGTGAGGATGGCTTATATAGGCAAAAACAGAGGTGCTGACTAGAATTAGAACATTTTCCATACAAAGGCTAACATATTGATACGAGATTTGGTTGGCCACCGATTGATTACACTCTAAGGGAGTTACTTAACATTCACTTGTAAAGAGATAACAATCACCAAAGTCTCTGTCTTGGATGTCATTTAGTCTAGGTTTGAATAAAGCTTAGTGAGTCTGGTTAAGGTGTAACATCTCAACCCAAAGGTCAGGAAATAGCAGTCACGTACCAAAGAGGAAGAACAGCTGTGTTACGTGACGCAGTTTCCAGGGCTTAACTTTTCCCCTGGGAATAATAAATTTGGAAGGTCCTGAAATTTTCTTTTCTTTTCACAAGGTGTTGGGAAGATGTAGAACGGCAGGAGCTGGCATACACAGCTGGGGGGTATAAATTAGTCCAGCCACTGTGGGCCTGCAAACCATTCTTAGGTACACATCCCAGGAAATCTTGAGCAACGACACAAGAGAAAGATATGGATAGGTGCAAAGAAGAATTGTCTGTTATAACCCCAAACCAGAAAACAACAGCCCAACTGTCCATCAACTGTAGCATGCAGTGGTTAGCGAACTTTTTCTGCCAAAGGCCAAACGCTAACTATTTTGGCTTTGCGGGTCCTACAGTTGCTGCCACAATGATTCAATTCTGCCATTGTAGAGTGAAAGCAGCCCTAGAGGACATATGAAAGAATGGGTATACTTGTGTTCTAATTAAACTTTATTTGCAAAAAAAGCACACATAGACATTGGGTTGGATTTGGCCCATGGGCCATAGCGTGCAGACCCCTGGTAGAACGATTATGTACATTGTAGCACATTCACACAATGGAATAATACTCAGCAATGAAAATGTTCTACAACAAAATGAAAGAATTTTTAAAAATGCATTTTAAGCTAAAGAAGTCAGATACAAGAGTATATACACCTTTAATTCAACTTACAGAAAACTCAAAGCCAGATAAAACTAGTTTTTAGGGATACACCCCTAGATAACAGAAACATAAAGAAAATTAATGAAGTGATGACCGTAAAGCCAGGACCATTATTATCTTTAGCAGGATGCAGAGGGTTGTAATTACAAGGAGAACATAGGCTTCTGGAGAACAGACCACTTTTTCTTTCTTGACTTGGGTGGTGGTTACATTACATGGATGTTCATTTTCTTTTTTCTTTTTCTTTTTTCTTTCTTTTTTTTTTCTTTTTTTTTTTTTTTTTTTTGAGACAGGACCTTGCTCTGTCACCCAGGCTGGATGGTGCAATCATAGTTCACTGCAGCCTCAAATTCCCAGGCTCCCAACTCAGCCTCCCAAATAGCTGGGACCACAGGTGCTTGCCACCACACCAGGCGAATTTTTGTATTTTTGGTAGAGACAGGGTTTCACCATGTTGCCTAGGTCAGTCTCGAACTCCTGAGCTCAGGCTATCTGCATGCTCAGCTTCCCAAAGTGCTAGGATGACAGGCTTGAGCCACTGCACCCAACCCATTTTAAAATAATTCATTAAGCTGTTCTTTTGTATTATACGTACTTTTCTGGATGTGTATTATTTTTCACATTTTTTTTAAACATGGAAGCTTTTTTTTTTTTTTTTCTTTTTTGAGGCAGGGTCTCACTCTGTCACCCAGGCTGGAGTGCAGTGGAGTGATCACTGCTTACTGCAACCTCAACCTCCTGGGCTCAGGTGATCCTCCCACCTCAGCCTCCTGAGTAGCTGAGACCACAGTCACACACCACCATGACTGGCTGATTTTTTTGTATTTTGGGTAGATATGCGGTTTCACTATATTGCACAGGCTGGTCTCAAACTCCTGAGCTCAAGTAATCTGCCCACCTTGACCTCCCGAAGTGCTGGGATTACAGGCATGAGCCACTGTGCCCAGTCGGAGAGCTTTTAATGTTTATTTCACATCCCAATTCATTTTCATACATGGTGAAAGGTGTTTTAGGAGCTAATTGCCCTGGGGAAGGTACTCACCCAAGGCTCAGTGGAGAGCTTGGCTGGGCAAAAAGCCTTAGGAGGGAAATGGGCAATTAATCCCCAAGGAAATTGCCCAGGGTAATCGCACTGTGCAGAGAGGGAAGAGAGATGGCTTTAGACTCAGGAACCATACCTTATTTAAAAGGGAAGTACCTTATGTAAGAAGAGGGGGTTAAAGCTAAAATCTAGTGTCCAAGCTAGGATCTGAAAGATAAAAGCCACCTTCACTGCCAATATGTTCCTGTTTAAGCCTCCTCCTTAGATTTTTCTAACACGGAGCTGGGGGTGGTGAGTTTTTGAAGGGTAGTTTCCCTAGTTACAAAGACCCACTCTTCTTAGTCCTAGGAGTGACTCATGGCAAATGCTAAATGTGTCTGCACGTGTGTGTTTGTGCAAGTGCATTTGTGCACACGCTAAGCATTTGAAACAAGTCTTACAGATATCTACGAGATCATAGAGTTACAATTATCTTGGAAAGCTCATTGGCAACCAAGAACCTAAAACATGTCCCAACCTTTGTCTCAATATCTCTACCTCCAAGATTGTTTCCGCATGATGTTATCAGAAATGTGAAATAAGTTTTTACCGAAAATTTTCCATCACTACGTGATAAACCCCCAGTGAACATTGGAAACTACCTAATGTCCAAATATAGAAAATGATTAAGTTAACTGATTCCAGACGCATGATGAAATACCTTACGGTTATTAAAATTCTATTTAGGGAGAGCTGGTAATCACCAAGAGGGTAACCAGACACAAAATTGAAATTACAGGATGATTACAACGGTAGCAACAACAAAACCTTATACGCAGAAAAATATGGTGGAAGGAAATCCAAAATAATGGTAAGCAGTTATTTTCAGGGGACAGAAACAAAATACAAATATTTTTCCTCTCTACTTTTCTGGAAAGAATTTTCCCAAACTATCAAAAATGATGTAAGTATTTTAAAAAATTGTAGAAAAGTAGGTGAATACAAATACACATAAGGAAAGCAAAAATAGCGATGTGTAGTGTCATGGGACAGGAGAGTCAGGAGGGAAACTGAGGCACAGAAAGGAGTACCACTTGTTGAGCCCTTTTATGGTTTACATATCTCAACACTGGGTAGCTAGCGGGTTCCAAGCCAGGGGTTATGTGCAGTTCTGTCTATTTTAAGTCTGTGCTTGTATTAGTTCATTTTCACGCTGCTATAAAGAACTACCTGAAACTGGGTAATTCATTTTTATTTTTTATTATTTATTTATTTGTTTGTTTGTTTGTTTGTTTGTTTGAGATGGAGTCTCGCTGTGTCGCCCAGGCTGGAGTGCAGTGGTGCGATCTCGGTTCACTGCAAGCTCCACCTCCCGGGTTCACGCCATTCTCCTGCCTCAGACTCCCCAGGCGCCCGCCACCACGCCCGGCTAATTTTTGTATTTTTAGTAGAGACGGGGTTTCACTGTGTTAGCCAGGATGATCTCGATCTCCTGACCTCGTTATCCACCCACCTCGGCCTCCCAAAGTGCTGGGATTACAAGCGTGAGCCACCGCACCCGGCCTTATTTTTTATTTTTTGAAACGGAGTTTCACTCTTATTTTCCAGGCTGGAGTGCAGTGGTGCAGTCTCGGCTTACCACAACCTCCGCCTCCTGGGTTCAAGCGATTCTCCTGCCTCAGCCTCCCGAGTAGCTGGGATTACAGGCATGCGCCATCACAGCCAGCTAATTTTGTATTTTTAGTAGACATGGGGTTTCTCCATATTAGTCAGGCTGGTGAGACTGGGTAATTTATAAAGGAAAGAGGTTGAATTGACTCATTGTTCAGCATGGCTAGGGAGGCTTCAGGATATTTACAGTTATGGTGGAAGGCAAAAGGGAAGCAAGGAACCTTCTTCACATGGCAGCAGGAAGGAGAAATGCTAGGTGAAGGGAGAAGAGCCTGTTATAAAACCACCAGATCTCGTGAGAACTTGCTATCACCAGAACAGCATGGGGAAAACCACCCCCATGATTCAAGGACCTCCACCTGGTCTCCCCCTTGGCTTATGGGGATTATGAGGATTACAATTGAAGATGAGATTTGGGTGGGGACACAAGGCCTAGCCATATCAGTGCTCTTCCTGAGATGGAGCAGCGACCACATTTTAAGGGCCTGCAGCCCCCCACCACCAAGCATGGAAATAAAGCAAAATTTTGAGTTCCTTCAAGGGAAATTCCAGGCACCTAGCTAGCTGTGAGAAGTAAATGAGCAACTTAATAAGCAAGTAGGTAATAGTAGCTTAAAACAGCAGCCAAGAAAGTTAGTCAGGAGATGTTTTGTTCACTGTAGAAACTAAAGATAACATCTTAACATATGTCCCTGAGTTGTTTTTCAGAAACCTGGACCCCCACCAAACAGATCCGCTGGCATGTAGGCCTCAGAGAAGGGGGAGCTGGGGACTGAACTCGGACCACCGTTCTGTGTTCTAAATTTCTTCCTGAGGGACTTGGAGGAGGTCACACCCACAAGCCAGAGCCAATACTCTTTTCTGCTGATCCCAAATTTTTAGACAAAGCTTCACCTCCTTAACCAATCACAAATCAGATAATCTTTGAGTCCACCCATGACCTGTGGGCCCCTACTTCATGATGCTCCACTTTTTTAGGTCAAACCGATGTATAGTCTCCGTGTACAGATTTATGACTTTGCCTGTAACCTCTGCCTTTCTGCCTTTGAAACCTTTACCTGTAAGCCATCGGAGAGTTCCGGTCTTAGGCACGAGCTGCCTGATTCTCCTTGCTTGGTGCCCTGCAATACGTGCCTCGCTTTCTCTGGTTGCAATCCCAATGTCAGTGTTTCATTTTGCTGCACTGGGTGAGGGGACCCCAGTTTGATTCGTTAACGTAATCCACTGACCACCAGCCTCCAGATTATCATCATCATCATTATCATCACCATCATCCTTCATTTCCTCAATTCCAAGACACTTTCTTCCCAACATTTTAACATTTCTGCAATCAGGATACTTCCCGCAATTGATATGGCAGCTTTATTTTTTTCTTTCCCAAATCTACTTAAACCAATGGTTCAATTACAATCAATGCTATCATAGAATCAAGGAAATATTATGATTGCTACATTTTATTGAGTACTTAAGTGCCAGGGACTTTGCATAAATTCCCCAATTCCCTGTAGCAACTCTCAGAAGGAAACATTTTATGTACTACTTTACATATGAAAACCGTCACCCTGAAAAATGAGTACATGCCCCAAGGCCACCTAGGAGGTAAATGCCTAAGTCTGGACTTGATCCTCTATGCGTCATGCACTCTGCTGTGTCTCCAAAGCATTCCTTTTCTGCAACTCCACTGCCTTCATCTGCACCTTCACCTTCCCTAGTACCTGATTCCCCCGCCACAGAGGGAGTTCCCACCTCTCCCTCACCCACTCATCTAAGAGCAGAGCAGTTCTCTGCAGATATTAAGTAAGTACTTCTAAACTGAGTCATCTAATCTTCTTCTAGGCGACCACCTATCCTTCACTGTCAGGTCCTTTGTTTCCTGTAGAGTTGACTCCATTCCTGCTTTCATAGACAAATGCCTCAAGTCTGGCCAACCAAATATCATATTCTCTTAGTCATGGTGATTGGGTCAGACGTGGGCAACAGACTCCTGAAAAGCAAATGAGATATGCTTTGACCCTTCCTGAGAATTTAAGAAATCTACTAAGGCTCTTCCCACCTAGAGAGGAATAAGAGAGAGAGTGGAAGAGCTGGAGCTGCAGCAGCCATCTTGTGACATGAGGCCTGGTCACAAAGTCAACACTGAGGAAGTTGAGAAGGGAAGAGAAAGAAACTGGGTCAGCCGGGTGTGGTGGCTCATGCCTGTAATCCCAGCACTTTGGGAGGCTAAGGTGGGCAGATCACAAGGTCAGGATTTCGAGACCAGTGTGGCCAACATGGTGAAACCCCAACTCTACTAAAAATACAAAAATTAGTCAGTTGTGGTGGCGTGCGCCTGTAGTCCCAGCTACTCGGGAGGCTGAAGCAGGAGAATCACTTGAATCCAGGAGGCGGAGGTTGTGGTGAGCCAAGATCGCACCACTACACTCCAGCCTGGGTGACAGAGAGAGACTCTCTCTCAAAAAAAAGAAAAAAGAAAGAAAGAATAAAGAAAGAAAGAAACTGGGTCCTGGCCTAAACCATGCCAAACAGTAATCTTATCCCAGCTCTGCTGGTTTAGGTAAGATCTTCTGTGCTGAAAACTCTTCAACAAGTCCTCAGAGTCTAGCAATGACGTCCAAATTCCACCATTTGGCATCCAAGGTCTCCCTGACGTAGTTTCAACCTGCAATTTCAGTTTCTAGGCTCCTCAAATCTTCCTGTAATCCTGTGCTTCAGTTGCTTTATATCCCTTGCCCTTCAGCAATAGACCCATCATTTTCCTTCTTAGAAGTTTTTGTATATGCTGTGCTTTCTGTCTCAAATGACATTCCCTGCCCACCCCACAACCCCACCACTGCCACATTGGAATAAAACTCTCTAACAGTCTTAGATGTCCAAAAAAAGTGAGTTCCCGTCACTAGGGGTATCACAGGGGGATGAAAGGCCTTCAGAAGGGATGTTACAGAGATAATTCAAAGTATCAAATAGGGTTTGGTTCACCTCATGGTTTCTGTGGTCTGGAGTCAATGACCACCTGTGTCAGAATCACCAGGGGGTGATGGTTAAAATGCAGATTCAAACATCTAAATTTCACCCTAGACTTATAGAATCAGAATCTCTGGGGATGGGCCCAGGGAATCTACCTCTTTATCAAGATCTTCAGGTGATTCTAATGCTTGTGAACACTTGAGAACCCCTAGCCTAGAAGAAAGTTGAGTCCCTTGAGCCCGGCAATCTTACAAAGTCTGGGTTTTTATCAAAGTTCTCAACTTCCTTTCCTGCCACTTGACTTATCTTGGAAATTTTTGACTTCTCTCTCTTTTCCCTATGGAGTCTAATCCTTGAAAATTATTTCTATTGTGCTGCTTCAGGTAGGAGAGGTGTTTATTGTAAACACTTAATTAATGGAACTCTGTTGCCTCACCTATTCCCTGCAATACTTTGTGTGCATGTCACATGCACTCTTAGTACCATAAAAAGAGTTGTGCCCAGTGCTTCTCCCAGAATGGAGTGTGTAAATTTGTTTAATGCAAATCAAGTCTCCACACTTTCCCCTGTACTACTCCTTCTGCCACAGATGCCATTGATTTCTGCATTCCTTTAACACACATTCATCAAACACCTGCTATGTGTTGGCCATCAGCTGGGTGCTAGGAATACTGATATTTTAAAAACAGTCAATCTCTGTCCTCAAGGAGCTCAGTCTACCAAGAGAGATGGTTACAGAAATAATCCAGCAAATGCAAAAACTGAGATATGTGCTATTCATTCATTGTTCATTCATTCACTTATTTGTTTGCAAAAAAGAAATATTTGAGCACACACTACATGCAGGGTGGTGGTGATACAGTGATGGACAAACAGACAAGACCTTTCTCTGCTGGAGCCCTCATCATAATAGAAGACAGACACCCATCAAGTGAACAGATGAATGCAATGACAACTGGCAGCAGGATCTGCAATGAAGAAAATAAGACTGGACAATGTGAGAGACTGGCTTGAAGTGGAGGAAAGGGTACCTGGTATGACCAAGATGGTCTTCACTAAGGAGAAGACCTTTGAGTTGAGCCCCCGATCCAGAATGATGAAAAGGAGTCACCAAAAAAACATGGGGCAGAAGTACAGGACAGGTCCTAAGATGACCTTGGCCAACTCAGCTCTTTCCCCTCTTGCTTGTAATTCTTGAGCAGAATGTACCGAGAATATAACATCCTGAGATAAGGAGGAAAAGTCCAGAACAACCTGGCCTGCATCTACATTCATCCTAGAACAGGATGTCCTGCAATGCTTGAGCTCAGAGACCCCAGGGACACCCAGGGTATATAAACCCAGGGTGGAGTGCCTTGGGTTTTCTCGACTATGATGCAAAATGGGGCATGCACAGATGCCACTACACCTTCTCTGGGTCTCCCGAGGGCTCACGCTTTCCTGAGCCTTAGGAGACTGGCTCACCACGAATATTAGGCTTCTGTCTGTCCTTGCTGCCTATCCCTGAGTAATAACTCTGCTTTGCCTAATTTATGCAAGTGTTCTGTCTCACTGGTCTCATGCAAATGGCAGAGATCCTGGGGTTCCTTTGTCCCTCGCAATAGTCTACATGGTGTTAGGACTGCTGCAGCAGGTGGGTCTACTCCAGGCCCTGCCAGACCTAAGAACCTTTATAAGAAGAACACCCCAGGCAGATGGACCTGCCAGTGCAAAGACCCTGAGAAGTTCTGTGGGTTCCAAGCACAGAAAGGACAGTCAGCTGAGGGTTAGACACAGAGAAGAGAGGTAGGAGGTGAAGACAGAGAAGTGAGAAGAGGCCAAATGGAGCTAGATATTCAGGTTGCAGTGGGAAATCTGAATTGTTATCTCACTTGCAATGGGTGCCTTAGAAGGGTTTTAAGCAGAGGAGTATATAGGGGAGTAGAGTTTAAGATTGGGTTTAAGAAGCTACTGCAGATCCCAGGTGAGAGACGATGCCTCAGTCTAGGTTGATGGAGTCAATGTGAGGTCAAGGATGTGTTCCAAATGGAACTGGGGGTGGAATCAACAGGACTGGTGGATGGATAGGGGTTAGTCTGGTGGAGAGAGGACCAAGGAGAGAGATGACAACCCACTTGAGCGAAAGGCTGGATGGTGATATATATCATTACTAAGATGGGGTAGAAGTGGCTGGTTGGGGGGACAGGAGAGTGGGAATGGAGATACGTGGTTTGGATGTGTAGTAGACACTCGAGTGGCCATGTTAGTGAGGCAGTTCAATATTGTCTTAGTCTGTCTTGAGTTGCTACAAAGGAACACCTGAGACTGGATAATTTATAAAGAAAAGAGGTTTATTTGGCTCACAGTTCTGCAGACTATACAGAAGCACAGTGCTTGCATCTGCTTCTGGTAAGGGCTTCGGGAAACTTCCAATCATGGCAAAAGGGGAAGGGGAAGAGGCATCACATGGCAAGGGAGGAAGGGAGAAAAAGAGAGAGAGGAGATGCCAGGCTCTTTTTAACTATCAGATCTTTCAGGCACTAATAGAGGCAAGAGGTCACTCATTACCTTGAGGATGAGGATGGCACCATGATGTTCATGAAGGATCCACCCCCATGACCTAAACACCTCCCACTAGGCCCCATCCCCAACACTGGGGATCAAATTTCAACGTGAGACTTTTAGGGGACAAATATCCAAACTATATCAGTGTACAAGTTTGGAGGTCTATGGAGAGCTCAGAGAGGAAACTGTAATATGGAGGTCATGGCATTTGGCTCTGACAGAGGGATGGCCATGGGTCGTGGTCTTGACAGGGAGGAAAGATGGATTCTTCCTCAGTGGGATGGAGAGAAAGGTGCTTCCCACCTACTACTGTACCACGTAAGACTGTGAGCAAGAGAAACCCACTCTGGCTACTGAGCTGCTCATAGACCCTAAAAAGGATTCTTGGCTGAGATTCCAGAAGGAAAGAACCCAGGTAGGGCCTGAATCTCAGCAGTAGAAATTCCAGGGCAGTTTGGGGATGTCAAGGCTGCAACTGCCTTCTGCCCTTGTAAGATGCCATGGCAAATTGAGATTTTCAGGTGTAAGGTCTGAAGGACCCACATCTTGCCTGTGATGTGGGGGTGGGGGGAACAGCTGGTTCCATCACGACCTTGTGGGATGGGGGATGGGAGGGGAGTTGTCAATGAAAACCTGGGTGCTATTTTTTTTTTTTCTTGAGACAGAGCCTCACTCTAGCCTAAGCTGGAGTGGAGTGACACGATCTCGGCTCACTGCAAGCTTCACCTCCAGGGTTCCCGCCATTCTCCTGCCTCAGCCTCCCGAGCAGCTGGGACTACAGGCACCCACCACCGTGCCCAGCCTATTTTGTATTTTTAGTAGTGACGGGGTTTCACCATGTTGCCCTGGGTGGTCTCAAACTCCTGAGCTCAGGCGATCCACCCGCCTCAGGCGACCCAAAGTGTTGGAATTATGGGCCTGAGCCACCGCACCCGGCCAACCTGGGTGCTATTATCAAAGAAGGGAGAAAGGGAAGCTGGTCAGGCAAGATCAACAGATATCTATCACATCTGGCCTGCCAGCTCAAAGTTCAAATTCCCTCCGAAGATTTCTGTGACCTTCACAAATGAACTTAATGGCTCCCCCTCTGTGCTCCCAATCTCTGACTTGCAGGCAGTGGCAGGCTTGTCTATCCACCACCCTCCACCCCACCGGACTGTGAGCACACCAAGGTTGGAAATGCACTCCTAGTCATCAGCGAAACCCCAGTAGCTCCCACACAGCATGGCATATAATTGGAACTCAGTACAATTTTTTGTTACTTTGAATGTGGTGTCATCCGTTGAAGATAATCTGGATCACAACCCTCAAACTTTCTCTAATGTATCATTCTGTATTCATTTTAAAGTCCAGGGCGAGCTGAGTGACAAATTACAGAGATTTTTCCCAAATGCCTTTCAAGTCACACAGCCAAATCAGTTCAGCAAATTATATGTAATCAACGAGGAAATCAATAAGGACTGCAAGTGCATTAAAGAGTTTAGCAGATTCATTATGTATTTAGCACATTCCGTCCAATTTGCAGGAAGTTCAGAGAAAAACAGGCTTTAGCATGTAAACAGTGCTTCTGATTGACTCTTTGGAGAAGCAGCAGCAGTGGCACAGCCTTCTGAGGTGAAGGCAGATCAGGAGAACAGGCCGCCTCCCACCCCTCTAGCCCAGACAGCCCATGCCAATTCCATAAGGCAGGGGTTTCATCTCCAAAGGCAATGACAGCAATCTCAAAGGCTCTTTCTGCTTGGAAATTCTACAGCAGAGGATATATGGGAGGAGAGGGAGGGAAGAAGGAAGGAGGAAGTGGGGGAGAAAGGAAGGGAGGGAGGGAGAGGGAAGGAGAGTAGGGAAGAAGAGAGAAAGGAAGGGAGGAAGAAAGGAAGGGAGGAATGAAGGAGAGAGGGAGGGAAGAAGGAAGGGACAGATAGGGAGGGAAGTGGGAGGGGAGGAGAAAAGGAGGAGGGAAGAAGGAAGGAAGAAGGGAGGGAGGAGGGAAGGAAGTAGGGAGGGAGGAAGAAAGAAAGGGGGGGGGAAGAAGAAAGAGAGGGAGGGAGGGGGAAGGAAAATAGGGAGGAAGGGAGGGAGGAAAGAAAGAGGGAGGGAAGAAGGAAAGGAGAAAGGAAGAAAGAAGAAAGGCAGGAAGGAAGGAGGGAGGGAAGAAGGAATGGAGAAAAGGAAGACAGAAAGGAGGTAGGGAGGGTAGGAGGCAGCAAGGAAGGAGGGAAGGAGGGAGAAAGAAAGGAAAGAGGAAGGAAAGGACGGAAGGAGGAAGGGAGAGCAGGAGGAAAGAAGGGTGAGAGGGAGGGAGGAATAACTCCTCAGGATCTTTCCTTTCCCTCCATTTCTAAGCCGCCTCCTGTCTCTGTAAAGTGATCATTTACAAATTCATTCGGCAGACCTTGACTGAGCCCTTGTTCTCTCTGTGCCAGGTCACTTGCCAAGTTCTGGGGCATGAGCCAAATCAGACCTGGACCTGCCTTCAAGTAGCTCACAGCCTGGTGGGGGGTGACAGACTCAGCCACGGCATAGCCTCAACCCAAGTGGAGGCTCTGACAGCCCCTGCTTGAGGTGGAAGAAGAAGGGACATTTGAGGAGGGCCCTGAGGACTGATGCGGGGTTGCTAAAGGTGACATCTCACAGGGAGACAAACATCCTCAAAGACACAGAGACAAAGTATGTTTGGGGAATGACAAGTAAATTGATGTCATCGGAGTGTTAAGTCCAGTGGGAGGACTGCACAGGGCAGTGTTTCTGGCAGACAAGTTTGCGGGGGGTGGGGGGGTGTCTCAGGTTCAATTCCCTTTTATTACAGACTCAATCAATGCAGCCCCTAGAAAAGTGATTTGCCCACAGGCACCCAGCACCTGAAAGAGGCTGAATGTGACCTCTGGCCATCAGCCCCAGTCCTTCATGAATTCCCCTCCACAACAGGTGCCTCAGTTACCTCTGGCCATAAATCTTCCTACGCTCCAATTCCTGAATTGAGTTGAGAAGTGGCACCACTTTGGGAAACTAATTGGGGAAGTCATTATAATTCCCTTTTATTGACTTGGAATAAACAACATCGAAGACTAATTCACGCTGGCAAGGATGTAGCCTGCACACCTGCACTCATTTTCCGCTCCTGTGGCAGACATCACTAATCAATCCCAGCATTCTTCCCCACTGATTTCTTAACCCACTCCAGGCAGCCAATTAAAAAAGACAGTCACTTAGCCAAAAGCCACATGCCTTCTCCACACAAGCATTCAAATCTGCAGGCTGTTACCATGGGTCAAGCTGTGAAATAAGGGAAAAAGAGCAAGTGTCCAGCTCAAATTATAAGAAGCTAAAGAGGATCCCAAACAGTCGCCGAGTGCTAAACAGACAGCAGTGATGCACTATTTAGCATCAGACACAAGCTTCTGATTTCGTAGTTGCTGCTTGCATTAGGCCTTCTATCACTCCTTCAGCAACAGAAAACCAACTCTAATTAACTTTAGCAGAAAAAGAATCTGCTGGCACATTACGTCTGGGGAAGACCTGGCTTTGGGGTCTGACTGCATCCAGGGACTCACTGGGTGTCATCTGGACTTTTCCTTGATCTCTTTCCTCTCAAGCCTGCTTTCCCCTACACTGGCTTCCTTCCCAGGCAGAATTTCCCTTCGTGGAGAGAAGCTGGCCCCCAGCTTGCAGCCCCACATCTCCCAGCCAAGGGGGAGAATGCCTCTCTTCCCGGTGGTTTCAACCAAAGGCCTGGTCCTGGCTCTCATTGTCCTCATCTGACTCATGGAGGGACCCAAGCCACAGGCACTTCGTGTGGGAAAAGGGCTCCTCCCAGGAAAGGGGAAGTGATAATACCAGAGGAGAGGAAATACCATAGACACCAATAGTGTTTTGATGACATAAAACAGCTAACATCCATTACACTAATGACTGCCCACTTTATAGGGTAAGGAAACCGGAATGAAAGAGTAAAGCAGCTTGACCAGGGTGGAGTGAGGAATGGAGCATGGTGTGACTCATTCTCTTCTCTCTATGCTTGCTGTTCCCCCACCCCCACCTAAGTGAAAGAGAGTTAAGAGAAAGGCCCTCCCTGCAGCCCAGGGTTAGTCTTGCATGCAGAAGACACCCTGGCGGTAGTTTTCTCCAAACTGCCTATGGTACCAGAACCCGGCACGGCCTAGCAGCCTCTGCATGAAAGGTCTTCTACTGCTTCCCCACCTTCTTTAGAGGGCCAAGAGGAGCAGGTCCCTGGCCTGTGCTCCTAACTGCAGGGCTGACATGACACAGCCACTCCCAAGCCCTGGTGTACAGCAGGATCACCCAGGGAGTCTGCTGAGATGCAAAGTCCTTGGGCCCCTGCTGAAAGTTTGGTTCTGTAGCTTTGGAATGGGCCCTAGGAGTTGACTGTTTAAACAGGCTCCCTGGGCAGTGTGGATGCAGGTGGCCTCCAGAGCACACTTAGGTGCTCAGGAAGGGACGGCTCAAGGCTTCTGGTGGCTGACTCTGTCTTCCTAGAGTCCTGAAGGTGCCAATGCAGATTAATGATAACCTGTAATAGATAGCCCAATATGGAGAGCTGCTCTGTGATCCCCCTCACCGCCTCACCAGTGGCCAGCACTGATGGAGCCAGGAGGGGTTAGCAACCTGAGGTCAGCTCTTCTGAAAGCAGGTGATCTGGGCACATCAGAGACTCCCTTAAAAAGGCTGAGCCAGGCATGGTGATGCATGCCTGTAATCCCAGCCGCTCCTGGGGCTATGTCAAGAGGATCACCGAGCCCAGGAGTTCCAGGCTGCTGTGAGCCGTGATTACATCACTATGCTCCAGCCTGGGAGGCAGAGTGAGACTCTGTCTAAAAATAATAATAATAATAATAATAATAATAATAATAATAATAATAATGAAAGAATTTTTTTAAAAAAGGGGCTGGAGTGAGGGTAATGGACTAGACATCCACAGGGTTCCTGCAGACAACCTGAGGGAGTGGAGAGGATGGAGAGCAAGGCCCCACCTAAAGGGACAACTACTGAGTTTCAGCCAAAAACTGCCATGTGGAATGTGGGGTTGTCAGGTCTGAGTTTTCCAGAGCAGCCAGAAATCTACACTTATTTTTATGTAGTCTCATAACATTTAAGTGTCTAATGTTTTTAAAAATTCAAAATTGTCAAGGCCAATCACAATATATCTGCAGGCTGGCTGGATTCAAACCACAGTCTGGGGTTTCAGTGGAGTCTCATTCCCCAGCCTCTTTGACAGTTAGGTATAGCCATGCCACCAAGTTCTGGCCGGTAGAAGTGTTACATGGGACTACCTGGAAGTCTTCTTCTTCAAAGGAGGAAGTATGTCCTTCTTTCCTTCCTCCTTCCTGACGCCTGGAATACAAACATGATGACGGAAGCTTCGGCAATTATATGAGATATTGAGGTGACTTTGAGAATGGAAGTGTGCTGAGGATGAGAGTGGAAGAACAGGAGGAATCCGAGTCCCTTACGATGTTGAGATTCTGACTTCAGTAATTCTTTTATTTATTTATTTGTTTTGAGATGGACTCTCGCTCTGTCACCCAGGCTGGAGTGCAGTGGTGCCATCTCAGCTCACTGCAACCTCCATCTCCCAGGTTCAAGCTATTCTCCTGCCTCAGCCTCCCCAGTAGCTGGGACTACAGGCGCCCACCACCATGCCTGGCTAATTTTTGTACTTTTAGTAGAGACGGAGTTTCGCCAGGTTGGCCAGGCTGGTCTCAAACTCCTGACCTCAGGTGATCTGCCCACCTCAGTCTCCCAAAGTGCTGGGATTACAGGTGTGAGCCACTGCTCCCGGCCCCTTTATATGAGAGAAAGAAATTTCCATTTATTTTTGTTATACGTAGCCAAACTTAATTGCATGCCCCATTCCCAGTTTAAATGGAGCCTGGCCATTCTGCCTACCCTCGAGTTCCGAAAGAGGACCCTTGATCTTTTCAGCAAAACTCCCTTTACCTGGACTTGGACAATGCTCACAAACCAAGCATTCTCTAAGATTTTTCTCTTTCTCCACTCATCACAGAGCACACTAGCCACCATTTTCAAATTAAACAACTGCTAGAGAATCATTTTTAAAACGGAAGCTCATGACTGTGACACAAATATAAAATGAATACATGTCCAAAATCATATTTAGCTCATTAATAATGAGAGAACCAATAACCAATAAGTATAACAGGTTCAAAGGAGAATCTAAGGAACAGACCCTTGAATAAGCAATCAGGAATGTTGAAATGAAGTTGTTAGCAAATGCAGGTCTGACCTTCCACAGGGCAGAAATCAATTGAGTCTCCACAGCAAAGTTCATTCGTGTCACTATGGACAGAGTCATTTGCTTCAATGTCAGTTTTCTACAACTTGCAGAGTTGTAACTAACTCAATCAAAGACCATGAAAAGCACCGACTCCTATAGAATCAAATAATCCTGAAGAGTCTACAAGACAACATTATTATTATTTTTGTTTTTTTGAGACAGAGTCTCACTTTGTCGCCAGGCTGGAGTGCAGTGGCGTGATCTCGGCTCACTGCAACCTCCACCTCCCGGGTCAAGTGATTCTCCTGCCTCAGCCTCCCGAGTAGCTGGGATTACAGGCATGAGTCACCAAGCCCAGCTAATTTTTGTATTTTCAGTAGAGACGGGGTTTCACCATGTTAGCCAAGATGGTCTCGATCTCCTGACCTTGTGATTCACCTGCCTCAGCCTCCCAAAGTGCTGGGATTACAGGTGTGAGCCACCACGCCCGGCCTGACAACATTATTTCTAAACCCAACAATTCTTCACTATTCTCTGAACATCCCTGGCTACTGAAGGATAGGAGTGTCTCATGTTCCCAGGGACATTCATCCACAACTCCCGCACAATTGCCCCTGACTTTCCTGTCTCAAAAAGTACCCAGAGCCGGGTGCAGTGGTTCATGTCTGTAATGCCAGCACTTTGGGAGGCTGGGGGGGAGGGGGCGGATCACCTGAGGTCAGGAGTTTGAGAGCAGCCTGGCCAACATGGTGAAACCCTGTCTCAAAAAAAAAAAAAAAAGTACCCAGAAAAGTTTTTCCAACTGAACTGGAGTTTGAAGGAGGATTAGGAGCTCTCCAGGCAAAGACTGTTCTAGACTAGTGGCAGCACTTACTGGAATCACCTGAGGAGCTGCTAAAAATATGCAGGCCCAGCCTTGCCCTGAATTTACTGAATATGCTGCATTTGCAGTACAGACACAGTGTTTTTACTGAGATTGCATGTGGTGTGACAAGACTGTGGGTGGCTGATGGAGATGTGGGAGCAGATACTTAAGATGCCCTCCACCCACTCCCCTCCACCTACTCCCCACCCTCTTCCAGCCACCCCTTGGCACCATCACTGCTGGTTCATAGTCCCATACATTTAGTTTGCAAAAACACCCCTGGTGATTCTGCTATTTGGATCCCACTTCTGCCACCCCACCCCACCCCACCTCCAGATACCTCTCAATTTCTCTGTTCCCCTTGGCAGGCATGTTCCTGCTGACCATGCTTGTGGCTTCCGATTCTCCCATTCACTTTAAACCCAGTTCAGTCAGGCTTTTCCCCCAACTCCACACCAAAGCTGTTCTTGTCAAAGTCACCAATGACTCCACATCAACAGATCCCAGGTGGGGGCCCAGTTCTCCTCTTGCAAAGCCCTCAGCTGTGTTGAGCATCACCCCTACCTCCTAAAAACACTGCCCTTCCTGGCTCCATACCCTGCTCTCCTGGTCCCTCCTAGCCCTCTGATCTCTCCTCTCAGCCTCTTTTGCTCTAAGGATTTTCTTTCCTTCTCTCTAAATGTTCTTGTGCCTCGGGGCTCAGTCCTTGGTGACTTCTTCTCTGCCAACACTCTCTTCCCTAGAGCTCCCAGCCAGATTTGAGGCTTTAAATGTCATCTGTCTGACAACTCTCGAGTTGACGTCTTCAGAGCACTTTTCTGAACTCCCGCTTCAAGTCTAACTTCCTACTTACCATCTCTCCTTGGTCATCTGATAGACAAACTTAAGATGTCTAAACCTAACTCAGATCTTCCCTCGAAACACTGTTCCACCCACAACCTTCCCTGTCTCCATTTCTAGCGACCCCCTTCTTCCACCAACTCAGATGAGACCTTGGTATATCATCTCTGACTTCCCATTTCCTTTCTTATATTTTCCTTCTTCTTTTTTTTTTTTTTTTTTCCAAGATGGAGTCTCACTCTGTTGCCCAGTCTGGAGTGCAGTGGTGCGATCTCGGCTCACTGCAACCTCCACCTCCCAGGTTTAAGGGATTCTCCTGCCTCAGTCTCCTGAGTAGCTGGGACTACAGGCGTGTGCCACCATGCTCGGCTAATTTCTGTATTTTTAGTAGACATGGGGTTTCACCATGTTGGCCAGGCTGGTCTCAAACTCCTAACCTTGTGATCCACCTGCCTCAGCCTCCCAAAGTGCTGGGATTACAGGTGTGAGCCACCATGCCCGGCCATATTTTCCTTCTTTTTTCTTTTTTTTTTTCTTGTTTAAAATTAAGGTGGAGTTGACAAATAAAAATTGTATATATTTATGGCGTACAATAAAATGTTTTGATATCTGTATCATCATAAAATGGTTAAATCAATCTAATTAACATTTCCATCACCTCACCTACTTATTATTTTTTGTTGTGAGAATAAGAGCTACTCTCCTAGCAATTTTCAAGTCCACAAGACTTTATATTATTAATTTTAGTTGCAATATTGTACACTATAGCTCCAGAACTTAATTGTCCTGTCTGACCGAATCTCAGGTCATTTCCCCCCTTCCTTTCCCACTCTACATCCACTCTGCCAGGAAACCTCATTGCCTCTGCTGAACCATATCATGTAACCTGCGACTCTTCACCTTGGTTCAAGCTGCCATCTTCTCTGGCTTGGACTCTACAGCCTGAGAGGCCCCCACCTACCACCACCCTCACCAAAGCCTTTTCTCAACACTGCACCCACTGCAAGCCTTTTCAAATATCAGTCTGATCGATGTCATTTTTCTGCTCAAAAAACTCCCAGTAACTCTCATTCCACTCAGACGAAAGTCTCGGTTCTAAGTAGAGGTCTACCAGGCCTGCAAGGTCCAGCCCTGTTCTCATCCTGACCTCCCCTTCAAGTCAGACTCCCCTTGCTCACTATGCCTGGTCTGCCAGCCACCTGGCTGCTACGCCAGCAAGCAAGGCGGGTGTTCTAGGAGAGCCTTTGCTCTGGCCCTATGTCTGCTCCTGCTGGGGACGCCCTTCCCCAGATGTCTGCTGGCCGATGCATCCCCTCCTTCAAGTCTTCACTCACATGTCTCTGTCCCCACTCATTCTATTTAATGACAAAACCACGCAGCCACACCTGCCCACTTGCCACTCCTGATCCTCCCACGTGGCCCTTTCCTCTTCTTTTTCCCATAGTCTTATCATCTCCTAACACACTGTGTCATGTACTGAGGTACTGTATTTTGGGGTTTATTTTTGCATGTGCTCTGTATTTCCCAGCTAGACTATAAGCTCCACGAGGCAGGGATCTTGATTCATTTTGTTCATAGATTTATCCCAAACACCAACAACAGTCTTTAGCACATAGTAGTTGCTCAATAAATAGTCACCACTGTCGAACTGCTCAGCATCGGGCACTGGGCCGGCCACCCCACACAGTAAGCTCACTTAAATGAACAATCCTGTGTGGAGCCAGCATCAGGACCACCCGGGGGCTTGTGAAATACAGATATCTGGGCACCATCTCTGAGGTTCTGGGTCAGTAGGTCTGGGGTGGGGCCAAGAATTTGCTTTTCTAACAGGTTCTCAGGTGCTGCTGCTGCAGCTGGTCTGGGGGTCTTATTTTGAGACCCCCTGGTGTAGGTCGTGGAAAGCCACCAAAAGGCTGTGACCAGGAGAGCCAGAGTCCCATTTCCCCTGGAGAAGGCCATGTGCAGGCTGGGTGGGAGGGGAGGTACTCCAGCAGGGGCGAGGCCTCCGCAGCCCAGGGAGGGGAGCAGAGGGTGGTGGAGGTCGTGGGGGGAAGAGCAACTCAGGGGCAGCCTAGCCGGGTCCTCTCAGGCCCCCTCCCTGGCCCCACAGCTGCGGCCCTCACTTCAAGCCCATTAGCACATCTCCTCCAGAAGACGCAGGCCTCCTGGCTCCTCACTCATTTGAAATTTTAATTATCTGCCAGAGCACGATTCCCACAGCCACCCCCACTAGGGGTGGGTGTGAAAGAAGCTAAATAGCTCCAAAATGCATGACTTCAGCAAAAACGGAATAACAGTCTCGCCTCAGAGGCTCCAGCAGTGCCTGGGAGCACGGTGATGAATATGAAGGTGATCCCTCACCCCTGGCCTGCCGGCAGTGGAGGGGGAATCACCTTCTCAGTGTCTTGGACAAGACCTGGGACTCAGGTTCCTCAATTGTCAAATCGGTGAAGTACTCAGCAGTGCCTGCTCCCCCGGGGCCTGGGACGCTGGGGATTCCCACATGAGCCTTTCTTTCTGGGATGGAAGGGACAGGACTTATCTACCCTGTCGGCATGTGATGTGTAGGCTGCCAGTCTTCATTTTAATAGTCACGTGCTTACTGGAAAGTAAATGGGAAAAATATACAAATAGCAGATCCAATCTGTGCTGTTATGGGGAATTATTTCTTAGAGCAAAGCTAAACTTAAATTTTTAAAAAGTGAGCTGATCTCAAGAAAATATGAAACAATGTGTACCCAGCAATTGCATAATGCTTACCATAGACTGGGCATTCTTCACAGATTAATTCATTAAAGCCGGATAGCAACCCAATAAGGTAGGTGCCATTATTACACCCATTTCCCAGATGCAGAAGCAGAGGTACAACATGATTGAGTCATTTTCCCATGGCCATGCAGGAGGCAGCAGAGGGAGGATTTGAACCCAGGCAACTTCCATCTAGAATCTGTGCTCTGAACAGCCTTCTCATGGCATTGGCAGGACATGGCAAATACTACATGATGGGACTCCACACACTGACATTTGGGAAGCACCGAGCAGGGCATCCTTCCTGCCTCAGCCATTACAAGACCCCAAAATGCACCAGAGTGATGAGGCAGGGGCGTGACATAGGAGCTGTCTGGATCCTTCCAACCACGGAGCCTCCCCAGAGCTCAGAGGCGGAAGCAGTGGCTGGGCCTGCCTTGTGCAAACATGAAGTGCTCATGCTGTCTGCACTGAATGCCCTCAATGACTGCTGGTAAGCAGGGAGGAACGCGGTGAGCCTGTCACCCTGGAGTGCTGCAGGGGAGCAGGAGAGACCAAGGCAGAGGGGCCAGTGAAGAGACAGGTCTTTAGGACGGATGCTGTGGCTGCAGGACAACACTTCAGTCACAGAGCCCCAATGTCATCAGGATCCTCTGGATACATGGCTCTCAGCTCCTTACACACAATGCAAGCAATATATATCATCATTTTTTTTTGTAATCATTATTTTGTGATCAATATTTTTGTAATCAATATTTGAAAGCAAATCAGAAAAAATGCATTTCTAGTGTATCCAATCTGTGCTGTTAAAAAAATATATTTCTGAGGGGGAAGTTAAATTTAAGTTTTTAAAAAATATTCCCTTTGGCCGGGCACAGTGGCTCGTACCTGTAATCCCAGCACTTTGGGAGGCCGAGGCGGGCAGATCACCTGAGGTCAGGAGTTCGAGACCAGCCTGGCCAACATGGTGAAACCACGTCTCTGCTAAAAATACAAAACATAGCTGGTGGCAGGCGCCTGTAATCCCAGCTACGCAGGAAGCTGAGGCAGGAGAATCTCTTGAACCCACGAGGCGGAGGTTGCAGTGAGCTGAGATCACGCCACTGCACTCCACCTGGGTGACAGAGCAAAACTCCATCTCAAAAAACAAAAAAGTGTTCCCTTTACTATCCTGAAATTTTAGATAACATAACCTACCTACACCCATGATGTGGAGATATATATAATAACACACACAAAAATATACATACACGTACAAAAGAAAATACTTAAAAATCCGTAATGCAATAATGCATATTTCAATGCGTAAGTGCTCAAGCATCACTATATAGAAGACACAGTGAAGTAGTCAGATGCTGGTTCCTATTTATAGTGTATACATTTGGATGTAAGAGGACAAGGTGCTGAAATGCCTTATAGAAGGTGTAAGAAGTACAGAGACATGAAGGGGCAGAGGCAGGGTAGACCTCAGATTAAAAGCCAGTGTTAGGGTGGGTATAAATAGACTAGGCTGACTGACATGTGATAAGGAAAGGGTGATAACCTTCATTGGAGTTTGGTGAACATGCCAAGACTAACGGAGAAAATCAGGACGCGTGACATTCTCGCAAAGTAGGTGGGCCTTATTTATAAGCGTAGTGTCAAAATAATTCCCCGTGTTGTGACAAAGGACAGGGTAGTGACGAAGTATCCCAGCAAACATAACTTCTGTCTTGAAATTTTAGTATACGCCGAGGCATTCACTCAGTCTCAAGACCTGGGAATCTGTATCCTTAGAGAGGAGTGTTAAATTTTAAGTTTAGCCCGAAGCTGCCTCCTTACATATTTTAAGCTCTGCCTAAAGGTTTCTCTATAAGTAGTGAACTGTAGCCTAACTGGATGTGTGAACAGACATAACCTACTCTTGTAAGAAGTAGCCAAGTCTCAGCCAATCCCAGAAGCCAGACTTAACCACTCATAGGCAGCCAACTGTTCAAACCGTGTTCAAATAAGGCAAACGCCCAGCTCTCATCAATCCGGCTGTTTCTGTACCTCACTTCTGTTTTCCGTATGTCATTTTCCTTTTTCTGTCTATAAATTTTTTCCTACCACGCAGCAGTGCTGGAGTACCTCTGAACTATTCTGGCTAGGGGGCTGCCCGATTCACCACTTGTTCTTTGCTCAATTAAACGCTGCTACATTTAATTTGTCTAAAGTTTTGTAAGGTATGGTTTGGAAAAGGAAAAGGAATAACACTAAAGACGTAAGAAAACCTTTGTGGTCAACTGAAAACCTTATCAGATTAAAAAGATAAACCGGCCACGGTGGCTCATGCCTGTAATCCCAGCACTTTGGGAGGCTGAGGTGGGCAGATCACCTGAGGTCAGGAGTTCCAGACCAGCCTGGCCAACTTGGTGAAACCCCCGTCTCTACTAAAAATACAAAAATTAGCTAGGCGTGGCGGCAGGAGCCTGTAATCCCAGCTACTCAGGAGGCTGAGGCGGGAGAATCACTTGAATCCAGGAGGTGGAGGTTGCAGTGAGCCGAGATTGTGCCATTGCACTCCAGCCTGTACTACAAGAGTGAAACTCTGTCTCAAAAATAAATTAAAAAATAAAAAAATAAAAAGGAAAAGGAAAAATTTCAGGCAATCCCAAAATAAATCATTTTAATGTGCAATTTCTAGAACATAGATTTCTTATCACTATGCTATAAGAAAATTAAAATTGTATTGAATAGCAATCATTTTAAATATTTTTGAAATCTTTATTCCATGAACCTTAATGAGATTTCTGCATTTCATGTATTTCCACTAACTTAGAACAATTCAGCTCTAAGTCTGTTGTAAGAAATATCAGGCTGGACATGGTGGCTTATGCCTGTAAACCCAGCACTTTGGGAGGCTGAGGTGGGCGGATCTCCTGAGGTTGGGAGTTCGAGACTAGCTTGGCCAACATGGTAGAACCCATCTCTACTAAAAATACAAAAATTAGGCAGGCATGGTGGCGCATACCTGTAATCCCAGCTACTCAGGAGGCTGAGGCAGGAGAATCACTTGAACCCAGGAGGCGGAGGTTGCAGTGAGCCAAGACTGTGCCATTGCACTCCAGCCTAGGCAACAAGAACGGAACTCTGTCTCAAATAAAAAAAAAAAGAAAAAAGAAATATCAAATCTCCTTTGCTACCAATATTCAATGACTGTTTTTGTAGTAACTATACTGTTAGCTGGAAACCCTTTTCAACTAAACACGAGATAGGAAACACTATGGTCTACGATGAATTAGACGCACACAAAAGAGAAATTGTTCAATCATCTCAAGACAGTATTTTCCTTCCATTCAAGCCTCTCCTTCTGTAAGAAACTTCTCCTGAGTTACTGAGATTTTACATATCATTTTGTGAAAGCTTTTGCCTATTAAATATTGGAGTATTATTGATCTATGTTTGTACTGTTTAGCCTGGTGGGACATTATAATGTCTGGGAGGATTTGGACAATTCTTCCTCATGCCTCATTGTGCAGTACTGTTGTGCCCATGGCGGAACCCAAGCATCCTTGTCCCTCTCCCCCAAATGCTGAAAGCATTCACAATCCTCTTGGCAACGAAAACGCTGCCCCAATTAGCCGGGCGTGGTGGCGTGTGCCTGTAACCCCAGCTACTCAGGAGGCTGAGGCAGGAGAATTGCTTGAACTCGGGAGGTGGCGATTGCAGTGAGCTGAGATCGGGCAGCTGCACTCCAGCCTGGGTGACAGAGAAAGACTCGGTCTCAAAATAACAACAACAACAACGAAAAACACTGCCCCTCGTTTCCAAAATGCCCCCAAGGAAATGGTATTGTAATGGGACCAGAACAGGAAAAGCGAGGATTTGTGGGGCGGAAAGCAGTTTTAATCAGAGGGCCAGCAAACCAAGAAGATGGTGAACTAGCGTTCTAAAGTACTATTTTATTTTATTTTATTTTATTTTATTTTATTTTATTTTATTTTAATTTTTGAGATGGGGTCTCGCTCTGTTGCCCAGGCTGGAGTGCAGCAGCATTATCTTGGTTCACTGCAACCTCCATCTCTTGGGTTCAAGCGATTCTCCTGCCTCAGCCTCCTGAGTAGCTGGGATTATAGGCACCCGCCACCATGCCCGGCTAATTTTTGTATTTTTAGTAGAGACAGGGTTTCGCCATGTTGGCCAGACTGGTCTCGAACTCCTGACCTCAGGTGATCCACCCGCCTCAGCCTCCTGAAGTGCTGGGATTACAGGAGTGAGCCACCGCGCCCAGTCTAAAGTACTATTTTAAATTTTAAAATTTACCATAGGGTTTTTTTTTTTTTTTTGAGATGAAGTTTCACTCCTTGCCCAGGCTGGAGTGCAATGGCGTGATCTTGGCTCACCTCAACCTCCGCCTCCTGGGTTCAAACGATTCTCCTGCCTCAGCCTCCCAAGTAGCTGGGATTACAGGCATGCGCCACCACGCCCGGCTAATTTTGTATTTTTAGTAGAGACGGGGTTTCTCCATGTTGGTCAGGCTGGTCTCAAACTCCTGACCTCAGGTGATCCACCTGCCTCAGCCTCTCAAAGTGCTGGGATTACAGGCGTGAGCCACCATGCCTGGCTACCATAGGGTTTTTAAAGGGAAACTTGGTATGGGAGACATGTGGGAGTGGTGCAGGGTGTGGGGTCTGTGGTGTGACTTGTTCCCTTGTCTGTCCGGGTTGGAGCTATCTTGACTTAAGTAAGGGCATAATTACATAAACATGCATTGCCTAGACAGGGGAGGTAAGAGGGGAGGAAAGGAAGAAAAACAAAATGGGTAATTTTTTAAACTGAGGTCCCCAATTAGAGTATCATGCAAATAAGAACCCCAGGTCTACACAGTAAAGGAAAACTCAGGTTGGGCTGCCCTGCCCTGCTGTTTTGGCCAGTCCCTACCATGCGCCAGGTTCTCAGGAAAGCCTCCCAGGAGACCAGTAAAGCCAGCTGTATTGTTCTCATTTCACACTTAAAGAAGCTGAGGTACAGAGGGATGAAGTGACTTGCCAAGGCACTGACTCCAGTGTCTTCATTTGTAAAGTGGCTTGGAGCAAGCATGCAATGCATATTTATTGAACGAATTAATAAAGAAATGGAGAGACTGTCAGAATTGTCTAGCACCCAGTCTAGTGTGTTTCTGGAATGTGCAAAATCAAAACTGTAAAAAGAAAATAAAATTTTTGGCTGGGCACGGTGGCTCACGCTTGCAATCCCAGCACTTTGGGAGGCCGAGGCGGGCGGATCACGAGGTCAGGAGATCGAGACCACAGTGAAACCCCATCTCTACTAAAAATACAAAAAATTAGCCGGGCGTGGTGGCGGGTGCCTGTAGTCCCAGCTACTTGGAGAGGCTGAGGCAGGAGAATGGCGTGAACCTAGGACACAGAGCTTGCAGTAAGCCGAGATCGTGCCACTGCACTCCAGCCTCGGTGACAGAGCAATACTCCATCTCAAAAAAAAATACAATAAAATAAAATAAAAATCAAATCAAATCTCAGGGCTTCCAAATGTATTGTGGCCAGGGGAAAAGTTAAGCCTTGTAAACTGAGTCACATAACACCGGCTGTTTTTGGACACTTGCTTCCTGACCTTTGTGTTGAAATGTTAAATATTAACCAGATCCCTTATTCTTTATTCAAACCTAGAATAAATGACTTTGGAATCAGAGATCCTGGTGATTGTTACCTTTTTACAAGTGAATATTAAGCAACCCCCTTAGAGTGTAATCAATGGTCGCCAAACAAATCTTGTATCTGTATGTTAGCCTTTGTATGGAAAACCTTGTAATACAGTTTAGCGCCTCCATTTTTGCCTACATAATATAGACCATCCTCACCTTTCCCCACACTGTTCTTGAATAAACTCTTTCAACTAGATTTGAGCTTTTTGATTTGCTTTTGATTGACAAAATAAATATGTAGAATCTGACATATCATAGAATAAGAATTCTTGGCCAGGTGCAGTGGCTCATGCCTATAATTCCAGCACTTTGGGAGGCCAAGACAGGCAGATCACTTGAGGTCAAGAGTTCGAGACCAGCCTGGGCAACATGGTTGAAACCCCGTCTCTACTAAAAATAAAGAAATTAGCCTGGCATGGTGGCACACATCTGTAATCCCAGCTACTCAGGAGGCTGAGACAGAAGAATCACTTGAACCCGGGAGGTGGAGGTTGTAATGAGCCGAGATCACACTACTGCCCTCCAGCCTGGGTGACAGAGTAAGAATTCTGTCTCAAGAAAAAAAAAAAAAAAAAGAATTCCTACTTCCCATAAGGGCTAAAGGAAATAAGACCCATGTTTCTAAAGTACCTGGTACATAATAACTCCTTTTCCTCCCTACATTCTTTACCCCACCTTCACTCTCCAAGGTCAAGGTAAGTATTCACCTTAATAAAAACAAGCCAGTATTCTATAACAGCATTTTAGATTGCAAAAGCATTTTTCTATATATTATCTCACTTGGTCTTCATTTATTCAAAGAGTTGGTTCCAAGCATCCACTAGGCACCAGAGACACCAGCCAGGGAGAAAGACAGATCTCATTCTTAGCCCCTCTTGGATCCCCACACTTCCTCCCTCCACCCTTCAAGATGGAATTCTGCTTCATTAGCATTGGAAGCAAGTCTTTGGCTAAACCCTGCCCTGTGCAATCTGGCTTTGTGTTAAAGATTACACTCTAACCAGATCTGCAGCCTCTGGTGAACCTATTTCTCTTCCAAGTGAGGATTTGGCTTTTAAAGGAGCTATCCCCCCGCACCCTCACCAACACCTAAAAATACCTTGGAGATATGTCTTGCATGTCAGGAACAGGTTTATTCTGGGAACACCAGCTCCCCACTCTGGCTGGCTCAGTCCCGGGGTCCCATATACTAAGAGAGAATCCAGCACTCACAATAGGATCTTAGTAAATACTCATTATTGGAACAAAGGAGGGAAAGAAGGCAGAAAGAACTTTTCGAGTTGGGTCATCCTTTCTCCTTATGTTTGTAGTGAGCTGTGAAATACGTGAATTTCACATGTATGACTTTGCTGCCCTCCAAGAGCCACCAGAGCTAAACTTTTAATTATAGCCATTGTGTTTTAGATGAAGGAGCTTTAAAACATTCTTTGCAGGGAGTGCAATGAATAAACCCTTAAGAAATGCAAAAGTTTTCAGCCTCTTGAGGAATTAACTCTTAGAAGCCATTTACTTTAAAGGGAGAGAAAGCCCTAATAAATTAAGGAAGCTAGACCAGATCATCAATGTCTGTTCCCATCAGTAAAAGATACAGTCTTGCAAAAGAAAGAGGAAGAAAAAAATCAATCCCCATATTGATTAATGCATCTGGATCCAGCTAGCAATGTACAGAAAATGCAGAGGACAGAGGAACGTGGTAACCAACACCAGGGGGATGCAGTCAGCAACATTCAGCTAAAATTCAGGGGATATTCCAAAAGACAGATGTGCACATTTTTTTGTATTGCTTTTAAAACTTGAGAGAGATAGAGGGGAAACCTGAAAAGAGGTCTAAGAGAGCACATCAACCAATTGTTATGTGTGGATCTCATATGGATCTCACTAGAGCATACATTTTTCAAGGTGGTGGGGGGCCATTGTCACCAGTGGAGCAAAAATTGCTTCTTGGATGATGGAAAAATCTTAGCTATTATAATGGTTTGTGGCTCTCCAAAGGGCTGCAGAACCTAAAGAAATATAGCGTATATCTGTGCTATTAAAATTTCATTAGGAGAGGGAAGGCTATGACTGGTAAAATATGTCTACAAAAGCTCCTTAGGGGTGCCATGATGAAAAAAGGTTTGAAAACACTGAATTAGAACATACAAGTTGATATATATATGACGTATCATATCATATCATAGATCATATATATAAGACAACAAGGAAAATATCGAATACTTACTGAGTATTTGATGAAATATTGCTAATTTTTTAGGTATGATAATGGTATTATGGTTATGTTATAAAGAGTGCTAATCTTTCAGAGATAACTACTGAGATATTTACAGATGAAATAGAGAGTAGAGGAGAGTCAAAACGGGGGAAGAGGAAAAGCAGAGCTAGAGAGTCAAAGATAAAAGAAAAGAGAGATTAATTGATGTTTCTCAGAGCAACAGACTTTCTTCTCATTGTATTTCAGGACCCATCTTTTCTTAGACTGTGGTTGCTAACCAGTGGCCCATGGATCACATTCAACCCACACATTTGTTTCGTTTGACCCTCACAGTGTTTTAGAAGCATTTGAACCAACATTTTAAAATGAAAGATTTCACTGAAAACTCTCCATCACCAGCTTCACTTGAGAAATCATACCCTCCAAATCGTGGACCTGAGCCCATAAACAGAACCTCTGTTCTTCTGGTCATCCCAGCTGCCAGGGGTCACACTAGAAATGCCCACACCCACACCCTGTTCTGCCTCTGTAATGGACCAGCAGCCTGATATGTTCATTTCACCTGCTGCCCAGAAAAGCCAATGCACTGGAGAAAAGCAGGTTTTTGCAACAAAAAAGAGTTTAATAAATGCAGAGCCAGCTAAGTGGAAGGACAGGAGTTTTATTATTACTCAAATCCGCCTCCCTGAAATTGCAAAGGCTAGGATTTTTTAAGGATGGTTTGGTGGGCAGGGGGCTAGGGAATGGGGACGCGGATTGGTTGGGTCGGGGATGAAATCACAGGGAGTTGGAGCTTTTCTTCTTGTGCTGAGTCAGTCCCTTGGTGGGGGCCCAAGACCAGATGAGCCAGTTGACCAGTCTAGGTGGTGCCAGCTGGTCCATCAGAATTCAGGGCCTTAACAATACCTCGAACACCAATCTCAGGTATTACAATAATGATGTTATCTACAGAAGCAATTGAGGAGGTTAGGAATCTTGTGGCCTCTGGCTGCATGACTCTTGAGCTGTAACTTCTGATCTTCTGGCTAATGTTAGTTTTACAAAAGAAGTCCAATCCCCAAGGAAGGAGGGGGTTAGTTTTGGGAAGGGGCTGTTATTGTTTTTTTCAAAGTTAAACTACAAACTAAATTCCTCCCATAGTCAGCTCAGTATATGTCCAGGAATGAGCAAGGACAGCTTGGGGGTTAGAAGCAAGATACAGTCGGTTAGGTCAAATTTCTGCCACTGTCATCATTTTTGCAAAGGCACTTTCACTTCCTACCTTTTCCTTCCTTGCCAGCCCCTGATGAACAGAAATTACATCATTAACAATGGCTGGGCCGGGTGTGATGGCTCACACCTGTAATCCCAACACTTTGGGAGGCTGAGGTGGGTGGATCACCTGAGGTCAGGAGCTTGAGACCGGCCTAGCCAACACAGTGAAACCTTGTCTCTACTAAAGATACAAAAAATTAGCCGGTCATGGTGGCGGGCGCCTGTAGTCTCAGCTACTCAGGAGACTGAGGCAAGAGAATTGCTTGAACCCAGGAGGCAGAGGTTGCAGTGAGCTGAGATCATGCCATTGCACTCCAGCCTGAGCAACAAGAGCAGAACTCCATCTCAAAAAAACAAACAAAAAAAATACCAGTGGCCACCAGTCCTTGCACACCAACTGTGGGCCAGGCAGAATTTGGCAACATTATCTCATTAAGCCCTCCCATCAAACCAGGAGATAGTTACTGTTGGCATCTCACATTTTACAGATGATGACACAGCGGCTCACAGAAGTGAAGTAATTTACTCAAAGCCACACAGCCATTTGGAATTCAGACCTGGTCTTTCTGATTCCAAAGCCTGTGGTTCCATGTCATAGCAGCCGCTGCCTCCTTCATGAGACTGCAGCACACGGCCTCAGTCCCCTAGACCACTGGATAGTCAGTCCGATCTGAGCAGGGAGGCAGAGGCTGCTCCAGCTCCCCAGGGACCTGGCCTCAGTCTGGTTGTTCCTTGGCAGGGAATACCTACCATATCTGATCCAGAGTGGATAATTTTTTAGATCCCCTTCTCTATACCAGGGGAATATTAAATTATAATATTCTGAAATAAAATAATAATGAATAGTGAAACATATTTTTCATGTGTAAACGGAAGTTACACTATCAAACAAAAATATGACATCCCACAGTGTGTACTTTGCTCTGCTGTTTTAAATTTTAAACACAAATAAGAGCCTCAAGTGATTATGCAGAATGACAGTTAAAGAAACTCAAGGTCAGTTTCTTCATCTTTACAATTACTGTGCTCTTATTTATTTCAAATCTGTTGTTCAAACACAGGAATATAGAGTATCACAGGGGTAGAGACATAAACTTCATCCAAAGTGAACTCGAACAACTCTACATCTTTACAAATTTATACCCAAAAGAAGAATGTACAGCTGAGTTTGAGTTTGTCAAAGTTGACTGTGTGACAAGGAACGCTCAGAATTAATTTCCATGTGGAGGCTGGGCACGGTGGCTCACATCTGTAATCTCAGCATTTTGGGAGGCTGAGGTGGGTGGATCACTTGAGGCCAGGAGTTCAAGACCATCCTGGACAACATGGTGAAAACCCATCTCTACTAAAAACATAAAAACTAGCCATGTGTGGTGGTATGGTCTGTAATCCCAGCCACTTAGGAGACTGAGGCAGGAGAACTGCTTGAACCTGGGAGGTGGAGGTTGCAGTGAGCCAAGATCGTGCCACTGCACTCCAGCCTGGGCAACAGAGTGAGACTCTGTCTCAAAAAATAAAAGAATTAATTTCCATGAAGAATAATATTTTTAAAGGGTAAGTCATAAAAACGTGCTAATTGGAAGCTGATGTACATTACTCTCATAATACATTAGATCTCATGCCTTACTCACAGGCACAAATTCTCAATAACAACCACAGCAATTGTTTAGACATAGACCAACAATTTTTTTTCAAGGAGGGGTATTGTATCACGAACATTGTTTAGACTTGCAGGCACATGGTTATAATTTGAAAAGCAAGCTGACTTTTAGTTGATTTTATTATTGTAGTTAAACTCTCAGACCATGTACCCCTCATTGCCTCCCTGGGTGAGCATTCCTACAATCTGGGCACCACTGTGCCAAGTGCTCTGGAAGCTGGGCACTGCTGGACCCCAGGCCCCCTCTCCCAGAGCTGACATCCTTCCTTGAGCCCAGAAGGGCCTCCGGGACCCTGGCCTCAAATGTGAGCTGCCCACTAGAGTGGTAGAGTGGGGAGAGAGCCCAAAGTCTGGCATCAGAAGGGTGGGCTAGAATCCCAGCTCTGACACTTCACCTCTTTAAGCCTCAGTTTCCTCATCTGCTCAAAGAGGTTAAGCAAACAAAACAGGCGTGCAGGGAGAGGCAAGCAAGATAGCAAACTATGAGCTAGGGTTCAGAGCGTGGACAGGGTTCTCAGTGGATGAGAGCTTCCGAAAAACCTAGAACAGTCTGAAGGTGCATTCTTGGAGGTAAAAATAGCTGCCATTTATGAGCACTCACTATACATCTGCCACTTTGCATACATTATCTCATTTAATGTCACCCTCATCGTAATTCTGTGAGGTGGATGCTGTCATCCTCATTTTCACTGTGAGGAAACTGAGGCTCAGAGAGGTGAGTGGACTTGCCCGAGGTGTCACAGCTGAACCAGAATTCCAGCCCAGGCTCTGCACATTCCAGAGCCCTCCAGATCCAAAGAGGAGACTGCTTTACCTGCTCTGTGTGGGGTGAACGGGAGACAGTTCCATTCTGGGCCTCACCCTGAAGCCAGGGACACAGGAATCCAGGTCCCGTTGATGGAGCTGGTGCTGCTGGCCCTGGTGAGAAGTTACCAGGAAGCTGGCCTGAGTTCTAGGAGGGAAGATGGGTGTGTTTGCCTGCTTGGTTGCTCTCACTTGCTTAAAGGTCTCTTTAACAACAGAGTAAAAGAGGGATCAAGGTGCTCTTGTGCTTTGGGTCAGGCATCCAGGCAGCCTCTAGATCAAGGAAGAGGTGGCCTTGGGCCTCCAGTTGACATACTCTCGGGGAGACAGTCCAAGCACTTGGCCCTGGAGGAGACACAGTGACAGGAGGATGGGCCTGTCTCCTTATCCTGCATCCTTATTTTAGATTTTGGGAATGCAAATTGAGAGAGGCAAAATGACCTGTCCAAGGTCACGCAGCCTAAAAGTGCCAGCATCCGGCCTTGAACCCTGGTCCGTGAGGCTGCACAGTCTGTGACTTTTCCACTGAGTGTGGCTGCCCCAAGGGTGGCTTAGAGTACTGGTGTCTGAGGACCTTCCTCGGAAGCCACAGCCTCTGTGATCTCTCACCGCGAGAAGCTACCGCAGGAGTGACAATTTTGCAGCCTCTGCCTACGACTTTTTCTATTCTGGGTGTGGGGTGCGTAATTAGCATACATCTGAATACATTTTCCATTTTTAACAGGAATGAGAAATACATGGGAAAAGAGATAAAAAGCTCCTGTTAACTAGTGAGGCTGTGTGTCATGCTCCTTTACATTCCACCTCACGTTCCTCCTTCCGCCTAAGAAGCCCTTCCTCCCTGCTGCTATCGGATAAACTCTGCTCCATCCTCCCAGGCCCTGCTCACAGGTAGCCTGTGTGGAGGCTCCTGGGGTGCTCGCCGGCTTCTCCCCTCCAGCCTCCCTGGACTGTGTGCATCCTTCTTCCCGACTCAGTCACACTGTATTCTGACTTACCCCGGAAGAGAGCTGCCTGGGGTTGTCCTGCCTCCTGTACGTTTGCCTCAGGAGACTTGCTTGGCCGAAGGGTTCTAGAAAGTTCTCTCAACACTGCAGTTGCCTTGACACTGTGCCTGGAACAGCCAGCCTGCAGTGGAGGGACTCCACAAAGATCCCAGGGCTGATTTCAGACTCTGCAATGACTCCATTCTGGCTTTGGGGTCTGTTCTGAGGGTCTGTCCATCCCTGGGCTGTTCTCCCCAACACTGTGAGGACACTTCTGTCTCAGCGCTAGTTGATGGCTAGCCCAAGCTGCAAAGGACTCTCCATAGAGCACAAAACTACCCCAAATGTAAGTCAGATGGCAGCCACCTGGAGGCCTTGAGTCCCCTCCAGCCTGCTGGGCTAAGCGTATTCTTTGAAAATAACTCACACCCCCATTCTAGACATCTCCCTCTCCCTCAGTTAGCCTTGGCGCTCATCTCCTCCTTTGCTGAGTTCTCACTCTCCACGCTACCTTTGCTTCCCACTCTCTCCCATGCTGAACGCTGGACTGATCATTTCACTCCCCCATTGCCAGGAACACAAGCTTCTGTACGTAACAGAATTTTACTCAAGTTTTAGGGTGGTGGAGGGTAGTTATTGCACATCATGCAGCAGAGGCAATAGCTTCAACTTGAATATTATTCCCAAATTCATTATTATCCTAAGATCTATCTGCTGCTTGCCCACCATGGGGAATCTCTCCCTGGCTACATTCATGCTTTGGTGCTAGCTTGTTGCCACATCCCCTACTTCTTTCTGAAAAGAACTCAAGCCCAGCTGAGCCACAGCTGACCTGAAGACCAATGTATGAGAAATAACTGTTTGTGGTAAGCTACTGAGATTTGGTGGAGTGGGGGTAGGGTGGGACTTCTACCCAGCACAAGCTGACTAATACAATCATCGAATCCAACCTCCATGCAATGCATAAAACCACCCCTCACCATCTCTGCCAAGCTGAAATCAAACCTCAGCTTGCACGCCTCCAGTGATGGGGAGCTCACTACTTCACAAGGCTGCCCAATCCCATCTCTGGACAGTTAGATCCTAACCTATCTCCCATCCAAGTTTGACCATTGGTCGCAGCTCCCTCTGTCTCTCCTCCTTGGCCTCACAAAGTCCCCCACTCCCCAGCACAGCCTGGCCAAGACAAAGCAGTGACAGTGTTATGCCCCTGGTCCCTCCTCCTCAGACCCCCAACTGCTCCTATACAGCATGGCTCCCTGTGCCATCTCCTCTCTACTTAGTCTCTTCCACAAGGGCAGAGTCTGGAACTAACCATCATGGCCAATGAGTGTGGCCAGTGGCCAGACCCTTGTGTCTACTGATCTAGACAGTATGCCTCCATGGGCATGGGAAATAACCTAAATTCCAGAAACAGACTCCGGAACCCACTGACCTGGGGGTAGATCCTGGCCCTGCTATCTCCTGCTGTGCCTCCTTGGACAGGCCACTTCATTTCTTGAAACCTCAATGCTCTCATCTGTAAAATGAGGACAATCATTGCCTCCACGTCATGCATCATGCACTAAGTACAGCGCCTGTAACCACCCAATGGGTTCTCTTTCCCACACCCCAGACAGAGCTGATTTATCAAGGCAGGGGAAGTGCAATGGAGAGAGTTTAATTCACACAGAGCTGGCTGAACGGGAGACCAGAGTTTTCTTATTACTCAAATCAGTCTCCCTGGAATTCAGGGGCTAGGGTTTTTCACAGGTAGTCTGGGGAAAGGGGTGGGGTGGCTGCTGATTTGTTGGGCGGTATAATCCAACCGGTGTGGGAAATGATCCTCCTGCCCTGAATCGCTTCTGGGTGGGGCCACAGGAGAGTGGGTGAGTCCAGTTGGAGTCACCATCGGTGGGTGGATCCTGTGGAACCCTAGGTGTCAGACATGCAAAAAACCTGAAAAGATATTTCCAAAAGGCCAACCTTAGGTTCTATCATAGTGATGTTATTTGCAGGAGTGCCTGGGGGAGTAGCGTATCTTATGACCTCTGGAATAATGGCTGGCAGTTGTTTATGTCTACACCTTAGCAGAATTCCGTCTCCTCTCCTAGTCTGGTAGCCTCTCATTAGCTTTAGGAAGGTGGTTGAGTTTTGGGGAAGGGCTGTCATCATTTTTTTTTTTTTTGAGACAGAGTTTCTTTCTTGTTGCCCAGGCTGGAGTGCAATGACACGATCTCGGCTCACTGCAACCTCTGCCTCCCGGGTTCAAGCGATTCTCCTGCCTCAGCCTCCCAAGTAGCTTGGATTATAGGTGTGCGCCGCCACGCCCGGCTAATTTTTGTATTTTTAATAAAGATGGGGTTTCACCATGTTGGTCAGGCTGGTCTCAAACTCCTGACCTCAAGTGATCCACCTGCCTCAGCCTCCCAAACTGTTGGGATTACAGGCGTGAGCCACCATGCCCGGCCGGGCTGTTATCATTTAAACTATAAACTAAATGTCTTCCAAAGCTAGCCCAGGAATAATCAAAGGCAGCTCGAAGGCTAAAGGCACAAGTCAGGTTGGCTAAATCAGATCTCCCCCACTGCCACAATTTTCTCATTGACGTCATTTTGCAAAGGTGGTTTCATGCCTGCCACATTAAAAAGCATGCCACCTCAGCAGAGCAATCAGGAGTAATTGTTTACTACCGACCCCCATGAAACTTACTGTCACCTACAGTTCTTGAATAATGTATTCTTTTTAAAACATTTTCTAATAAAAAACGATATTAAAATACTCAAACAATACAGAAAGAACAAAGAAGAAAGCAAATCTGATCACTCATAGATACTACTGTTAAAATATTTGCTAATACCCCTTAGATTTTAGAGGGACAATGCCAAACTTCTGCCTCCTCACTTGTCCTTGAGGGAGGTAGCACAGGAGAGAGGAATAAAGCAGCCCTTGAGGCCATGCCGACTAGTCTTGGGTGGCAGCTTTGTCACTTGCTGGTTGTGACCCTGGATCAGCAACTTTGTCCCTAGGAGCACAGTTTTATCTTTGGTAGGTGAAGAGATTTTTCTTAACAGCTTTATTGAGATATAATTCAAATACCATCTGTATTAGTCCATTTTCACGCTGTTGATAAAGACATATCTGAGACTGGGTAATTTATAAATAAAAAGAGGTTTAGTGGACTCACAGTTCCTCATGGCTGGGGAGACCTCACAATCATGGTGGAAGGTGAAAGGCAGGTCTTACATGGCGGCAGACAAGAGAGAATGAGAATCAAGTGAAAAGGGTTTCCCTTATAAAATCATCAGAGCTCATGAGACTTATTCACTACCATGAGAACAGTATGGGGGAAGCCGCCACCATGATTCAATTATCTCCCACCAGGTCCCTCCCACACCACATGGGAATTATGGGAGCTACAATTCAAGAAGAGATTTGGGTGGGGACACAGCCAAACCGTATCATCATCCAATTCGCCCATTTAAAGTGTACAGTTTAATCATTTTCAGTGAATTCACAGAGCTGTGTATCCATGATCACAATCAGTTTTAGAATATTTTCATCACCCCAAAAAGAAACCCTGTACCCCTTAGCTGTCACCCCTGCCCCAGGTAGCCAACAATCTACTTTGTCTCTCTAGATTTGCCTGTTCTGGACTTTCATCTCATATGTGGGCTTTTGTGACTGGTTCCTTTTCTCAGCACAATGTTTTCAAAGTTAACCCATGTTGACTGACTGGATGTTTTTACACTTATTAACCTGGATTGTTTTTACATCCTAGCCCCTCCCATAGACAATGCTGGTTTTGCCATTGCTGCTTCTCCAGGTCTCACGAGAGCTTTATATGATCCAGGCCTAGGAAAAAGGGCAAAGAAAAGAGCACATCAGAAAGGAGTTCATCTGTGTTCAGAGAGTGGAGGAGGCAGGAGAGCGTGTACCTGCTGGGTGGAGGGCATTGGGTGCGGCTGGGTGAGGAAGGGGCTGGAGCCCTTTGGGCTGGCTGAGGATGGAGGGAAAATGGACAAGTGTCCAGTGGGTTAGGAATCAGATCCTCTTTAATCTTTTCTAGTGCTGTTTGTAAAGTTGAGAATTCCTTTTTTCATTATTGGGCCAGACTTCCGTGGAAGAATTGCTTGCAGAGACTGGGCTGGTCTAAAAATCTTCAAGAGTTCTCTTGGCGACCCAGCTGAGGCCCTGCACAGCTCAGAGCGATCAGGGCTTCAGACACTCAGGAAGGGTCAGTTGCTTTACATTCCTTCTCATTTAATCCTCACAAATCCATGAAGCAGGAACGTCTTACTGATGGGAAAACCAAGGCACTTAAGGAGCTCTCGGACGGCATGCCCACTGCCTGCCTTGCATTGCTCTGCCGGGAAACTGGACACAAATGATCTCCAGTCACAAGACTCTTGGCTTTGGGCATCTGAGTCAGAGGGCTCCAAGCTGCACTGAGATCGCTTGACATTTTACCATGTTTCTTTTTCTTTGGCTTTTAAAATAGTCTAGAACTATAAAACTCTTAGAAGAACACACAGGGGAAAAGCTTTATGACATTGGATTTGGCAATGTTTTCTTGGCTATGACATCAAAAGCACAAGCAACAAAAGTAAAAATAGATAACTTGGACCACAGCAAAATATAAAAGTTCTGTGCATCTAAGGACAGAATCAACCAAGTGAAAAGGCAACCTATGGAATTAGAGAGAGTATTTGCCTATCACATATCTGATGAGGAGTTAATAACCAAAATATATAAACAACTATGATTCAACGACAGCAAAACAACCCAATTAAAAAATGGGCAAAGGACTTGAATACACATTTCTCCAAAGAAGATATTCATATGTCCAACAAGCACATGCAAAGAAAGTCAACATCCCTAATCACTAAGGAAACGCAAATCAAAACCACAATGAGATATCACCTCACACCCATTAAGATGGCTACTATCAAAAAAATAGAAAATAAGAAATGTTGGCATGGATATGGAGAAATTGGAACCCTTGTGTACCATCGATGGGAATGGAAAATTGTGCAGCCTCTGTGTAAAACAGTATGGCTGTTCCTCAAAAAATTAAAAATAGAATTACCATATGATCCAGCAATTTCCCTTCTGGGTATTTATTCAAAAGAATTGAAAGCAGGGCCTCAAAGGGCTATTTGTACAGCCATGTTTATTTATTTATTTATACACGTTTTGAGATGGAGTTTCAGTCTTGTCACCAAGATTGGAGTGCAATGGCGTGATCTCAGCTCACTGCAACCTCTGCCTCTCGGGTTCAAGCGATTCTCCTGCCTCGGCCTCCTGAGTAGCTGGCATTACAGGCGCCCGCCACCACGGCTGGCTAATTTTTGTATTTTTAGTAGAGACAGGGTTTCGCCATGGTGGCCAGGCTGATATTGAACTCCTGACCTCAGGTGAGCCACCTGCCTTGGCCTCCCAAAGTACTGGAATTACAGGTGTGAGCCACTGCTCCCAGCTACAGCCGTGTTTATAGCAGCATTACTCACAATAGCCAAAAGGTGGAAGCAACCTGAATGTCCAACGACAGATGAGTGGATAAACAATATGGGGCATATACACAATGGAATAGTACTCAGTCTTAAAAAGGAAGGAAATTCTGATGCATGCTACATGGATGGACCTTGAGGACATTATGCTGAGTGAAATAAGCCCATCGCAAAAGAACAAATACTCTAATTCCACCTACGTGATATACCTGGAATAGTGAAACTCATAAAGACAGGAAGTAGAATGGCAGCTGCCAGGGGCTGTGAGGGGAGGAGGATGGGGAGTTAGCGTTTCATGGGTGCAGAGTTTCAGCAGGGGAGGGTGAAAAGAGCTCTGGCGATAGATGGTGGTGATGGTGGCACACAGTGTGAATGTACTTAATGCCACTGAACTGTACACTTGAAAATAGCTAAGATAATCAATGCTGCATGTATTTTACTATTATACAATTAAAAATATATATATAGCCCAGAGTCCTTTATGCTTTCTTAGAGGCCATGGTTGCAAACTCCCAGAAGATCCCAGGTGGAGCTGTGAGTTGCTTTTTAGGAAGGTGCAGGGTCTGCAGCCCCTGACAGCCTTTTGGCCACCTCTGGCAAAGCATCATAGAGTCTGGGAAAAACAAGAACACCACCACCATCCCCACACCCTCATCAGCACACAGCGCACTCACACTCACTCATCAGATTCTATCTTCCCAGAACACCACCCACCTGAGTGATGATTTCACAGATACAGAAGAGGCTCAGAGAGGGTGAGTCACTTGCCCAAGGTCACACAGCTAGTAAAGCGGAGGAAGCTCCCACACCCAGGTGCCTGTTTCCGAAGCTTGCGCTCCTCCCTCAGCCTCTCTGCAACGTGGTCTGGGGTCCAAGTCACACTGCCAGCTCCCTCAGAAATTCTCTCTACATTATGGCTCCTCCCAGGCCTCAGCCTCCTCTCATAAAAAAGGAAAGATGGGGCCAGGTGTGGTGGCTCACACCTATAATCCCAGCACTTCGGGAGGCCGAGGCGGGTGGATCATCTGAGATCAGGAGTTTGAGACCAGCCTGGCCAACATGGTGAAACCTCGTCTCTGCTAAAAATACAAAATTAGCCAGGCGTGGTGTCAGGCGCCTGTAATCCCAGCTACTCAGGAGGCTGAGGCAGCAGAATCGCTTAGAACCTGCGAGACGGAGGTTGCAGTGAGCCGAGATCGTGCCACTTCACTGCAGCCTGGGTGACAGAGCAAGACTCTGCCAGAAAAAAAAAAAAAAAAGATGGAAAGATGCAGTTTGAAGATGTGTGTGAATGCACTCATTCAGTCCCTCAGCAGCTATGACTGGCACCTCCTATGCTCCAGGCGCTGCCCTGCCCCTGCGAAGGCAGTGGTGATGGAGGGACAAGGGCCCTGGCCTCATGGAGCTTACACTGGGGCAGGGGGGCAGACAATAAATACACAAATAGGAGACTCCCAGAGTCAAGGTGCCCTGCAGAATACAGAACAAGGTCAAGAGTGTCTGGGGAGTGCTGCTTTCACTGGGGTGACCTCCCGGAGAAGTAGAGTGAAAGGGGCCAGCCTTTAAAAAGCAGAATTATCAGCCAAAGTGGTGCAAGCAAACTTGGCTTTGCAGGAAAACAGAGAAGAGGCCAGTGTGGCTGGATGCACAGAGCCAGAAAGGTGGGTGGGCAGGAGGCAGCCCCTGCAGCTGGAAACCAGGAGCAGGTTCAGATGTGGTTCCCACTGAGAAGGAGGGTCCTCGGAGACCTCCTTGGAGACCCTGAAGGAGGGTCTCCACTGAGAAGGAGGGTTTGAGGAAGCAAGTGTCATGAACAGGGAAGAGACCTGGCTATGAGTGAGCTATGTGAACTGTACACAGCACTGCACACCCACGAGCTATGACGCATTTGATCTTCTGGGGTCCCCGTTGTGGAGGGTTAATCTCCAGATTCTGGAGGGTTCTGTTTTGTCCTCTGGGCAAACAGGTATACTTTGGTGCTAAGTCAGCTACAATCTGTTCTTCTCATTTCCTTCCCTCTTTGCCTTTCCCGGCTCTGGCGGGCTCTGCACCTGGATTCTGACCTAACCCAGGATGTCCCCATCTGAGCCACTGGAGGGCAGGCCACAGTGGCAGTCACCAAGTAGGCAATGGGGCCACAGGGCAGGCCCCACCCGGGGCAGTCCTCCAGGGAAACAAGGCCTAGGAGGGCGAGAGCAGAGAGGACAGTCTAGAAGAAGAGGGAAAATTAATGCCGGGTGGAGATTAACTGGTGATTGTGTGGAGAAACTGAGGCCTGGAGAGAGGAAGGGACTTATCTAGAGTCACGTGGCTAGTCAGAAACACCCGGGACTAGGTCCCAAGTCTCTAGCAGACCCCACTGTGAGGCCTTCTCACGAAGCCCAGAAATCTAAGCGTTCTGGCCAGGCATGCTGGTTCACCCCTGTATAATCCCAGCACTTTGAGAGGCTGAGGCGGGTGGATCACCTGAACTCAGGAGTTCGAGACCAGCCTGGGCAACATGGTGAAACCCGGTCTCTACCAAAATACAAAAAATTGGCCAGGCATGGTGGCATATTCCTGTAGTCCCAGCTGTGCAGGAGGCTGAGGCATGAGAATCACTTGAGCCCGGGAGGTGGAGGTTGAGCCGAGATAATGCCACTGCACTCCAGCCTGGGTGACAGAGTGAGACTCCATCTCAAAAATAAATAAATAAATAAATTTTAAAAATTAAAAATAAATAATAAATAAAAATAAATCTAAGTGGTCCTAGCGCGTAATAATAATAATAACAACAATGGCTAATCATCATTAAGCTCCCCCTCTGTGACAGCATTCAAAGGCATTTTCATGTTTAGTTCTTCTGCTTCTCACAACAACTGTATGAGATAGGAGCTATTAGCATCTCAGTTTTATAGAGGAGACAACAGGTGAGTTTACACCACAGGATTCCAGCTTTAGTCTATTGCCTCCAGAGCCCCACTCTTAACAACCACGCTGGCTGCATTATTAGAAAAGCAAGCCACAAGGCTCAGAGAGGGGAAACGGCTTATCAGGGCCACTCTAGCCAGCACTAACACTCATGTTGTAGTCACTGTCCTATACTATTCCCCAGAAGATATGTCTTCTTTGTCTTTATCATTATTATGTTATTATTATTATTTTAGAGACAGGGTCTCTATTACCTGAGCTGGAGTTCAGTGGCACCATCATAGCTCACGGCAGCCTCCAACTCCTGGGCTCAAATGATACTCCTGGTTCAGCCTCTCGAGTAGCTGGGAATACAGGCACACGCCGCCTTGCCCAGCTAATTTATTTTTTATTTTTTGTAGAGATGGGGGTCTCTCTATTTTACCCAGGCTGGTCTTGAACCCCTGGCCTCAAGCAATTCACCCACCTTGGCCTCCCAAAGTGCTGGGATTATAGGTGTGAGCCACCACGCCTGGCCCTTTGTCTTTATATTGATGGCACTAAGTACAGGAACAGGCTTGGCACAGAAAATATTGCTTGCACTGAAATTAATTGTGGTAACACGTTTTCCTTAATTGTTGCAGTTTCATTCTGTGTATTTAGCAAGAAAAGAGGGCAGTTTCAGGAAGGAAGGGGACCAAACAAATACCCTGGCTGGGCCTGGTTGTGACAGAAAGAACATGAGCTTTTTGTGAAGTCAACATTTCGTTGCTGCAAATCTATGGGATCTGCGACAAGCCATTTCGACTTGCTCGGCCTCAGTTTTTTCGTCTAGAAAAATAAGGATAAAATGCCTAGCCTCACAGGGCATGGATTAACTCAATTAATGAATATAAAGCAGGGGTTGACGATATTTTTTCTCCCAAGGAGCAGAGAGTAGATCTTTTCGGCTTCGTAAGCCATACAATTTCTGCCACAACTTCTCAACTCTATCTTTGTTGCACAAAACCAACCATAGGCAATATGTATTTACAAAAACAGGCAGTAGGCTGGATTTGGCTCCCTGGCCATGGTGTGGTGATACCTGATCAAAATCAGTCCAAGCCAGGGATACATAGGACTTCATCATGACTTTCATGAGCTCTAGGTACTTGTGCCTTCATGGGTCCTTCTTACCATAGCAGAAGTCTGTTGGCCCTAGAAATTTTTTTTTTAACGTGAAAAAATTATCTTATGATTTTTTAGAAGAAATTAAAATATTTTGAGGGTCCATAAAAGTATCGTGGCCCTTAGCTCTGTGCCTATGTGCCTGATGGATCGGTCAGCACTTGGCAAGCCACAAGCAGGTGCTCAGGGAAGTGAGACTTCCCTCCCCATCTCCTTCCCTTTACTGAGTCTACCTGTGTATTTGTCTGCTCCAGGCTGCTATAACAAAATACAACAGACTGGTGGCTTGAACAACAGAAATGTGTTTTCTCACAGTTCAGGAGGCTGGAAGTCTGAGATCAAGGTGTCCATACGGTCACTTTCTGGTAAGACCTCTCTTCCTGGCTTATAGGTGGCCACCATCTCACTGTGTGCACATCTGACCTCTTTGAGCATGTGCAGAGAAACAGCGCTCTGGTATTGCTTCTTGGAAGGAAACTAATCCTACAGGATCAGAAACCCATTCTTGTGACCACCTCATTTAGCCTTTATTACTTCCTTAATATCTCCAAATACAGCCACACTGAGAGTTAAGGCTTCAACATATGAATTCTGGGCGAGACATAGTCCATCTATAGCAGCCTGGAATTGGATAAGGGGAGGAAGCAGGAAGACTTCTGCATGGCAGCTTACAAGATAGTATCTGTGAGCGCAGGCTCTGCAATGAGGTAGCCTGGGCTTTAGATCCTAGTGGACTTTCACTGGCATTTACCAGAGAAGTCATTTCACTTTTCCTGCCCTCAAGTTCCCCAGGTAAAATGAGGATAGCTATGGTTTCCACCTCACTGGACTGCTATGGAATGTGTGGCAGAAATTCAAGAGAGGATCTGGCACATGGTAAGCACTAGATCAATGTTAGTGATGGTGATGGTAAGGATGATGATCATGGTGATGGTGATGGTGGTGACAGTGATGGTGATGGTGAGAATGATGATGATGATGGTGATGGTGGTGATGGTGAGGATGACAATGGTGATGGTGAGGATGATGATAGCGATGGTGAATGATGATAATTATTACTGTGGTGATTATAATTATGGTGATGATGGTGAGGATGATGATGGTGAGGATGATGATGGTAAGGATGATGATGGTGATGGTGATAATGTTGGTAATGGTGATGATGGTGATGGTGATGATAAGGATAATGATGGTGGTACTGATTATGGTGATGATGATGATGCTGAGGATGAGGATGATGATGATGATAGTGATTGCTATGTTTTAAATGTTTTTGTCCTTGCCAAAATTCATGTTGAAACTTAATCTCTAATGCAACAGTATTGGGAGGTGTAGCCTTTGGGAGGTGATTGAGTCGTGAGGGCTTTGCTCTCATGAATGGCAGTTAGGTGCCCTTGTAAAAGGGCTTCATGAGGGGAGTTCACCTCTTTTTGCCCTTTCCATTCCTTCCACCATGTGAGGACATGGCATTCCTTCGCTCTGGAGGATAGAGCAACAAGGCGCCATCTTAGAAGTGGAGACTGGGCTCTCACCAGACACCAGACCTGCTGGTGCTTTGATCTTGGATTTCCCAACCTTTGGTACTGTCAGAAATAAATTTCTATTGTTTATAAATTACCCAGGCTATGGCATTTTCTTATAGCAGCATAAATGGACTAAAACAGTGATGATGATGGTGATGTTGATAATGGTGATGGTGATGGTGATGATAATAGCAAGGATGATGGGATGATGGTGGTGATGGGTGATAGTGATGATAATATAATGGTGATGATAAGGATGATCTTATAAGAAATGCACAGACAGTGGTTGCATGTCCCCAGTGCCTGGGATCTTTTAGCTGAACCTAAGTCTTTCCCATTACCAATGCAAGGAAGACCCACCAAAAGCAGTAGATGCTGGCATCTCTGGGTGAGAACACTGACACTTAATCTCTTTTTCTGGGCTCCTTGCAAACAAACTATCTGTTTAAACTCTTCTTCCAGATGGACAAATAATTGTCCCTTCATTCATCTCCAATACTCTGACACCTACTAAATGTCTTGAAGTTACCATCAGACTCACAGGTTTAAGAGCTCGGGACATCACATGACTGCCTCCACTGCAGATGCCAGCCAAACGTTTCAGGTACCACTCACACTTCTAAAGAGCCAGCTCTAAATTCACGGGTCCCAGACTCCCTCGGATTTAGTAGTTCTCATAGAACTCATTGAAAATACTAGATTACAATCACAGTTTTATTACAAAGGATACAGAGAAGGACCAACTGAGTGAAGAGGCACAAGGCAAGGTTTGAAGAGAGGGGTGCAGAGCTTCTGTGACCTCTCCTTGTGGAATCCAGAAACACTGCTTTCCTGGCACATCAGTGTGTTCACCAATTAGGAAGCTCCACCAAGCCTTGGTGTCCAGAGTTTTTATTGGGGTTTGATTTTGTGGGCATGACTGGTTAAGTCACTGGCTGTGTGATTGAACGCAGCCTCCAACCCCCTTCCTTCCCCAGAGCTTGGGCTGGCCCAAAATACCAACCCTCTAATCTCATGGTTAATCTTTCTGGTAACCAATCCCCATCCTAAAACTATCTAGGGGCCTACCTCCTTAGCATAACAAAGACCCTTTTAGAACTCAGAAAATTCCAAACATTTTTGGAGCTCAGTGCCAGAAATGGGAATGGAAACCAGATACATTCTTATTATAGCAGACTTTCCTTAGGCAGCCCCCTCTTCTCCCTCCTCAAACTCTTAATTGAATTTCTAAGATCTGAAATTTTTCCTTTGAACTTGGGAGACATCTTGTCCCTGGAAATGACATTGGCAAGAGCCGATCTTATCCCTTAGCCATATGGGGGCTTATTCTGCTTATGTTTAGATAACCACAGACCCTCCCTTAACCTCCTTCTGATCTGGAGCTGGAGCTTCAGGTCAGTTGTGCTGGACCCCTGTTGACTCCAGTAGGGATGGCACCATGTCCAAGAGGCTGAAGAAGAGACCCGAAGCCAGTGAATAATACACAGGGTTTTTTGAGGGCTTACACATGGGATAGTCTAAGGGCAGTGGGCTGGACAGGAGAACCACTGCCATTTGTAAAAAACATGTAGTTTATACAGCAATCTTCACTTAGCACACTCTACCTAGCAACTTCTATTTAACCCAAAACAAAGGCCTCCATCTCCTGTATGGCCTTCATTCCAAGGAATGGGCCAGGGGTTCAGATGTTCTTTGTAGATAAAGAGTGAATCTCTGAGTTGGCTACTCCCGAATTCCCTAGCTCAAAACTCTGAACTGACATTCTTAGACCATAGGGTCATTCTCAGGGTATGCTTGAGTTATTGCTGTCAGGTGTGTCTTCTGTACAAGGTCTGAACCCCACTTCCTGGGCTGAGGCTGGGGCCCTCACCCACCTATGTCCTCTGATGGATCTGCCCAGATTCCCCTGTCTCACCTGGCCACTGCCCAAGACCCCTGGCTGTGCTTTCTTGACTCACCCCAACTTCAGATCCTGAGCTAGAGAAACGTAAAAAAAATTCTGATTTGGAATGAGTCTTAAAAAGATGTAAGTCCAACTGCCAATAACACATTCCCAGCTCTGCCATTTGCTAGTTGGATGATCTAGAGCAAATCACTTTGTAAGCAGACGGGGAGGGTCTCCAGGGACTATAGGAATTTAATCAACTCGAGCAATCAGCCTGTTTTACAGCCTTCTGCCTTGCAGCCTGTTTTTCCCCAAGCCCCATGTGGAATGCTGTCATCTAGTCAGTTGGAAGCAGCGCCTGACAGACCTCGGCAACTCAGAGATGAACCCAAGTGAACTTTCCTCACCACCGTGCTGAAGTCTTACCCATGGAGGAGCTATAGCTTCATTGCCGTAACATGCTACCTATGTGCTGGCATGAGGACTCACTGCATCTGTGCCACTGGGACCCGTCCTCTGCATGCGATGATGCACCCTCTCCCCTCTCCATCACCCCATAAAACCCTCCTCTCATTTTCTCTCAGGGAGACACTGCTTTGGAGAATATTCCCAGTGCTTTTTTTTACTTTGACAATTTTCCCTCGGGGAGACACTGCTTTGAAGAATACTCCCAGTGCTTTTTTTTTTACTTGTGACAAGTAATAAAACTCCTATTGATCAAAACCTGTATTCTCATGGAGAGTTGTTTGTTACTCACTAGGTGAACAAATCAAGCCTGTTTTTGGGGGGTAACAGCTTCAAATTCAGAAGATTCTATTTCCTCATCTGGAAACAAGAAAAAGAATGCTGCAGGAGTCAGGACTACTCTAGGCTTTGCTGGGGTAACAAAATTACATCCTAACCTAAAAGAGGTGACTTGCCCCTCATATCCCCACTCACAGTGCTGCTCCATCTTGCAACTCTGTCATCTAAGGCACGTGTTCTGGAAGGTCACCAGGGCAGGCAGAAGAAAAGCAATGGAGGGGGCACACTGGCTTTCAGTTGCCTTGGCCAAAAAGTGACCGATGTTACTTCCACACACAAGCTACTGGCCAGAAAGAGTCACATGGCTCCCAAATACTTGCAGGAATTTCTGGAGTTTTGCAGGAATTTTTGTCTATGTGCTATTTGGCAAGCACCTACAGTCTTTCCCACAGGTCCTTTGGCTCATTGGTTGGGAAAATCGGAGAGCTAATGGACATCAAAACTCCAGCCACAGAGCAGGTGATTGCCAAATGCAGTTTTCCGTTCCCACAAAAAGCCTCTGTTTTGCCTGGTAAGGCTTTGGTATTGGTAAGAGGTCATTTCCATTTGTGCTATTTTCACAGTGGGGTGTCCTTACCTCCTGGCTGCCCAGATGGGGCAGGTCCTAGGGGTGTGGCTGCTGGGACAGTTTGGGCTGGGCTGTGGAAAGCTCTGCAGAGGCAACCATGTTATTCCTCCCAACTCCTCCCCAGAGTCAGAGATCACTAGCATCATTAGAGAGCCAACTGCCCAGCCTTCCAATCAAAGCCATTGGCAGAGCTTATCTCAAATGTCACTGTCCTTCGCCTTAGCAGCCAAAGGTCAAAAACAATCTGACTTCGGGCTGTTGTTTTCTATTTTCTGGCAAAGTTTACTCCGTGTTGCTGTAACTGAGTTGGTTAGTAGAAGACAGCACAAGACATGCAGTCAAGATAAAAACAACAGACTGAGTGCGGTGGCTCCTGCCTGTAATCCCAGCATTTTGGGAGGCTGAGGTGGGAGGATTGCTTAAGCCCAGGAGTTCAAGGCCATCCTGGGCAACATAGGGAGGCCCTCTCTCTACAAAAAAATAAGAAATAAAAATAAAAATTGGCCGGGTGTGGTGGTGTGCACCTATAGTCCCAGCTACTTGGGAAGCTGACCTTAGAAGGTTGAGACTGCAGTGAGCTGACTTCACACCACTGCACTCCAGCCTGGGTGACAAAGAAAGACCCTGTCTCAAAAAAAAAAAAAAAAAAAAAAAAAAAAAAGATAACTACAATAATAGCAGCAGACATGTATTGAGCACTTACTATGTGCCAGACTTTTTGCCAAGTGTTTTACAAGAATTGTCCCATTTAACTCTCTTAACAACCCTATGAGAAAGACCCTATTAGTGTCCTCATTTGACAAGTGGGCAAACTGAGGCACAGAACAGTAGGAAAACTGTCCTGAGGTCATAGTTGGCACATGGCAGGGCCAAGATTCAAACCCAGGTCTGCCCGACTCCATGGCCTCAGTCCTGGACCACCAGACTCTACACCTGGGCCCAACAGCGTCCTTGCTGCTCACCGGTGGCAGGCACACTTTACAACACAAAGAACCCCTGCCCCTCAGGGTGTGCGAGGATTAAACTCGTTCATCTGAAAGACTGAGTCTGCAAGTGTTTACCAAGTGTCCACACTGTCCAAGGACCTGGCCCAGTTCTGGGGTTCAGGAGATGAATCAGATCTGGGTTTTTCAAGAGCTCATGATCCAGGTTAGTAATGGTTCCCATGGCCCTGTGACGGAGGCCATGTGTGGGATGGAGGCCATGGAGGATGCAGGGAGGAACCAGGAAGATGGACCAGTGGGGCAGGCGGAGCAAGGGAAGGTCAAGAAAGAGCTCAGACTTCACCAATGAGTAGGTCAAAAAAGGGAGGTCATGCCAGGCAGAGACCAGCCTTGGCCAAGGTGTGGATTGGTATTGCTGAAGTGTAAAACCCAGGACAGGGGCATGGCAGGTGTATTAGTCTGTTCTCATGCTGCTAATAAAGACATACTCGAGACTGGGTAATTTATTTATTTATTTATTTACTTATTTTATTATTTTTTTTTTTGAGATCGAGTTTCGCTCTTGTTGCCCAGGCTGGAGTGTAATGGCACGATCTCAGCTCACTGCAACCCCGGCCTCCCACGTTCAAACGATTCTCTTGCCTCAGCCTCCCGAGTAGCTGGGACTACAGGTGCGTGCCACCACGCCCAGCTAATTTTTTTTTTAATTTTTAGTAGAGACGGGGTTTCAGCATGTTGGCCAGGATGGTCTCAATCTCTTGACCTTGTGATCACCTGCCTCAGTCTCCCAAAGTGCTGGGATTACAGGACTGAGCCAAGCCAAGGTAATTATATCCAGGCCCAGCCGAGACTGGGTAATTTATAAAGGAAAGAAGTTTAATTGACTGACAGTTCAGCATGACTGAGGAGGCCTCAGGAAACTTACAATCACAACAGAAAAGGAAGCAAACATGTCCTTCTTCACATGGCCTCAGGAAGGAGAAGTGCTGAGCAAAAGGGAGAAAAGCCCCTTATAAAACCATCAGATCACATGAGAACAGCCTGGAGGTAACTGCCTCCATAATTCAATTACCTCCCTCCAGGTGCCCCCATGACACATGGGAATTATGGGAACTAAAATTCAAGCTGAGAATTGGGTGGGGACACAGCCAAACCAAGTCATCAGGGACACTTTAAGGGATGTTACTGGACAGTAGTCCAGTAGTCCAGGGGACAGAAGGTTTGTTTATTCATTTATTCATTTATTAAGTGAGTATCCATACAGCACCAAAAGATCCTGACACTGCAAGGGGGATTGTGGATACAGCAGTGAACAAGGCACAGAGCTTAAGGTGTGGGGGAGGAAGATGGGCAGTAAGAGCGCAGACAAGTGGTCAAGTACATAACAGTTTCAGAACGACAGGGCCATGAATAAGGAGAAGTGCCTTGAATGCCAGGCCCAGGGAGCTGAGGTGCTGGAGAGCCCACTACCTCAGAGGAGGTGTGGGCAGAGGAGGGATGAGGTTAGATTTGTGTTTCAGAGGCTTGCCCTATGCAGGAGGGAAGGGACCTGGGGGAGCAGGAGCCACATGGTGGCCAGACACATTGCGGCTGTTCAGGGAATGCTGTGGAATCTGGGTCTCGGTATGGCATGCCTCCTGATCAGGGCCTGCACCAACCTGCTTCTGGCTGCTGGGTCCCCAAGGACATCTGCAGGCAGGGCTAGACGCCTCCAAATCACAGCTGACCCCGAGCCAGGGAGAAAGGGGGAAAGGGACATCTTGATAAGCCAAAGGCCTCTGGTATTTTGGCTTATCATCTCCTGAAGAAGGAGACAGCCAAGTCCTGGTGCTCTGCTGCTGACTGGCTGAGGATGGCTGAGGCCTCGGCGGGGTTTCCCTAGGACTGCATCCACCCCTGAATGATGGAAAGAACCCTGGCTGGGAGTCAAGAGGCTTGAGCTCAACTGATGCTTCCACCCCCGACTTGCTCTGTGCCCACAGGCAGGCTGCTAGCCCACACTGGGCTGAATCCTTCTCAGCAAAATGAGGGAAATAATCCCACCTTCCCACTGCACAGGGCTATGGGAAGGAGCAAGGCAGATCATCCATTCATTCCTCATCCAGCAAGTTCTAATTAAGCACATACTGCGTGGGTAGGGGCACTCAGTGCCAGGTGGGAGGGGCGGTGCAGCCAGCAGAATAAGAAATCACTTGTATTTGTTAAGTGCTGCTTATGACCCAGGCTCCTCTCTAATAATATCATGTGGATTTGCTTCATTTAATTTCCACAGCAACCCAATGAGATGGGTTCTCTCATCACCCTCTTTTTATGTACAAAGAAACTAAGGCAGAAAACAGCTACGTCCCTTGCCTGTAGGGAGGGCCCACAGTGAGTAGTAAACAGGGACGTGAATTTGGTCTGAGTCCAGAGCCCATCCTTCTATCCACTAAGCTACACTGCTTGCCCGTCCACACACAGCTCACAGCCCAGGTGAGGGGGATGCTGTTTAAAAAAACCCAAGAAACAAGTGAAGGGTGAAACTGAAAAGTTGTGTGGCATAAAGTTACAAGGGATCAGAGATGGGAGGAGTGGGCAGAAGTGGCCCTCTAGGGAGCCCAGAAGAGGGAGTGGCAGCTGGCAGAGGGAAGAGGGAGACGCCCAGTGTGTGGGGCATGGTAGGCTGTGGTGGGAGGGTCAGGACACAGCGGGGCTCAGAGGCTGCAGGCCTGGGAGGCCTCTACAGGGAGTTTGCTCTTTACTCCAAGAGTATTGAGAAGCCACTGGAGAGATGCGAGCTGATTTAGGTTCTAGGAAGAATCCTCTGGACCCAGAGGACCACAAGTGGACACAAGGAGACCATTCAAGAGACACGGCACGATGGAGGGCGATCTGGTTGTGACATCTATCACCCCACTGGATTGCCAAAGCCGATTCAGCTGATCTGGCTGGCTAGGCGGGTGTCCCCTTCCTCCCTCAACCCTCCACATGTGTCCCTCCCAAAGCTGTATGCTCAGTCAAAGGGGGCGACCTTCCCTGAGAGAGGAGGGCCATTCTTCTGTTAAGGGTATAAAAGTAGCTGTGCTCCCCTGCTAGAACCTCCAAACCAGCTCTTGAGAGGCACTGCAGTGAGCCCAGTGAGAGAAACAAGGTGGTGCCCACGGGGCTGGGAAGAAGAAGGCAGCTTTGGGCAGGACACAGCAGAATAGAGTTGACAGCAGTGCATGGGTAAGGAGGGTGACTGTGGGAAGCTTGGTACATGGCACAAAACATGGATCTCAGAGACAGCTTTGCAGGAAACAAAGTAAGAGTCAGAACAAAACCAAAGTGGAGAAGGAACAGGTGGACCCAGCCAGACCCGGAAACCCTGGCTCCATCCCCACCAGCCATGTGACTTCCAGCAAGTCACTTCACCTTCCTAACCCTCGCTTTCCCTGTCTCCAAAACAAGGATATAAACACCCACATCTCACGAAATTGTTGAGATCATGAAAGCGATAGCTCCTGCCACGTGGGTTTAAATCACTGCATATCATTAGCTGGAATTTGCTGAGCATGTACTACATGCCAAATGCTATGCCATGTGTTCTGTACAAGATCTCATTAATCCTCCCAACATCCCAGTGAGGTAGGGCAGAGTTATTCCATTCATTATTCAGTGAGACTCAGAGAGTGAAGTGATTTGCCCAAGATCACATAGTGACTAAATGTAGGACTAGAATTTAAACACAGAAAGGTCTTGTTCCGGCCGGGCGCAGTGGCTCACGCCTGTAATCCTCAGCACATTAGGAGGCCAAGCCAGGCAGATCACGAGGTCAGGAGAGACCATCCCGGCTAACACAGTGCAACCCCGTTTCTACTAAAAATACAAAAAAAAATTAGCCGGGCATGGTGGCAGGCGCCTGTAGTCCCAGCTACTCAGGAGGCTGAGGCAGGAGAATGGCGTGAACCCAGCAGGTGGAGCTTGCAGTGAGCCGAGATCATGCCACTGCAGCCTGGGTGACAGAGCGAGACTACATCGCAAAAAAAAAAAAAGGAAGAAAGGTCTTGTTCCAAAGCCTGTGCTTTGAATTCCTACACCAGTCAGCATTAGCATATGGTCAACTGCAAGGAACAGCAGGCAAAGGCGCTTATACAGCAGGGGTTTATTATTCTCACATATCAAGATGTCTGGTCTTAAATGATTCCAGGGTAGAGGCAATAGCTCAACCATGTCATCAAGGACTCACGCTCTTCCCAATTTCCCACTCTGTCCCTCTTATTCTGGCAGCTTGCAATTTGGCTGCCGCAGCTGCAAGCAGCATGAATGTATCCCAAGAGAGAAGGACAGAAGATGGCATAAAAGGAGTATCCTCTCTTATTATGCAGGAAAAATTATGCTTGAAAACCTGCAAGAGATTTGCCTTTATGTCTCATTGGCCAGAAATAGGTTGCAAAATCAGTGTTGACCTGTTGACCCATCAGTGGCAAAAGAGTAAGACTGGCATGATGTGGTAGTTTTCAAGCATATCTACATATTCTTGTCAGTCATTAACAAGTAGAGTGCCCTTGAATTTGGGCCAACCTTAGGAACTTGACCAACAGAATGTGTCAGAAGTGACACCCTGTGACTTCCAAGGCTCGGTTGTAAAAGGAGATGGAGTTCCCATCTGGTTCACTAGAACACATGTGCTAGAGCCTTGTGCAGCCATGTTGTAAGGAGGCTCAACTAGCCCATGCAGAGAGGAAGGGTGATAGCCTGTCCTATGGCTGGTCTGGCTGAGGTCTCCCTGGGACCTGCCTCCTTTCTGAGTCTCACTCTTCATTCCTGGGGATCCCTCCAGCCTGTTCCTGTTCAGTTCAGCATCCAATGGCCAGGGCTGGTTTCTATGGCCTGCCATTCCTCACCATCTCCATCCCCACCCTGTCACACTGTCCAGTCACCATGCCTGACACTCTTCAGGGCACTTCACACCATTGCAGATACCTTCTGTTACTGTCTTTATTTCTCTCCCGATTTGAATATAAGCTGCGTGAGAGCTGTCTTATTCACAGTTGTATCGTTCCCAGCACCTTGAAGAGTGCCTAACATAAAACTAGGGTCAGAAATTCTGTATATAATTGTTGAATGGGCATGTGAGTAAATATGGAGAGGAGGAACCACATAAGCAAAGGCTAGGAGGGAGGGAGTGTTAGAGAACAAATGCAAACCAAAGCAATGTGGAAAGTAAGGAGTCACCTTCCCAGTGGGCACCAGCCTCCTCTCCATCCTCACAAAATTCAGCTCAGGCCATGGCCAGGGGTCTGGCACAAAGCAGCAGACCAGCTGCTGTGGCAGCCCAAATGGCAGAGGAACATGTGCTGTGTCTGTGCCTGCACTGCACTAGGGGTTTTACAAACCTCCTCTCATTTTATCCCTACAATAATCCTATGAGGTGATGTCAACATCCCCATGGACACATGAGGAGACGGAGGCCAGGGAGAGCAATGGACAGCTTCCAAGGAAAGATGGGCCAGCTCTGGGGCTCACACAGTTCCCTCTGCAGGGCTTACTGATACCAGCCATAAGGAAGACCCTAGAACTGCAGGCCTTGGAGTCACAAAGGGAGGCCCTCACTAGCCTCTGCTTGAATATTCACAGTGATGAGGCACTCAGCCCATGCCATTGCCAAAAGTTTCCACCTGGCAGGTTTAGGGAAGAGAAGAAGGAGGCTAGTCTTGGGAAAAGGTTCTAGCAAAAGCCGGAAAGACCTTAGAGCAGGTCTAACAGGGGCGAGACCAGATGCAATTTGGACTATAGGACAATCTCCAGGACAAGAGGAGACACTGCAGTCAGGGAGCTGGAGGACCACAGACACTTGGGTGTGGGGCACCCACTGCTGGAGGTGATGGGGGGCTTGCTCAAGGTCAAGGCAGACAGGAACTAGATTATGGGGTTTTCTTCTGACTGTCCTGGGGCCCCTAAGACTCCATCTTGCATGTATCCCAAAGGCAGTACAACTGTGTAGCTGATGTCTCCTTCTGGCAGACAAGGTCATAGGGGGTGCCTGCTGCCTGCTAGCCTGGGACCCTGGCAGCTACACCAACCATTAGCTGGCAATGAAGGGCCTCTGGAACCTGTGTCCAGTGGTTTCCCATACTGGCTGTCATCGCACAAGTCTGCCCAAACGCCACCCCACCTCATCCTCGGGAATCTTGGATCTGCTCGGGCTCCCAGCTGAGGGTTTGGAATGGCTTTCTCCCACCCACCTTGGGGTAGGGCAGAAGATCATTCGAGCAGCTGTCACTAAATCTGATCCTGCTACAGCCCTGGGTAAAGGTTTATTATTGCCTCTGGGTGTCCTAACACAGGCAAAAGTGCCTGGCTCTGGCCTCTCCTGGATGTGGGTTCAAATCCTGGCTCCCCACCTCTTTGTGCTTCATTTGCACTCTCTAGCCATCAGAGGAAGTGTTGTGCAGATTAAATGAGCTAATGTATATCAATATAAGAGCCCAATAGATGATGACTCCTACAGCCTGCAGGAAAGGAAAAAAGTTCATTGAAATACCAGTGGCAAATCACTTTAATCTAATGTTACAGAGGGAGAGTTCACGGGCTGAGCAATAATGAACTCTATGGAGAACATCCATAGGGTGCATGTGAGAATGCGAATTCCACCGGACAATATTTATTCTTCTTTTATCATTCAATAACTTATTATTGAGTGTTTATTCGGTGTGCTAAGAGCTAGGGACATAAAGATGAAAATATCTGACCCCTACCCTGCGGGTCAACAAAGAGCCACCTATGTGAATAAACAATTCCAATTGACCAGATCATTGTTGTCACGAACACGTAGGCTATGTTCGGTGGGAGCACTAGAGAAGGAGTACTGCCTAATTCTGCCTGGGGACATAAATCAAAAAGTCATCATTGCTATGCTCCAAGAGTCCAGAGTCTAGAAGGAAGGAAAAACATGTGAAAATACAATTGACTCTTGAACAATGTGAAGGCTAAGGGCATCAAGACCCTACACAGTAAAAAAATCTGCCTATAACTTTTGTCTCCTCCAAGACTTAACTGCTAATAACCCACTGTTGACTAGAAGCCTTACCGATAACATAAACAGTCCATGGAATACATATTTTGTATGTCATGTGTATTATATACTGTATTTTTACAATGAAGTAAGCTAGAGAAAATAAAATGTTATTAAGAAAATCATTGGGAAAAGAAAATATGTTTTCTCTTCGCTAAGTGGAAGTGGATCATCATAAAGGTCTTTATCTTGTTATCTTCACATTGAGGAGAAGGAGGAAGAGGATGAGTTTGCCTTGTCCACAAGTGGCAGAGGAGGAAGAAAATCCACGTAGAAGTGGACCTGCGCAGTTCGAACCCAGGTTGTTTGAGGGTCAACTGTACAACCAGATACTGGTCAAAGATGTATGAGCAACATTTAGTAGGAGCACTGAAGAAGGAGCAGTAAGTTCTCCCCAGTGGAGTTAAGCCAGGTGTCCTAGAACAAAAGAAGAGGACCTGAAATCTGGAAGATCATCAGTGACCATGAATGTCCGTGGCCTCCCTCCTGCCCTTGCGGTTCCCGACCCAGGCCTTCAGCCCAAGCTGTTCCTGTTGCCAGGCTCCGGCCTTCCTGGGCCCATGCCCACACCCCAGCTCATCCTACTCAGCACCAGAGCCTTGCCCACTCTGCTCCTTGAGGACCTCCCATGCTGGGCCCCCACTGTCCCCTGAGGTGTCCACTGGTACTGAGCCCACCCAAGTCTTCCCAGAAGGTGAGACCAGGAAATGTGCTTTTTTGGCTTTCTCTCCCTCTGCTTCTTGGAAGCTGCTAACTCATGCGTCCCACCCACTTCAGATTTCACAAACACAAAAACATTGACCTCCCGCCCGCTTAGAGTGGGTCAACATCCCATAAGGTAAGCTCATTTTCAGAGAAGAGGAAACAGGCTCAAAACAGTCAGGGAAAAAAAAAAAAGACAGAGACGGGGTCAGCTCCAAGTTCAGATCTCCACCAGGCACAACACAGCTGACCTATGGGTCCCCTAGGCCAATCAAGGTCATGGGCCTCTGTGAACTGGCCTTCGCTGAAAGGGTTAAAGGAATCAACATTCATTTTAACAAAGAATCGCTGAGCTCCTACCCTGCGGCTGGCACTATTCTACATGCTGGAGATTTGGCAAACAACAAGACAGACAAACATGGAGCTTGGATTCTAGTGAAAAGAGATACACAATCAACGGGCAAATAAATGAACAAACAATGACATTTCCAAGAGTCATATACGCAAGGAAGACAATGAAACAGCGAAACGGGATGGAGGGCAACTAGAGGTGAGAGGGGCTGCTCATTTAGACAGGGTGGTCAGGGAAGGCCAAAACAACAACAAGGATCCTGCCACACAAAGAGCTCTGGGAAGTGTTTCAGGCCCAGAGAGCAGCAAATGCAAGGGCTCCAAGGTGGGAATGAAATTTGCATGTTCATAAAGCAGCAAGACGGCCAGTGTGGCTGCTGCAGAGTAAGGAAGAAGCGAGCATTATGAGATGAGGTCAGAGAGGTGGGGGAGCCAGCTCATGAGGGGGTCTTGTTCATTTGGGAAAGAGGCCAGGGCTGACCACACTAGAGAAAAATTGGCTGGGTACTTGTCACAGGACCTGGATGGTCACTCACTTACTGGGGCGGCAGAGAAGGCTACAAGGCCTGAGGCCTTGGTTATCTGCTTAGTGGCTCCATGGAGTCTGCTTGCTGGAGGCTATCTGGCCTTCTGATCCATTCTTTTCTTTTCTTTTTGTTTTTGAGACAGAGTCTCACTCTGTTGCCCAAGCTGGAGTGCAGTAGCACGATCTTGGCTCACTGCAACCTCCGCCTCCCGGGTTCAAGTGAATCTCCTGCCTCAGCCACCTGAGTAGCTGGGATTACGGGTGCCCACCACCACACCTGGTTAATTTTTGTATTTTTAGTAGAGACGGGGTTTCACCATGTTGGTCAGGCTGGTCTCAAACTCCTGACCTCAAGTAATCTGCCCGCCTCAGTCTCCCAAAGTGCTGGGGTTACAGGTGTAAGCCACCGCGCCTGGTAGATCCATTCATTTCTACTACTATACCTGGTACTACGTATCTCACCAGCTTAAAACATCTCTCTTTTATTTTTCTAGGCATGTGAACACCAACTTGCCCATAGAGGTTTTTCCACATTCCTTGAGTTGCCCAAGCACCCCCAAAGTCTTTCTTAGCTCTCAACAAACTAAGCACAGAAGGAACATACCTCAAAATAATAAAAGCCATATATGACAAACCCACAGCCAACATTATATGGAATGGAGAAAAGTTGAAATCATTTCCCCTAAGAACTGGAACAAGGCAAGGATGCCCACTTTCACAACTCCTATTCAACATGGTACTGGAAGTCCTAGCCAGAGTAATCAGGCAAGAGAAAGAGGTAAATGGCATCCAAATTTGAAAAGAGGAGTCAAATGATCTCTATTTGATGACAATATGATCCTATACCTAGAAAACCCTAAACACTCCACCAAGAGACTCCAGGATTTGATCAACGAATTTAGTAAATTTTCAGGATACAAAATCAATGTACAAAAATCAATAGCATTTCTATACACCTATAACAATCAATCTGAGAACCAAATCAAGAAGTCAATTCCATTTATAACAGCTACAAAAAATTACCTAGAAATATATTTACCCAAGGAGGTGAAAAATCTCTACAAGGAAAACTTCAAAGCACTGGTGAAAGAAACTATAGATGATACAAATTTTAAAAATGCTATGCACGTGGGTTGGAAGAATCAGTATCAGTAAAATGACTATCCTGCCCAAAATAACTTACAGATTCAATGCAATTCCTATCACACAACCAATGTCGTTTTTTGTGGAATTAGAAAAACAATCCTAAAATTCACATGGAACCAAAAAACAGATTTTAATAACGAAAGCAATCCTAGGCAAAAAGAACAAAGCTGACTTTCAATTATACTACAAGGGTTTAGTAACCAAAACAACATGGTACACACACAAAATAGACACATAGATCAATGGAACAGAATAGCGAACCCAGAAATAAAGTCACATACCTACAAGCAATTGATCTTTGACAAAGTTGTGACCAAAACACACACTGGAAAAGGACCCCCTATTTACTAAATAGTGCTGAGGAAATTGGACTTCCATATACAGAAGAATGAAACTGGACCCCTATTTCTCATCACATACAAAAATTAACTGAAGATGGATTAAAGACTTGAATATAAGACCTGTAACTATAAAAATACTAGAAGAAAACCCCAGAAAAAAACTCTTCTGGACATTGGCATAGGCAAAGAATTCATGACTAAGATCTCAAAAGCAAATGCAACAGAAACAAAAATAGAGGAATGGAGGCCAGGGGTGGTGGTTCACACCTATAATCCCAGCACTTTGGGAGGCCGAAGTGGATGGATCATCGGAGGTCAGGAGTTCAAGACCAGCCTGGGCAACATGGCAAAACCCTGTCTCTACTAAAAATACAAAAATTAGCCAGGCATGGTGACAGGTGCCTGTAATCCCAGCTACTCAAGAGGCTGAGGCAGAAGAATTGCTTCAACCTGGGAGGCAGAGGTCGCAGTGAGCCCAGATCGCACCACTGCACTCCAGCCTGGGTGACAAGAGCAAAACTCCATCTCAAAAAAAAAAAAAAAAAAAAATAGACGAATAGAACTTAATTAAACTAAAAAGCTGCTGCACAGCAAAAAGAAATAATCAACAGAGTGAACAGGCAACCTGCGGAATGGGAGAAAATATTTGCAAACTATGCTTCTAACAAATAAACAGAATAAACAAGGAACTCAAACAACTCAACAAAAAAACCCATAAATAACCCCATTAAAAAGTGAGCAAATGACATGAACAGACATTTTTTCAAAGGAAGATATACAAGTGGCCAAGAAGCATTTGAAAAAAATCTCGATATCATTAATCATTAGAGAAATGCAAATTAAAACCACAATGGGACACCAACTTATACCTGTCAGACTACTATTAAAATGTCAAAAAAAAAAACCAGATGTTAGTAAGAATATGGAGAAAAGGGAATGCTTATACACTGTTGGTGGGAATGTAAATTAGTACAACCTCTACGGGAAACAGTATGAAGATTTCTCAAAGAACTAAAAATAGAAAACTACCATTTGATTCAACAATCCCACTGGGAATCTACCCAAAGGAAAAGAAATCATTACATAAAAAAGATATCTGTGCTTATATGTTTATTGCAGCACTGTTCACAATAGCAAAGACGTGGAATCAACCTAAGTGTCTGTCAGTGGAAGATTGGATAAGGAAAACATGGTATATATACACAACATAGTACTACTCAGCCATAAAAAAGAATGAAATCATGTCTTTTGCAGCAACATGGATGGAACTGGAGGCCATTATCTTAAGTGAAATAGCTCAGAAAGAGAAAGTCAAATACCACAGGTTTTTTATTAGTGGGAGCTAAATAATGTGTCCACAAGGACATAGAATGGAATAACAGACACTGGAGACTTGGAAGGGTGGAAGGTGGGAGGGTGGTGAGGGATGAGAGATTACTTAGTGGGTATGATGTACACTTTTCAGGTGAAACATACACTAAAAGCCCCAATTTCACCACTGGCGATATATCCCTGTAACAAAACTGCCTTTGTACCCTCTAAATCTATAAAAATAAAAAGATTTTATAATTTTGAAAAACACCATGGGGAGAAAGAAATGGGAGGATTTCATCATCCACCAGAGCTGCTGCTGCTTCTTTTTTTTTTTTTTTTTTTTGAGATGGAGTTTTGCTCTTGTTGCCCAGGCTGGAGTGCAATGGCACAATCTCAGCTCACCACAACCTCCACGCCCCCAGGTTCAAGTGGTTCTCCTGCCTCAGCCTCCCAAGTAGCTGGGATTACAGGCATGCACCACCACACCCGGCTGATTTTGTATTTTTAGTAGAGATGGGGTTTCTCCATGTTGGTCAGGCTGGTCTCGAACTCCCGACTGCAGGTGATGCACCCGCCTCAGCCTCCCAAAGTGCTGAGATTACAGGTGTGAGCCACTGCACCCAGCCAGAAGTCTGTTATTTTTTTTAAAAGCCTCCTGTTCACTAAGGCAAAAGGAAGAACCTCCTCAAATGCCTGGGGAACTTGAGGCCAGTGAACCTGGATAATAAATGCAAATAGATTTATTGAGGGCTTGTTTATACAGGATTTAGAACCGAGCCCTGAGAACAGCCTGACTATTCTCAGCAACCCCTACCCCCTGCACCCTGCCCTACTCTCTCCCCTGTCCTCCCCCTTTTGGATCCTTTCCCTTCTACCTATTTTCAGTTTGACCCTCTAGGCTGTGAGCTGCTTGATGCCAGGGAACCAGTGCTCCCAGCCTTTTCTTTTCCAACATCCAGGGCACGGTACACATTTAAATGTTCACTAGAGGTATAAAGGGAATGAATAAATGTCTAAGCTCTTAAGGTGGCTGAAATAGCAATGCTCTGGGTTGAACTGTGTACCCCCCAAAAGATGTTGAAGTCCTTACCCCCAATACTTGTGAATGTGACCTTATTTGGAAATAGGGTCTTTGAAGATGATCAAGATGTGGTCATTAGGGAGAGCTCTAATCCAGTATGACTGTGTCCTTATAAAAAGGGGATATTTGGACACAGAGACACATGTATAGAGGGAAGAGATGTGAAGACACAGGGGGAATGTCATCTACAATCCAAGGGGGCCACCAGCGGCTAGAGGAATGGCACAGAACAGATTCTCCCTCATGACTCTGAGAAGAAACCAACCCTGCTGTCATCTTGATCTTGGACTTCCAGCCTCCAGAAGTGTGAGACAATACACTTCTGTTGTTTAAGCTATCTGGCTTGTGGTATTTTGTTACACAGCCTTACACAGCCCTAGGAAACAGAATACACAGAAATCTAGGGTTGTGAACGCAATGTTTTAAAGGACTTGTGGGCTCCTTCATTCATTCCTTCATTAAACAAATGCTTACCATGCGCCATCCCTATGCCCAGCCCTAGCAAAGGGCCAAGGTAGTGGTCGTGGCCCTTGGCACGCACCTTCCACTTTCTTGCTGTTGTCCTGTCAACTGTTTGCCCACCTCTTTTCTCTCCTGCAAAATGTGTCCTCAGAGCTGTTCAAATTCACTCCCTTTCCCTTGTGAAATATGCCCTTGATTTCGACATTCCTTACCATTCACATTCAAATGAAGAAACCAACCCAGCCATGCAGTTCCTCTTGTGCTCCCTGCTAGATTTCAGCTCCTGGAACCATCTCTTACCCTTGCCTGGGTCCCCCCTCACCTGCTAGCAGATAGTCTTTTTTTTTTTTTTTTTTTTTTTGAGAGGGAGTCTTGCTCTGTTGCCCGGGTTGGAGTGCAGTGGCACAATCTCGGCTCACTGCAACCCCCGCCTCCTGGGTTCAAGCAATTCTCCTGCCTCAGGCTCCCGAGTAGCTGAGACTACAGGCACGCGCCACCCAGCTAACTTTTGTATTTTTAGTAGAGACAGGGTTTTACCATGTCTGCCAGGATGGTCTCGATCTTTTGACCTCGTGATCCGCCCGCCTTGGCCTCCCAAAGTGCTGGGATTACAGGCATGAGCCACCGCCCCCGGCCGTTAGCAGATATTCTGATTGAGTTGTCTGCTGGGCAGCCCAGGCACACACATCCTTGAAACATCCCAGCAGCTCCTAATGCACAGCCAGGGTTGAGAAGCTCTGCACTGGAGGCCTATGATGAGAGGGCTGATCTCTGTCTAATCATAATGATGATGAACACCAGCAAAAATAGCTAACACATAGTGTACACAATGTGCCAAGAACCGCTATCATTACTCACATTTACTCTTTTCAGCCTCACAACAATCCCCTGAGATAAGACTGTTATCTCCCCGATTTGCAGGTGAGAAGAGTGAGGTGAGTTCAAGGCCACCCGGCTAGAAAGTGATGGAGCTGGGACGTATAGCCAAGGGCCTGGCTACCTGTCTGACTCTGGGACACAGGACGAGGCTGAAACCCAAGGCTGTCACTAGGATTGAGAGCAGAGATGCTGGTTTAAACACACACAGGACCTCCAGCCATCGGTTGTCACAGGCGACCTGATTGTTCTTGTCACTTGCTGCCAGCTCAATACAGCTCCAGTGGATCCCCCTGAGTAAGGTGCTTGAGTAGGATTCTGTCCTAGTTGAGGCTCTGCCTTAACATAGGATGCGTGCCAACCTAGCACATTCTACAGGGCAGAGCCTCATGGGAAGGTGGTTAACACGTGACGTGCAGGAGGCGCTCCTCTGGGGGTCCCCAACAAGGGGCAGGGAGCAGTGCAGGGGAGTGCCTCAGACCTCAGACCCCAGGCTACGCGACCTGGATCCAGGTCCCAGCTCTGCCTCTCGGTAGCAGGGCAACTTGGGCAAGTTGTTAACCTCTCTGGGCCTCAGTTTCCCTGTGAGCAAAGTAAAGATGCTGCTAGTAATCACACCTATCTCAAAGGGCTGTGGTGGGGATTAAATAAATTCATACAGATAAAGGGCTTGTTACAGAGCCAGGCACCTGCCACACACGTCTGCCATCACTCTCCTGGAGAGCGATGTAGGGCTTCCCTGCCATGATGGGTAATGTCCATCTGTCCCTCCAGACCCTCTCTCCACTGCAAAAGCCTGCTACATCAAAGAGCTCCCTCGTCCCCTGGCTTCCTGTTGTGTTCAGCCAACAGGCATTGCTGCCAGGAGGGAAGCAGGGAGTGAGGTTGGGGGCTGGGTTGGCCGCCTCTCTGACTGATGATGGCTGCTCCTCCCTAGCCCTCTCTGTGTCCAGGTGCTGGACTCTGCACTCTCCCCTTCCCGCTTCAGCCCTAGGGGTACAGATGCCTGGCTGTGACCACCAAGGGTGCGGCACTGACTTTTGTGGCTCCTCTTCAGCCTGCCTGCACCTTTGTAAAAAGTCTCTCTCATGTACTGCTCCAATTACCCACTTGCAGTGCACTGTTTCCTGCCTTGACGGTTTCTAACATGCTGTGTTAGGGGCTGTGTCAGGAAATTTACTTGGTGGCCCAGAATGAGAGAATACACTCATTCCTGCACAGTGTTCATAGGTAATAAATGGTGTCATAAGACCTTAGCGCTGGATTTCAAAGAAGGATGCTTGAACCCTTCCAGCCCTGCAGAATCCCACCTGGAGGTAGGGAAACATGCTGAGACTGCTAGAGAAGCCTCAGCTGGGAAGGGCTGGGGGGCAGGGAGCCTGCTGGCCTTTCTCTCCACGCCCACGCCCTGCAGCAGATATAGGTCCCCACGGCTGGTTTCCCAATCCTTCTGCCAGCCTCCTCCCGGAGGAACTGGGAGGCACATCACTTTCTAGTGGGCTCAGGCCTCTGTGGGGCCTGGGAATCTGGGGCCCTGCAGGGGACCTGCAGCCTCCGTAGATGCACTGGGGGCAGCTGCTGTGCTGAGATTGTTGGTCCAGCTGCTCTGTCTTGAGGATCAAGGGCCTCCTGGAGATACCCAGGCAGAGGTCTTGGGTTGGGAGGGCGGTGCTCAGAACTTCCTTGCTTGGCCAGAAAGTCAGAGGAGCAAAGACAGTGGAGAGGCCTGAGGATTTCCCTCCCAAGCCCTCATCACATTTGACACTTCTCTACTGTCTCCTCCCATCCTGCTCTCTCTCATTCTCTCTCTCTCTCTCTCTCTTTCCCCCCAAGAACCCTTTCCTGTTACTTTCACTCATGCCTTTCAATGTTTCCTGTCCCCATCCTCAGTCTCCACCTGGTCTTGGAGCAATTTCTCTTTCTCTGTCTGCATCTCCACACTCAACATCCACATTGCTTTCAAGAATCTGAAAGATCGTTAGGCAGAGCACTAAGAAAATAGTGCCGTCCCCTAGCTACCAAAGAGATGGGGTCGGGGGTGTGGCATCAGAAATGTTTTTTGTGTATAGTAATAACAAAACGCCCAGCATGATAGTACATTGTTTAGAGTTATAAAATATTTATGCCAGTGATATTACTAAATAACCATAATAGAAGACATTTCTTGCGTATTTGTACTGGTACCACGCTAAAAGCTTTACTCAAAGTATCTAATTTAATATTCACAGCAAGACTGTGGCACATATGTTACTTCTTCTCTGTCACAGGCCAGGAAACTGAGACTCGAGGTGGAAGGTCATTTCTCAAGGTCATGCACTTATTAAGTGGATTCACACCCAGATCTGCTGGACTCTGAAGCTGTGTGCTCATAACCACTGATGCCAGAAAGAGGTAGGATATTGATTCCACCCAAGATGCTAACTGCTCAGCCACTACAATGGAGAAGAGACATCTTTCAAAAAAGCAAGAGAAACAGCAAAACATCTAGGAATAAACATGCAGGCAAACAGGCCAGGCCAATAACAAGGAAACGATGCAGCTAAGCTCATGAAAGAAGGGCTGGGTAAATGCACTGCAGCTCATGTTCCTGGGGCTGTAAGGCCAATTCGCCTCAAATCACTTCATTAATTTGCTGTAATGCCAATAAAAATCCCATTAGTACCCGGGAGAAGATCTTGACAAATTAATTAAAATTAATTAGGGAGAAAAAAATGCTCAAGAATAGCCAAGAAAATGTCTAAGAAATATAACAAGGAGGGGAGCTCACATTACTCAGTCATTCTTTCTGTGGATATTCATTGAGCACCTACTATATACCAGGTTCTGAGGCACCATAGTTGTCCTCAAGAAGCTTACAGACTGGAGGATACTAACACGTGCTACAGAACCGGAGGGTGTAAATGGTGTGGTCCTGGGGTGGAGCAGACAGAGAGAACCAGTGACAGCCCAGGCATAGGTTCTTGAAATGGGGTTGGGGGGAATTAGGAAACAGTAATCATGAGGACAGTTACTGGTGATTGGGAGGGACTGCATCAATTCATTCCACAGCAATCACCTGAGTCTGGAACCCTGGTGATCCCCACTTTACAAGGAGGAGGCACAGGCCCAGAGACCTTAAGTAACCTACTCAGGGTCACACAGCCAGTAAGTGGCAGAGCGGGACCCAGAACCCAAGTGTGTCCCATTCAAATGTCCCTGCCAGTAACCACCACAGACAGTGGCAGGTGGGACGTCAAGGCAAGTCAGTGGGGAAAGGAGGGCCTCACCAAGCGATGGTGTGGAGATGATTCTTCGAGAGATGATTAATTTGATTGTAAAAATGAATTTGAAATGGATTTGATATTCAAATAACATAAGACAAAAATTGTTAAAGTCATAGGGAAAATAAAAGAAAGAAAGGTTTTATGAGCCTGAGTTGAGAAAGGCCTTTCTCAGAATGCCATGAGGGTCAGAAGTGAGAAATAAGGCCAATAGGTCTAACCATGTTGAAATGTAAAACTTTTGTATTGTAAAAGGCATAAAGACAAATGGAAAGATATAATTTGCAAAATATGTGAGAAGTCAGTGGGGAAAAGAGGAATGTCCTATAGAAAAATTGCAGGCTGGGTGTGATGGCTTACACCTGTAGTCCCAGCACTTCGAGAGGCTGAGGCGGGCAGATTACTTGAGCTCAGAAGTTCGAGGCCAGTCTGAGCAATGTGGCAAAACCCTGTCTCTACCAAAATTTTTAAAAATGAGCTGGGTGTGGTGGTGAGTGCCTGTAGTCCCAGTTACCTGGGAGGCTGAGATGGGAGAATCACCTGAGCCTGGGGAGGTTGAGCCTGTGGTAAGGCATGATGGTGCCACTGCACTCCAGCCTGGGCACCACCGAGACCCTGTACTTAAAAAAGGAAGAAAGAAAGAAAAGTGTTCTTTCCGAAGGACCTGCCTCTCAGAGCTACCTGCCTCTGGAAGGGGCAGTCATATGTGTTCATTTGCTGGTCCAGGACCCATCAGATCCTCTCTCAAGAAGACCTGAATGAAAAGATGAGTCACAGAGCTGTCAGCTGGCGCGGAGTCAACCTGAAAGGTCATTTTAGGAAAAGGCCAGAGTCACTGCCATCAAGTCAGGCTTACTGTTGAGGGTGCCTGTGAAGTGCTGGATTGGGAACAACTAAAATGTCCCTCAATAGGGGACTGGCTAAAAATTACAGTTCATCACTACAAGGGAATACCATTCAGTGATTAAAAACAATGAGGTAAACATTTTATACAGAAAAAAATGCAGAAACTGCACAGTGTGATTTTTTTTTTATTTTTTAATGTATTTTTTAAAGTGTGTGTGTGCATGTGTGTGTGTGTGTGTTTCTGTGTTGAAGATTCAAATTGCCTGGGTTTGAATCCTGGACCTGGCATTATTAGCAAATTACTTAAACTCTCTATCCCTCAGTTTTCTCATCTATAAAATGAGAAATAGGCCAGGCACGGTGGCTCACGCCAGTAATCCCAGCACTTTGGGAGGCCGAGGCAGGTGGATCACCTGAGGTCAGGAGTTCGAGACCAGCCTGGCCAACATGGCGAAACCCCATCTCTACTTTAAATACAAAAATTGGCCAGGCGTGGTGACGCGCACCTGTAATCCCAGCTACTTGGGAAGCTGAGGCAGGAGAATCACTTGAACCCAGAAGGCAGATGTTGCAGTGAGCCGAGATCACACCACTTCACTCCAGCCTGGGCAACAGAGCGAGACTCCGTCTCAAAAAAAAAAAAAAAAAAGAATTGTGTCTTCTTCAAATGGTTGTTTTAAGGAGCATTAAAGCATGCAATACTCCTAGAACAATGCTAGGAACATACTAAATGCTGTGTAACTGGTAGCCACCACCATCACCATCATCATCGTCCTCTAGAGGGTGGAGAAAAAGGTACTCTTTACATAGTTCATTGTCAATATCACTGAGAGAAGAGATTAGGGTGAGGATTACATTGTTACATTTGGCTCTATGCACATCTACATTAACCAAATTTTATATAATGGATGTGTTTTGTATTGGACACTAAAAGAAAGCCATGAGGAGCTTACCCCTCTAAGCAGAAGAGCTGACCAGCAAAGAAGGAGAAGAAAGGAGAGCAGATGGGCTGAGAGAAAAGAGATGACATCCCCTGGGTCCCCAGAGAGCGAGCAATGAAGGGAGTGACTTCAAGAACTTGGGATGGAAGTTATTCTGCATCCAATAAAGGCAAGGCAGTAATTTGCTTATAAAGTTTTTCTGTGTCCTTACAAAATACACTCTCTTCCATTATGTTATACTTAAGCTAGTTCAAATGGCTTTTTGGCACGGTGCAATGGCTCACACCTATAATCCCAGGGCTTTCAGAGGCCAAGGCAGAAAGATCACTTGAGGCCAGGGGTTTGAACCCAGCCTGGTCAATATAGTGAGACCACACCTGTACAAAAGAAAAATTTAAAAATTAGCTGGGCATAGTGCTGTCTGCCTGTAGTCGCAGCTACTCAGGAGGCTGAGGCAGGAGGATTGCTTGAGCCTGCAAGGTCAAGCTGTAATCATGCCACTGTGCTTCAGCCTGGGTGACAGAGCAAGAACCTGTCTCAAAAAAATACAAATAAAAATTTTTTTAAAAAATAAAAAAAGGCTATTTTTGTACGTGATAACCAAACAATCCTGACCAAAACAAGTAGCTGGTAACAAGAAAATATTTTCAACCTTATTGAGAAACAAAGAATTGCAAACTAAAACAGAAAGATACCAGTTTCTATCTATCATATTGAAGAATATTTAAGATTTTTTGTTTGTTTGTTTTTGTTTTTTTGAGACAGAGTCTCACTCTGTCACCCAGGCTGGAGTGCAGTGGTGCGATCTCATCTCACTGCAACCTTTGCCTCCCAGGTTCAAGCGATTCTCCTGCCTCAGCCTCCTGAGTAGCTGGGACTACAGGCACCCACCATCACCCCCGGCTAATTTTTGTATTTTTAGTAGATACAGGGTTTCACCATATTGGCCAGGCTGGTCTCGAACTCCTGACCTTTTGATCTGCCCACCTCGGCCTCCCAAAGTGCTGGGATTACAGGCGTGAGCCACCATGGCCGGCCGGTTTAACAGATTGTTAAATGCTGTATTAGTGAGCGTGACAAGAAATAGTCCACATTCACACACACATGTCGGGCATACACATTTGGTCAGCCTTTGGGAGGCCACTTACCCAAGAATATATTTGCCTTTAGAACAAGAAATTCCACCATGAAGAATTTTCCAAAGAAAATCTTGAACCAGGCTGGGCACGGTGTCTCACGCCTCTAATCCCAGCACTTTGTGGGGCTGAGGTGGGCAGATCACCTGAGATCAGGGGTTTTAGGTCAGCCTGGCTAACATGGTAAAACCCCATTTTTACTAAAAATACAAAAAATTAGCCAGGTGTGGTGGCACGTGCCTGTAATCCCAGCTGCTCAGGAGGCTGAGGCAGGAGAATTGCTTGAACCTGGGAGGCGGAGGTTGCAGTGAGCCGAGATCACGCCATTGCACTCCAGCTTGGGCAATAAGAGTGAAACTCCATCTCAAAAAAAAGAAAAAAGAAAATCTTGAACCAGTTCATGAAGATACAAGTTCAAGGATGATGGCATTGTTTATACTGGTGAAAAAACTGGAAACAACCTTAGCATGCCTCAGCAAAATAGTTGAACAAGTGGGACACCACAGCAGACAGCAGCCCCCACCACCCCTGGCTCGTGGTGTCCAGGCCTTTGTGTAATGCCATCCCCTTAAGTGTGGGTACGACCTAGTACTTGCTTCCAGCCAATAGAATACTATAGCATTGAGTGGGTATCGCTTCTGTGATTCAATTACAAAAGGTTCGGACTTCCACCCTGCTGGCAGATTCTCTCCCTTGCTGATCTGATGAAGTAGGGGAGGACCACATGGAAAGGAGCTGAGGGTAGCCTCTGGCCAACAGCCATGGAAGAATTCATCCTCTCTGTCTAACAACACAGAAGGAACTAATTCTATTGACTATCTAAGTGAGCTTGGAAGCAGATATGTCTTAGTCTGTTTTGTGTTGCTATAACAAAATACCATAGATTGAATATTTTACAAAGAAAAGAAATTTATTTCTCACAGTTCTGGAGGCTGAGAAATCCAATATCAAATTTCCAGCAACTCGCAAGGGCCTTCTTCCCACATCACCCCATGGCAAAAGGTAGAAGGGTGAGAGGGCACACATGAGGGAGAGCAAGCAAGGAAGAGAGAGCCAAACTTGCTTTTACAATAACCTACTTTCGCAATAACAAACACACTCTCATGATAACATTAATTCATTTATGAGGGCAGAGTCCTTATGGCCTAGTTACCTCTTAACGGTCTCACCTCTTAATACCATCACAATGGCAATTAAATGTCAACATGAGTTTTGGAGGGGACATTCAAACCATAGCAAGATTCTTTCTTCCCCAGTCAAGCCTTCAGAAGATAACTCAATCCTGGAAGACACTTTTCAGTCTAATGAGAGACCCTAAAACAGAGAATGCAGCTAAGCAAAGCCCAGATTCCTGGCCCACAGCAATTGTGAGATAATAAATATGTGTTGTTATAAGCCACTAAGTTTGTGGTAATTTATGATATAGCAATAGATAACTAATACTGAAATTATCCCACTGTTAAAAAAGGTTAAGTCATCTCTATTTGTATAACTATGTACAATGGCCATGCTAGTCTTAAGTTAAAAAAAAAACAAGTAGATAACAAAACAGTATATGTTATATAACCCACTTTTACAAATAAGTGTCTAAAATATTTTTATGCTTGGACAAAAAATATTTTATGCCAAAATAATACATAGATTTAATTGTTCATAAGATTATATCTAAAGGAAAAAGATTTTAGGAACCTCACTCCATAACCCATAAGGTTTCAATTTTTAAAACAAGCTTCGTTGCTTTTAGAGTTAGGAAAAAATAATAAAATATTCCCATTTAGAAAAAAATAAAAATAATGTTATGGCTAAAACATCAAAGAACTTAAAATATTTTGTCATTTGTGGCAAATGCTGCTTGGTGGCCAACCCATGCTTCCATTCCCAGTACTCTTCTCCTTTGCGTGTCTTCCACTATAGAAGTTGGAAGGGTGAAATCGTCACTTTGCAAGCCTTCCTTGCAGCTAGGGTGCCTACCATGTGGTAGGTCTGGGCAATGAGATAAAAGTGAAAGTCTGCTGAGGAGGTTGATATCACTGACTCCCTTTTCTCTTCTTCTTTCCTGCCCTCACAGAGCACACATCTTGTGGAAAAGTTGCCATTACAAGACCATGTGACATATGCTATGAAAGCAGGTGTATGCAGGACTAAGACAGTTCAGTGGAGGGGTGTGAGATCCAGCCTGGGACTTGGAAGTTGGCTATCCAGAGAAGACAATATCTAAGCTTCAGAGGGGAGCATGTGGAGGATGCAGAGAAAGAATATCCTAACAGAGGAAAATTGGGTCGCCATACTCTCAAGGGGCAGCAAATTGGAGATGAAGTCATATCTGCTGCACATTTATATATTTCCTCCTTGAATCAGGATGTGTTCAGCTGTAAATAACAGACACTCTGACTCACAGTAGCTTAACCATAGGGTGTTTCATTAGCTCACAAGCGAAAACGTTGAGAAGTAGATGTTTCCAGGGTTTCTCCAGGAGCCTTACAATATCTGGGTTCTGAGTCCATTTCCCTTCAGTTCTCATGGTCTTTCCCTCATGGTCACAATATGGCTGCCTCACCTGCAGGATCAAAGGAAGGAGGTCATGGGATAAGCCATCGGGGCAGCAGGAGAAGGTGTGCCTGGTGTCTGTCTTTCTTATTATAAGAGGAAATTTCCTCGTCCCTCCATCACATTGGCCAAACTGGGTCACATGACAACCCGTAGTGGCAACAGAGTCTAGGAAAACTGTTCTCTAAATTTCCAGCAGTTGAAGTGGGTACAGAGCAGGGGTAAAGGGAGTTGGGAATCATTGTAGTGAACATCAGTGCTCTCTGCCTCTGCCTAGACCGGGAACAAGCTGCCCAAGACTTCTTTGGCTGGGCCTTAGGCTCACCTCCTTAGCCTCACCTCTGAGCCCCTTATCTCATAGGACTCTAATTAATGACCGAGCCAGGCTCCCAGGGGCTCATCCTAGGCTGATCCCTGGACCTGGCTTTCCCTGTATTCTGGGCTATTAGTTTCTTACTTAAGTCCCCAGTCCTGGGATGCCTGTGTCAGTCAACATGTCCCCCAGCTGCCCAAAATGTTCTCTCCCATTCTCGCTCTAGTAGGTGACTAAGAGTTCCTATTCTGGTTATTTGTCTGGGTGCTCCAGAGAATTAAAATAAATAGGATATATATGGGACCCAGGAGAGAACTAATGCTGCAGTTTAAGTCCAAATTCTGTAAGAAGAAATCCCTCTTGCTTGAGGGAGATCAGTCTTTTTGGTCTGTTTAGCTCTTCCACTGATTGAATAAAGTCTATCCACAATATGGAGGGCAATATGCTTTACTCAAAATCCACCAACATAAATGGAAAGCTTACCCAGAAGCATCCTCACAGAAACATCCAGAATAATGTTTGACCAAATATCTGGGCATCATGGCCCCATCCAAGGTGACAAATAAAATTAACTCTCATGCTCTGCTAATTCCTTGCTGTTAGGCCCTAGACAAGTCATTTCTTATATTAGACCATTCTTGTGTTGCTATAAAAAAATAAATGAGACAGTGTCATTGATAAGGAAGAGATTTAATTGGCTCACAGTTCTGCTGGCTGTACAGGCCTGGCACCAGCATCTGCTTGGCTTCTGGTTAGGGCCTCAGGAGCCTACAATCATGGTGGAAGATGAAGGTGGAGCAGGTGCATCAGGAGCAGGAGCAAGAAAGCAAGAGGAGAAGGTCCCAGACTTTTAAAAAAACAGATCTCGTGTGAACTCACTCATCACCAAAAGGATGGTGCTAAGCCATTCATGAGGGATCTGCCTCCATGATCCATACACCTCCCACTAGGCCCTACCTCCAATACTGGAGATTACATTTCAACATGAGGCTTGGAGGGGACAAATATCCAAACCATCTTATCCACCCCTGGATCCCCAATTCCTATGTCCCTCTCACACTGCCAAATACAATAATCTCTTCCCAACAGTCCCCTAAAGTTGTAACTCATTCCAATATCAAGTTCAAAGTCCTAAGTCTCATCTGAGACTCATCTTCCTTCCACCTACAAGACTGTAAGATCAAAACAAGTTATTTACTTCCAAGATACAATGGTGGTACAGGCATTGGATAAACATTCACAAAGGGAGAAATTGGTCAAAAGAAAGGGGCAACAGGTCCCACACAAATCTGAAATCCAGCAGTGCATTTGTTAAATCTTAAAGCTCCAAAATAATCTCCTTTGACTCCATGTCCCATATCCAGAGCACGCTGGTGAAGGGGTGGGCTCCCAAGGCCTTGGGTAGCTCTGCCCCTCTGGCTTTGTTGTGTGTAAACCTACATGGCTGCTCTCAAAGATTGGAGTTGATGCTTGAAGCTTTTCCAGGGTCAAGGTGCAAGCTGCCAATGGATCTACCACTCTGGGGGCTGGAGGCCAGTGATCCCCTTCCCACAGCTCCACTAGGCAGTGTCATGGTGGGAACTCTGTGTGGGGGCTCCAACCCCACATTTCCCCCTTAGAATTGCCCTAATAGTGTCTCTCTGTGGGGACTCCACCCCTGCAGCAGACTTCTGCCTGGGCACCCAGCCTTTTCCATACATCCTCTGAAATGTAGATGGAAGCCACAAAGCCTCCTTCATGCCTCCATTCTGAGTATTTGTAGGCTTAACACTACATGGAAACTGCCCAGGCTTATGGCTTGCACCCTGTGGTGCTGTTGCCCAAGTTGTACCTGGACCCCTTTGAGCTGAGGCTGGAGCTAGAGCTACCAGGATGCAGGGAGCAGTGTCCTGCTGCTGTGCATGGAAGTTCCAGGCCTGGCCTGGGAAACCATTCTTTCCTCCTAGGCCTCTGGGTCTGTGATGGGAGGGGCTTCCTAGAAGAGCTCTGAAATGCCTTCAGGGACTTTTCCCCATTGTTTTGGATATCAGCACCTGACTCCCTTTTAGTCATGCAAATCTCTCTAGTAAGTGGTTGCTCCACAGCCTGCTTGGATTCCTCTCCTGAAAATGGGCTTTTCTTTTCTACCGCATGGCTAGGCTACAAATTTTCCAAACTTTCATGCTCCCTTTATATATAAGTTCCAACTTAACTCATTTCTTTGCTTCCACAGATGAGCATAGGCTGTTAGAAGCAGTCAGGTCACATCTTGAAGGGTTTGCTGTTCAGAAATTTCTTCTATTAGATACTCTAGGTAATCACTCTTAAGTTCAAACTTTCACAGTTCCCTAGGGCATTAACACAATATAGCCAAGTTATGTGCTAAGGCATATAAAGGGTGACCTTTGCTCTGGTTCCCAATAGTTTCCTCATTTCTTTCTCCTTTCCTTTCTTTTCCTTTCCTTTCCTTTCCTTTCCTTTCCCTTTCTTTCCTCTCCTTTCCTCTCCTCTCCCTTTCTTTCTTTCTTTCTTTCCTTTCTTTCTCTTTCTTTCTTTCTCTTTCTTTCTCCCTTTCTTTCTTTCTCTCTTTCTTTCTCTCTTTCTCTCTCTCTTTCTCTCTTTCTTTCTCTCTTTCTCTCTCTCTTTCTTTCTCTCTCTCTCTTTCTTTCTTTCTTTTTATCTTTCTTTCTTTCAACAGAGTCTTGCTCTGTTGCCCAGGCCAGACTGCAGTGGCATGATCTCAGCTCACTGCAACCTCCTCCTCTTTGTTTCAAGAGATTCTCCTGCCTCAGCTTCCTGAGTAGCTGGGACTGCAGGTGCATGCTACCACACTCTAATTTTTTTTATTTTTAGTGAAGCTAATTTTTTTTATTTTTAGTAGAGACAGAGTTTCACCATGTTGCCCAGGCTTGTCTCAACTCCTGACCTCAAGTGATTCACCCACCTCAGCCCCCCAAAGTGCTGGGATTACAGGTGTGAGCCACTGTGCCTGGCCAGGTTCCTCATTTCTAACTGAGGCTTCATCAGCCTGGATTTCACCATCCACATCACTATCAGCATTTTAGTCACAACTATTTAGCCAGTTTAAGTTCCAAACATTCCCTTATCATCCTGTCTTCTTCTGAGCCCTCAAAACTCTTCCAGCCTCTGCCCATTACCCAGTTCTGAAGTTACTTCCCCATCAGCTATCTTTACAGCAAACCTCTACTCCTTAGTTCCAATTTTTTGTATTAGGTCATTCTTGCATTGATATAAAGAAATACCTGAGGCTGGGTAATTGATAAAGAATAGAAGTTTAATTGGCTCATGCTTCTACAGGCTGTATAGTCATGACACCAACATCTGCTCAGCTTCTGGTGAGGGCCTCAGGAAGCTTACAATCATGGTGAAATGCAAAGCAGGAGCAGGCACATTACATGGCAAAAGCAGGAACAAGAGAACAAGTCAGGGGAGGTCCACAGAGTTTTAAAAAACCAGATCTCATGTGAACTCACTCATCACCAAGAGGAGAGCGCTAAGCCATTCATGAGAGGTCTGCCCGCATGAACCAAACACCTCCCACCAGGCCTCTAACATTGGGGATTATATTTCAACCTGAGATTTGGAGGGGAAGCTATCTAAACCATATCACTCCCCTTCCTGTAAAAATGGAGATTGTACCCTTTGCTCAGTGAGGCTATTGTGAGGTTAACTGAGATATTCCATGTGCCCACTTGGCACACAGTAAGCATTCAAGAAAATGTTACTTCCCTCCCCTGTCTCTTAGGTACTTTACAAATCACTTCCCTCAGATCTTGTCTTTCTTATGATCTGAATTAAGAGACTCAAGAGCTATAGTCGACTTGTGCTGGGCCATGGATCTGTGAGTCACATAGCTTTGAGGCCCAAGCAGGGCCCCAGTAGCAGTACCACGGAAGTGAAAATTACAGGGGATTTGGAATTGGGGACATGCGTCTGCTCAAGGAGACAAAGAAGATGATTGGCCAGGAGAGGCAGAAAAAAAGGAATAGATGTTGCCTGAAGATTGTCCAGGTTCTGTGAGACCAAGCTGCGTGTCCTAGCCTTTTCTCATGACGTCCTGAATTTCATTTCCATAAAGTCCTGCATGCTTGAGCCAGTTCCAGGCATCTCTGTTCCTTGAAATCAGAAGATGCCTGAGTTTGTTCTTTCTTCTATCAAACACCAGGGAGAATGCTCTCCCGCTCACCATCTCTCAGATGAACATTCTATCTTGCACTGACCACCTTCTATTGCCACCAGGATGCAGCCCAGGCTTCTTAGCAGAATGTTCAAGGGCTTCTATGCTCTACCCCAACCCACCTCTCTATCCCATAACTCAGCAATACCTCTGTCCCTTTTTCCCTATTAACACCTCATACTTACTTCTTTCTATGCTTTGTCTCTGCTTGAAACATCCCTCCCAGCCCTTCCCATGAACGAAGTCCTATTTATGCTTCCAGATCCGCTATGAAAGTTGCCTCCTGGATCCCTCTCCACCCCCGGCTGAATCATTCTCTACTCTAGGTTCCCATAGAACCGTCTATTTTGCTGTTGGAGTGGACCGGGAGAGCAGAGTGGTTAAAAGCAGAAACCTGGTGAAGTGAATCCCCCAGCTAGCTGTGGGACCTGGGAGACATATCTGACTTTCTGAGCCTCAGTTTCCTTATCTGTAACTTGGAGGAAATGAGAGTATCTGCCTCACAGAGCTGTGGTGAGAATTACAAGAGATGATGTACCCAAATAACTTAGCACAGTATACAGAAAACAGCAGATAGTCAAAAAATGATGTTCCCTCCTCCCCTTGCAAGCCAAAACTGGGTCACTGTGCAATTTCAGAGATGCTGGGGGAAGCAGCCAAGCCTGGGGTCTCCGGAGTAGCACTGGTGGGGCAGGAATTAGCTGTATCCATCTAGGGACTCCCAGCCCCGAGACCTTTCCAATGCCTCTCTCAAGGTTCTCAGTACACGACAGCCAGGAAATCCGCACCCACACAGCCCAACCACAGTTCAGGTGCCCTACCACAAACCCAGAGCTACCACACAGCACAGGATGCAGACAAGAAATAACCAATGACAAAAACCAGTAGGTTTTTATCAGAATTTTCCACAGACCACTTAGGTAAAAGTTATTACCATACCATGTCATTCAGTATCTTAATTGTTGGGTTTATGGGTTTTTTTGGTGGTTGTTATTTTGTTTTGTTTTCCGATTTCAAGCAGTCAGACTCAGCAGGGATTACTCATTCCAAAGAAAGTACGTTTTTCTATTTTGGTCCAATAGTGGTTTGGATTTCCTCAGAATGAGAGGCCTCTTCCGGCTTCCTTTGAAAGATGGTTCTTGTTACATACAGAGAGCCAGAAGGGATTTCGGGCCATCAGATCCCAAAGCCCTCCGGCAAGGCAGGGAGCCTCAATTCTGGTTATTCGTAACAACAAAGACTCCTTTTATGATGAAGATGCTTAGGAGCTTCCAAAGGTTTTCAGATCTAGTACAGAATTGGAAATTTTGAGAGCTGGACAGGGTCAACAGTGCTGTCCTGATCAGATGGGTGGCCAACCATGAACTGCTTCCAGCAGTAAATCACTTTACAGTGTGTGAAGGATATCACTACCCTATTAGAACCTCTACAGCTCCATTGCATTTAGGATGAAATCCACCACCTTACCACGGCCTACAAGACCCTGCACCAACCCCATCTCTGGCCATTGTCCCTCTTCTTCATACACCCGGCCACACCGACTTTGTCCCTGTTCCTTGTCAAGGCCAAGCTTGCCCTACGCTAGAGCATTTGCACTTATTGGTCCTTCAAAAGGAGGCTGCTCCCCCTTCTCAACAAATGCCTGGCTCAGTGCAAATGTCACAGGCTCAGAAAATCCTTCCCCAAGTATCTTAAACAAAGTGCTAGCCCAGTCACCCTCCATGACATTACCCTGTTGGCTTTCCCCAAAGCAATTATCTGTAGCTGGAATTATTGGGCTCATTTCATCTACCTCTAGCGTGGCAGGTCCTTGCTTATTTTGCTCATTGCTGCATCCCAGAGTAGACCCAGTGCCTGACACATACGCAGTAGGTACTCAATACATGTTTGTTGAATGAATAAATGAATTTTATATCCTTTCTTTAAAAAAACCTGAGCCTCATCCACACACTTTACAACAGACATTGTCTCTTTACAAGGTTAATGTTACTGTTATGCGTATTTTATGGTCAAGGAAATGGACTTCAAGATGGGTGCTGATTCTCCCAACGCCACTTACCTAGTCATTCACTGCAGCATAACAAACCACTCGAGCTAGCTTTAAACCACTTGAAACCACTCCACTAGCTTTAAACAGTGCTTCTTGTGCTGGCCCCACCTGAGCTTATTCACGTGGCTGCATTCAGCTAGTGGTCTGCTGTGAGGGCTGCAACTGCTGGGCATCTCTCTCCGTGCGGCCTTTCATCCTAGATAGCTTCACAGCATGGTGGTCTTGGGTATTTTTCGGAGAAGGGGAAAGCTAAGGCTGCCAGGTCTCTTAAGGCATAACCTTGGAAGCCACACTGCATCACTTCTACTGGGTTCTATGGGCCAGAGCAAGTCTCAAGGCCAGTCCAAAGTTCAAGGAGCAATGAAATATACTCCACCTCTTGATAGGAGGTGCTGTTCCATTGTAAAGAAGCCTGGGCTGAATTGCCAGGTTTGTCTTTGAAAATCCATCACAGCTAGTGAGTATTGGAACCAGCCTGGCTGAGCTTGTGACTCACTAAGGCAGACCAAGGGACCGTGACTATCCAGCAATATCAGATGACTCTAGAAACCGCAATGGCCTACAACGTGTAATGTAAGTATCTCTCACTTACACATGTCCACTGGCGGCCGGCTGGGCCTCTGCAGTTTCACTCTGGGACCCAGGTGATGGAGCAGCCTCTCCCCTGGCACAACGCCTGAATGGTTCCAGTCTTGTGGCAGACAGGAAAGGAACGTGGCAGGCACTCGCTGGCCCTAAAGCCTCTCCTCAGAAGAAATACACATCATTTCTATCAGCACATCAGTAGCCACACAAGTCCCAGACACATCATCCTCTTTCCGGGAGGGTCACTGAAGATGCATGGATGGTGATTCCATCACCCCGGAGCCCGTTTTCCTCTTCAGCTCCTTTAAAAACACATTCTTTACTGAGTGGAAATGCATCTCATTCTATTTCTACCATTAGCCTCAGTGCTGCTCTCTCATCTGTTCCCTCTGCACAGAGGTCCTTCATAGAGATGAAGGTCACTGGAGCCTTCTCTACTCCAGGATATACATCCCAGACTTTCCAGCCCTCCCCTGCTTAAAGACCTGCCATAATCCCCCTATTGATAACAGGATCAAGTCCAAACTGTCATCTGAGTCCTTCAGGCCTCCCCCGATCAGGTTCCCACTGGCCTCTCCAGCCTTGTCTCCTGGCTCTGTCTGTGCTCCCCACACCTTGGCTTGCAGCCCTGCTGAACCTCACGCCTCAGTTCCTTTCTCTGTGCTGTGACCTCAACCTGCACAGCCCTTCCCCTCTTCTCTAGCTTGTGAAATGTTGCTTTCCTTTTAGGATTGGGCTGTAAAGTAATCTCTTTGAAGATAATCCTGTTTTTCCTTTGTCAGGTTCAATCAACTTTTTCATTTTCTAAACCTCTTTGTTATAGCATTTTTTTCATTCACTCATTCAGTGAACATTTATTGAGTATCTACTATGTACCAGGTACCATTCTAGGCTCTGCAAAGACACAAGGAACAATACAGGTAAGGTCTCAATCCTTCCTCAGTTGTATGCTGGTGAGATAAAGTAGGCAATAAGCATATAAGCAAATGAAAAACAAAATAGGCCAGGCGTGGTGGCTCACACCTGTAATCCCAGCACTTTGGGAGGCTGAGGCAGGTGGATCACAAGGTTAGGAGTTTGAGATCAGCCTGGCCAATATGCTGAAACCCCATCTGTACTAAAAATACAAAAATTAGCTGGGCGTGGTGGTGGGCGCCTGTAGTCCCAGCTACTCGGGAGGCTGAGGCAGGAGATTTGCTTGAACCTGGGAAGCAGAGGTTGCAGTGAGCTGAGATCACACTGCTGCACTCCAGCCTGGCGACAGAGCAAGACTCCATCTCAAAAAATAAATAAATAAATAAATAAATAAATAAATAAATAAATAAATAAATAAAATAAAGGAAAAATGAAAACAAAATAATTTTAGACAGTGATAAATGTGTTAATTACAATAAAAGGGGCTTCTGTGAAAAACACTATAGGCAAGAAGGTGATTCCTTTAGATAAGTTGGTTAGGGGTGGGTTCACTGGAGAGGTGATGCTCAAGCAGCTATGGGAACAGAGGAGAGCTTTCCTGGCAGAAGAAACAACCTGTGCAAATGGCCTGTGGTATGGTGTGCTTGGCCTATTCCAGGAACGGGGAGGAAGCCACTGTGGTTGAGGTGCAGAGAGAGAGGTAAAGAGTGGTGAGTGATGAGATCAGACAGGTGGCTCTTGCAAACCACGTGGGGTGGGGCCTCTTAGCAGTGACAAGGAACTTGGATTTTACCTGAACTACAGCAAGAAGTCACAGGAGGTCTGGAAGCAGGGAAGTAGAAAGGCACGATCCAATTTACACTTTTCAGAGATTCTCTGAGCTGCTTTGTGAATTGCAGGTGAGCAAGAGAGGCATCCAGAAGACCAGTTCGGAGGCTCTTGTCATTCCAAGATGACAATGACTTGGATGCACGTGCAATAATAGCCTCCCCAGAAGGTGTGAACTGAGACCTAGGGGACCATGGCCCCTCATCCTCTGCATCGCAGCCCCTGGCACAGGGCTGGTCCATGGTGACAGAATGGCTTGAGGTGGTGCATCAATCAGCAGTGGCATGTGTCTGAAACGCATGCTAGCTGAACCCTCCTCGCTTTCACCATCCTTTGCCAAGCTTCCACAGAAATCCCCCTCCACACACCAGGCTCCCCAAGCAAACCGGGGCAGCCCAGCTGACCGCCTGCCTCCCCTGCACTGGGCTGCTGTCCAGGCCTGGCGAAAATCTCTCACCATCCTGCCCACCCAGGCTCCCTCCACGGAGATCTGTGTGGTTAGCACAGTGGCCTTGATATCTTGATATTTAGGAGACGGCTTTTCCCATCTGAGCCTCCATTTTCTCATCTGGAAGGTGGGTGTTATTCTCCCTACCCCCAAAACCCCTTTTCCCAAAGCCCACTTCCTTACTTTTCTCTCTCTTCATCCGTTCCTTCAACCAAAACAAAGCCACTGTAGGGTTTTTGAAGTTTCCTGATTTTTTTTTTTTTTTTGTGATTAATAACCCCTGGACTAATTAATTTCTGCATTTGTGTTTCTAGATTTCAGATTCCAGAATTATTCAAGCTTTTCCCTCAAAACTAGCTATTTCCCCCTTCTAGCCTGACTCTAGCTGGGTCCTGGGCGCCCAATGTGAGGGATGTCACCTGACCTCCTGGGTCTAGCGCCCACCCGGGGCAGGTCCTCCAGCTGTGGCCACTCAGCCAATATCTGCACAGGTGGCGGTTGCCCGGTCAAGGGCGGGCTCACAATCTGCGGGGCGGGGAGAGGGAAGGAGCCAGGGAGAAAAGGGAGAGAAAGAGGGGGCAGTGTGGCAGAAAGGAAGAGGAAGGGGCAAGTGTCAGAGTCGGCGAGATGAGGAGGGAGGGTGTAGGAGAAAGGAAAATAGAAAGTGGGTGAGACCGTGGGAGAGGGAGACTGGGGGAGAAAATGTGGGCGTGTGCGCGCTGAGAGAGAGAGAGAGAGAGAGAGACTTGGAGAGGGAAGGAAGGGAAGGAGCGTTGAGAGCAAGGAGGAGCGAGTTGGGGGCGGAGACGAGGAAGTGGGTGCGAGGCGCGGGGCGCAGGCCGTGCGCGCGCCGCCCGCTGCATCCCTGCCCGGAGCGCAGCCGGCGCGGGCGCGGGACCGAGGCGAACCGGGTGCGGAGCCAATACCCGCGGCAGCAGCACCAGGTAACGCGGCCGCCGCCTCCCCGCGGGGCCTCGGCTCGGGGTGGGGTCCCAGGCGGGCTTGGGGACCCGGCGTGGGCTGGCGGAGCCGCCCGAGGGGCTGCTCGGGATCCCCGGCGGCCGTCGTGGCCCCGAACCCGGGTTCGAGCCTCGGCCCCACCGCTCCCTGGCTGTGCCTGACCTTGGGCAGGTGCCTCCGCCTGGCCTGCGAGCCTCAGTTTCCTTGTCTGTGACCGCGGGGGTCGTGCCTTCCCCAAGGGGGCGTTGAGAGCTCGGGATGCAGCCCCGGTGCACAGCAGTGCTCGGGACGCGGGTCGGCTTTATATCCCCTTTGCCCGCGAAGGGTGGATTTGGAAAGTGCACTTGCGCCGAAACAGTCCCCGTTTTGTCTCCGGGTCTGGGTGGTGGCATTTTCTCGCGGCGATGTGTCTGTCGGAGCATGGAGCAACTTTCTGCTAAAGGGAAGCCAGCGGAGAGCGGGGGCTGCTGGGGAGGAGGCTTCTATGTCTCAGGAAACCAGAACGACCTGCCTTCATCCCGCTGGGCTGCCGCCCGCTGCCGGATGACCGATGACCGGAGCCACAACAGGCAGCGCTCAGCGGGTGGGAGTCCTTGCTGGGGACATCTGGACGTGGATTTGCCTGTGGGATGAGCAGAGCAAGTGGCCTCTGATAGGAATCCCAATCTGGGCAGTGACCTTGAGCTTGAGAGCCTCAGTTTCCTCCTCCATGAACAGGGCCATGCTAATCCCCCACCCCGTCCATGAGGTGTTGTGAGGCGAAAGAGGTGGGGCAGGAAAGTGCTGTGGTGTCCCCCAGTGGCAGCTGTCATGCCCTAGATCAGATAGGCCCAGTCCTGGAGGCGGTTGCCTCTTGGGAAGTCATTTGTATGCCTCAGGTCCCCTCTGTGCCCTTTGCCAGAGAGGGTCAATCGGTGAAGCTGGGTGGTGGCCGGGCTGGGCATGAAGCAGGGCAGGGCCTAGGGAATGTGGGGGGCCCAGAAGCTTCAGCCTCCACTGCACACCTGTCCTGAGGCTGATGCTCCTGTAAGACATGACGTCTCTCAGATGGCAGTTTTTGTCCTGTGAAGACTCCTGGCATAATCTCTCAGCACCTCAGTTTCCTTATTTATAAAAGGAAGTTAATAAATTCCTACCTACTAATGAGTTTCCTGTCCCTGGAGGTTATCCAAGGCAATTGGATAGATTACGTTTTTTGACATCTCTGGGTCTGGATGGTGGCATTTTCTCCTTATATCTGAGCTAGGATATAAGGAGAATTCAATATCATGAGAAAATAACTTATCTCGAGAACCTGCTCCTTGCAGGCCTGGTACTCGGTGCATTACAAGTACGGCGTTGGTTACAGTCACCACAGCACTCCTGGGAAACTGGTGCCATCAAATTCCAATTTACAGATGAGGAAACTGAGGTTCCCAGAGGTAAATGATTGCCATGTGGTCACACCGGTAGGAAGTGCCTGTTCAGAGACTGGAACCAGGTCTGCCCGCCTCCAGGGTGCTTCTGGTTGTATCGTGCTGGCCCCAAAATATGACTGTATAAGTTGCGGCATAGCACAGGGCCTGGCACCTGGCACGTGCGCGATCAGCACTGGCTTCTTGTTCCATGTGTCATAGGAAGGACTGCTACAAAGCACTGGAGAAAGTGAGCCTGAAGCCTGGCAGCAGGGTTGGGGTACTCTTGCCAAGGGATTTCTCTAAGGGTCTGGAAGGAAGGAAGGTCACTACTCAGTACTACATAGGAAGCCGATATCAGACTGACTCACCCCAGCCCACCAATTTCTTTGCTTCCTCCATCACCTTGTCCCGGTTAACCTTGTCTTTATTCATCTCAGCCTAGGCCGATTCTCCTGAGCTCACAGGCACATTCCACTCTCCATCCTAGGCTGATGATTAACTACTGACCCTCCCAGGCGATGCGTCCGTGGGAAAAACAAGACCAGCTGTGGTCCATCTCTGCCAACACCCCAAAGTAAGGGAAACAGGATTAAGTTCCAATCCCAAGGGTTTAATTCAGACTAGAGGAAGAAATCCCTGATGATGGGGAAAAGGGTGTCCCAGCAGGCTAGAGAGGTTCCTTTGCCAAAAAATGTTTTAAAGAAGAGGAGATCATCCAAATGAAAGGATGGAGATATGCACAAAGCCTCTTTCACGTGCAGAGATATTCATCAACAGTCAGAAAGTGCCTAAATGTCCAACAGTAGGGAATCAAAATTATGGAACGCCCATGTGACCACCAAAAGTTGAGAGTTTTTAATGAATGGAAACATGTTTTGCATTGGCATACAGATGGCAGGGTCCCAAATATGTGGCAAGAGCTTAGAAAAAAGACTGGAAGGAAATAGGCTAAAGAGGGTTAACAGTGTTTGCCCATGGATGGTGGGGTTGTGGGAGATTTGTTCCCTGACTACTTTTTCTTGACTTTCCAGATTTTATGCAATGAGCATGTTCTTTAATAATTAGTGGACTACCTGGCTTCGAGTTCTGAGAGCAGGGAGGAGGGTGCCTGATTGAAAAAAAGGTAACTTACGGTTCAGTAAAATGGGTGCCACGTATCTGAGTGTGCCCTGTCTCAGGCCTACAATATAGACTGAATTGCCTCTAAAAGGGTTCAAGTAGTGTTTTCCAGATTGAAGTTTTCACCATCTTCTTGTCTCTTATCTTGTCCCCTCCAATTCTGATACATCCTTTATCCTATTGTCAATTTGGTAATACAGATCTGAGACTACTCCTCCCCTGCTCAAAAATATTCCAAGACTCCTCATTACCAAATGGATCAAGACCAAAGTCCTTAGACTGGCATACATGGCTCATGATGGTTTAGTCTCTGGCCAGCCTTATCGCCTCCAGCTACCCCACCCACCCACCCTCTGCTGGTCCACCTACAACAATCCACATCCAGCTGGCTGAATTAACTATGTTCTTGCCCACCTCCAAACTTCCCACTTGGAATTTCTCTTGCCTGCAATGCCCTCCTTTGCTTAGCAACCCCATCCTACTCATCCTTCAAGATTCCATTCAAACCAGATCTTCTAGGACCCCACAGTTTACAGGTATGCTCCTCCCCCAGGGCTCCTTAAAGATGGGGATGATGTTGCCAGCACACAGGATGTCTCCTCCTTGCCAGCACCCAGGATGGGGCTGGCACATGAAGGCTTGTCAGTAATAGGGGCACCTCTATGTCAAGGCCTGGCAGGCCCCTTAGAAGAAATACGAAATTATTAATATCAATAATATCTGTTGTTTGTTGTATTCTTACTATGTTCCCATGATAACCCTATGGGTCTCACTTTCAGATTGGAAACTAAGAGTAACATGCGTTCAGCCACTTGCCCAGTATCTAACAGAATTCGAACACTGGCCATCTAAATCCACGGCCTACACTCCTAATCAGGGTCAGGAAGGGCTGACAGATTCAATCAACCAACATTTAATCAGGGATCACAGAGATGCTGTAAAAAGCAATGCATCTCTGCACTATAGAGGTGAAGAAATGGCACAATGACCTCCAAAGTGCAAGGGTTTGTGCCAGATACTGGGGACCTAGGCATATAAAAGATGCCATCTCAGGCTGGACACAGTGGCTCACGCCTGTAATCCCAGCACTTTAGGAGGCCGAGGCGGGAGGATCACAAGGTGAGGAGTTCGAGACCAGCCTGGCTAATATGGTGAAACCCTGTCTCTACTAAAAATACACAAAAATTAGCCAGGCGTGATGGCAGGCGCCTGTAGTCCCAGCTACTCGGGAGGCTGAGGCAGGAGAATCTCTTGAACTCAGGAGGCGGAGGTTGCAGTGAGCCAAGATTGTGCCACTGCACTCCAGCCTGGGTGACAGTGAGACTCTGTCTCAAAAAATAAATAAATAAATAAATAAATAAAAGCCATTGCTACAGGGAGCTTACAGACAGTGGGGTGTGGCGAGAGTGGTGTGTAAGCAGGGTCCTCAGGGCTTTGATAGGGGGTGTTTAGGAAACTGTGGGGCCTCAGAGGATGCAGGGTGAAGACTGCCCAGAGGGGATAATATTTGAAATAGATCAGGAAGGATAAGCAGGAATTCACCAGGTGAGCCAGGGAGGTTGGAAAGATGGTTCTCAACTGGAGACATTTTTGCCCCTTGGAAGACATTTGTCAACATCTGGAGCTATTTTTGATTTTCACAACTTGGGGAGGGGGAGTGCTGGCGTCTAGTGGGTAGACGTCAGAGATGCTACTAAACTTCCCACAATACACGGGACAGCCCTCATAACAAAAAATTATCCTGTCCCAAATGTCAATAGTGCCGAGGTTAAGAAACCCTGGGCTGGAAGAGAAGAGCATTCCTGACCAGGGATCAGCTGGTTCAGGTAGCCACAGGTGTTTACCAAGGGCCTTCAAAGCACTGGTCCTTTGAGCCTGAGGTTGCTCTATTGGCCACCTGGCCTCCCTGCTTCCCCTCTGCCCCCACCCCTCAAGCAACAAAGGTGGTCTTCTTTTTTAACGTAAGAGCAGAGCGTTATAGAGACATAATTCATATACTATAAAAGTCACCAATTCAAATGACAAGTCCATAATTTTTAGGATATTCACACAGAGTTGTGCAGCCATCACCACTATGTGATTTCAGACCATTTTCACTATCCCCAAAAGAAACCTGTCCACATTAGCACTCACCCTCTATCCACTCCCCACTCCCACTCAAGGCTCAGCAACCACAGGTCTACTTTCCCTCGCTATAGGTTTGCCTATTCTGGACATTTCACAAAAACTGAATCATACAATAGGTTTTGTGACTGATTTCTTACACCTAGCATGTTTTTAAGGTTCATCCATGTTGTTGCATGTATCAGCGCTTCATGCCTTGTTATGGCTAAATAATATTCCATTATATGGATAGACCACATTTTCTTCATTCATCAGTTGATGGGCATTTGGGTTGTTTCTGCTTTGGGGCTATAATGAATAATGTTGCTGTGAACGTTTGCATGTAGGCTTTTGGGGAGACATATATTTTCATTTCTCTTGAATATATGCCTCGGAGTAGAATGGCTGGATCACATGGTGATGCAGCTTTGACTTGGCGCCTGTTTGAGGAATTGCCAAACTGTTTCCAAAGAGGTTGCACTGTCTTACATTCCCACCAGCAGTGCACGGAGGTCCCAGTCCTTTCCAAAGCTTCTTAGGTCTTTTGGATTCTAGCCATCCTTGTGGGTGTGAAGTCGTGTCATTGTGGTTTCGGTTTACATTTCCCTGAGGGCTAATGACTTTGAGCATCCTTCAGTGTGCTTGTTGGCCATTTGTGTATCTTCTTTGGAGAACTGTCTATTCAGATCAGAGTCACCTTTTAAACTTCAATGCGTCACTCCCTTACTTGGACTGAAATGCTAACTCCATAGAAATCTATCAGGCGCCCTCCATCAGGCCCTGCCCGTGCACTGTCTGCATTTCTCCTCACTCGGCTCTAGCCAAAGCCTCAAAAGGGCCAGCTCGTTCCCCACCGGCCCTTTGTAGTTGCCAGTTCCTCTGCCCAGCTTGCCCTTTGCACAGCAGTTCAAGGATCAGCCCCAGAGAGGCCCTCCCTGTCCTCCCAGTCTCAAGGACACTTCTCCAGCCCCCCTCTAGCACACTTCAAGTTTTCTTTGATCGTATTTTCCTGTTTGATAAGATCTTGAAGAACTCCAGGTGTGACTACACCTTTGACTACTGTGTGACCCTGGGCAAGCCACCTCCCCTCTCTGAGCCTCAGCTGCCCCATCTGAAAACCAGAAGAAGTGGGACTGGCTGATTGCAAAGGGCCTTTCCAGCTCTGCCCCTATCTGATGCCGTGTGACAGCAATGCCAGGAGGGTGCGGGCCTGGCGCCATTGCTGTGAGAGAAGTGTGGCTGGAGCCAAGTTGGTCACGGACTAGAGCAGGCAGTGTGGCTGATTATTGCCAGCCCCATGGGGACAGTCTGCAGGAGCGTGTGGCAGCTTTGACCTGCCACCCAACCTCCAAGAACAGGAGGGAGGATTGCAAACACCTCCAGCTCCAGCAAGGACTGGACACTTTGGCCACCTTGGGCTCTAGAATTGCCCATTTTTCCTGGGAGAATGATCTAACAGCCAAAGCCTCTGTTAACATGAGGGCCATTCATTCACACATTCAGTCACTCACCAAATGCTTCCTGGGGCCCTGCTTGTGCTCAGTCCTGGGCAGTGCACTGAAGATACAGCAATGGATACACCTGATAAGATTCCAGCATAGTGTGGAAAGCAGACAGGTGCATGGGAATGCAGCAGATAGACACAGAGCGTCTGGGTATTCCAGATGTAGAAAGGGCGTGCACAAGGAAACAGAGCTGCAAAATGTCCAGGGGTGTTCAGGGCATTCAGGATGATTAGGCTTGACCTGAGACCCCAGGGCAGTGGGGGCAGGCAGTAGAGGAATCAGCGGCGCAGACCTTGAAAAGTCTTCAGCATCAAGCTGAGGTGTTTGGATTTTGTCCTGTAGGCAGTGGGAGCCACGGCAGGATTTTTTTTTTCTGTCACCCAAACCGGAGTGCAGTGGCGAATTCACGGCTCACTGCAGCCTCGACCTGCTGGGCTCAAGCAGTCCTCCCACCTCAGCCTCCCAAGTAGCTGAGGCTACAGGAGAGCCCCACCACCATGCATGCTGCTTTATTTTTTTCTTTGTAGAGGCAGGGGCTCGCTATGTTGCCCAGGCTGGTCTCAAACTCCTGGGCTCAAGAGATCTTCTTGCCGTGGCCTCTCAACGTGCTGGGATTACAGGCGTGAGCCACCGCACACGGCCCGCACAAAAGGATTTTCAGCTGAGGATAGAGGCGATCCGGTTTGCATTTTCTAAAATGCCTTTTCTCCAGACAGTGCGGAGGAGGGTGGGGCTGAGGAGAGAGCAGGAGGCCAGGAACTTAATCAGGATGGCCTGGCTCTTTTTCTTCGTCTTGTGCAGGGATGAAGGCCAGTACTCTGCAGCTGGAGAGGAAGGGACAGCTTCAAAGCTGAGAGGTAGAATCATCTGAAGGGGGTATGGGTTGAAGGAAAGGAAGGAATCTAAGTAATGAATGACACAGGAACAGCTGATGCCAGCCTCCCGGGGTTCCTGCTACGACCGAGGAGGTACAGGAGCTGCAGGAGCTGGCATTTGAGCATGGCATTTTCCAGGTGGCTGGAGAGGGGGAGTAGAGGCAGCGGGAGAGGGAGGTCCGGACCCAGGATCTGGATATGCACAAGCACAGAAGTGTGAGAATTAAAGAGAGTTAAAGAAACAGTGAGAGGCCCTGGATGCCTGGAGCACAGAGGGTGTGAATGGCAAGATGGGAGGGGAAACTGAGGCTGGAGTGGGCAGGAGGGGCATCCCTGCTTGGCATCAGAGGGCTGTTAGAACCCAGAGCAGGGGTCCTGGCTACAAGACCACTGACTGTTGCTTCCAGGCACAGAGCACTCGCTGCCCTGAGAAAGCCCATTGCTAGAGCTAGAAAGTTCTCAACACCTTACCACACTCCCAGGGCCAGAGATGGGTGCCTGTCAGTCTGATTGTCAAACAGGCAGAAGGCAGATTCCCCCAAACAATTGACCAGTGAATGTGATGTCAACTGAGGCCAAGCTCTCAAAGCGATTATAAAATGGGCAAGAGTGGTTAGAAAAGGAAGAAGGAAATCCTGGAAACCGACCTGGCTCTCCAAGAACACCAGGAACATGCCAAGATCATAGATGGCAGCTGGCAGAGGACTTTTGCAGAGACCACAAGATATTTTTGGGAAAAAAAAAAGAGCCAACAGTTTTAAATGAGATTTCATTGAAAAGTTAGGACATTTTATTTCAAACCCAGAAGATTTTACTGAACATCCAGATTTCCAGCTTCTGGAGAATGTGGAGCTCTGATGGCACTGAGCCCATAGTGGCCACAGCTGTGTAGTGGCTCCCCATCCAGCTGGGCACTGCACCCCCACTGTGGGTGCAGCCTGCCACATTTCACCTGCCTGCCTGAGCCCTGAGGCCCTGGGATCTGAGACCCCAGGACCAGCCTCATCCCTGTCTCTGCCCTGCTACCTAGAGGCTGAGCCAGTGTGGGAGTTTCTTGCCCTGCAGTCCCCAGACTGTGTTCCTGGAAGCGACAGTCTCAGAGAAGGCTCTGTGGAGGTGGGATCTGGGGCGTCATTGGGCTCTCTGGAAGCCCTGCCACCCCCAGCCCCTCTCAGTCACAGCACAGGATGACGAGTTCAGTTAAGTCTGCAACAGAGACCCCAGTTGATGTGACTCACCCTTGAACTCAGGCGCAGATTCCTTTTTTGGTTTTTGAGATAGAGTCTCACTCCGTCACTGAGGCTGGAGTGCAGTGGTGCAATCTCAGCTCACAGCAGCCTCGACCTCCCCAGCTCAGGGGATCCTCCTCACCTCAGCCTCCCAAGTAGCTGGGACTACATACATGCAGCACCACACCCTGCTAAGTTTTTGTATTTTTTTTGTAGAGACAAGGTTTCACCATATTGCCCAGGCTGGGCTTGAACTCCTGGGCTCAAGCGATCCACCCGCCTTGCCTCCCAAAGCACTGGGATTACAGACATGAGCCACTGCGCCCGGCCTCCAGATTCCTTTTTTTGAAGTAGCACCTTTAACAAATATCCACAGAGCTCATTTGGGACCATACTGCCTTCTTCTAAAGACTGATTAAATGGTTGTTTTTTCTTTTCCCTTTTTGAGTAGATAAGACCTTCATGTGGTTCAAAAGTACAATCTACAGGGTACACAATGAAAGGCCTCACTGCACCCTGGCCACCGTCTGTCCAATCCCTGCTCAAAAAATAGAAGGGGTTTCTTTTGTTCATTTGTTGTGGTTTATTCTCCCAGGTTTTCTTTTTGCAAATAAAGGCATATATATATATATGTAATGTATAGTCTTATTTTTGGCCCAAAGGGGAATATATTATACATACTATTTTGTACCTTACGTGTTGTTTTTTAGTCACTGTAGACTTAACTCTCAATGTAGAAAACTTTGAATAAAGAAATGTGCTGGCTGGGTGCGGTGGCTCATGTCTGTAATTCCAGCATTTTGGGAGGCTGAGGCAGGCAGATCACCTGAGGTCAGGAGTTCGCGACCAGTCTGGCCAACGTGGTGAAAACTCATCTCTACTAAAAATACAAAAATTAGCTGGGCGTGGTGGCAGGTGCCTGTAATCGCAGCTACTCAGGAGGCTAAGCCAGGAGAATCGCTTGAACCTGGGAGGTGAAGGTTGCAGTGAGCCAAGATTGCACCATTGCACTCCAGCCTGGGTGACAAGAGCAAAACTCCGTCCCTCCCCCCACCCCCCAAAAAAAGAAAAGGAAAAGCCAAAGAAATGTGCAAAGAAGACAAAATAACCAGTACGACCACCCAAAGAAAACCACTAATACCATCCAGTCTGTCCTACCAGGCATACATTTGGTTTTGGCTGTCCCCCCACATCCCCTGTAAGTTAACAGATTAGGAGTTCATAGTTATAATCATTGTCTCCTTACAATTTGAATCCTGCTATTTTTTGACTTAAATATAAGCATTTCCCCTCATTATTTCATAGTTTCCAAGAAGTGATAGTAACAGCTGTAGTAATTTTGTTGTGACATAATTTAACCATTCTTCTAGTTTTGAACATATAGGTCATTCCCAATATTGCCTATTGTCGAGAATACAGTTATACCTACAGTTGTTCTGTATATTTCTAATTGGGCAGAGTGAGCATCCCTAGAAAGTGGGCCACCTACTTGGATTTTCTTTAAAATATTCACATGAACAAACAAAAAATATTAAGTGGTGGCGGGGATGCAAGACGATTGGCACAATGCTGAAAATAGGCTGGAAAAAGGGGATGTGGGGTTCATCATTCTCTCCTCTCTACTGCTGTGTCTCTTTGAAACCTCAAAAACAAATGCATTTAACAAAGCAGGGGCCAGGTGCTGAAAAGCCATGGTTTGGTGCTCCAGGGCTGGGACTGTGTGGGGATGAGGTTCTGGAAGGGGAAGGACCAGGGCAGGGCACAGGCACCTGGGGAGCTGGAGGAAGGCAGGTGCCAGTGTGGGCCAAGCACTGTGGTGTGGGCTTGTGCATCACACATGTGCGCTATTTATGCTCACGGTGTGTGAACAAAGTAGTGAGTGCTGGGGCTTGGCACACATTTACCCACTGACTCCGCACAGCAGTCAGACAGCGGGGGACTGCAGGGATTTCCTTCCTCCAGTTGAGAATTCTGAGGCAGAGACCCCCCCAGCTGTTGCTCGCAGGGTGGGGGTGCAGGGGAATATTACTCAGGAAGTTGGCTCTAGAAGGGTCTTGATCTTGACCCCATACACGTGTCAACTCCATTGTGAGGCTGGGTTATTAGCCCCATTTTACAAGTAAGGGAAATTGAGGCTCAAAGCAAAGTCATCTGGCCAAAATTGACTAACTGGTAGCAGCAGAGCTGAACTAGAACTCACTGCAGCTGCTGTGAAGGATGCCTTTCTTCATCAGGTCCTGGAGACTGAGATGAGAGTCGCGGTGAGGGGCCGGCTAGGAGGAAGGGCCCAGGCTGGTCAGTGAGGAGGAGTCCAGCCATTCTGCAGGCTGTCCAGGAACAATCGCGTGCTCCCAGAAGCAGAGCGAGGGTGACAGGCACTCAAAGACTCTTAGGGAAGGGCAGCAAGGTCATGGCAGAGTTGTCCAAATCCAGAAAGAGGGTGGGAGAAGCAGGGGAGAGGGGAGCTCCCCAGCATGGAAGGGATGTTGAGGGCAGGACTCACTCAGTGCAGAATCACGGAACAAAGTGTGACAATGTCCACAAAGAATCAATCGTGCAGTTCCTCAGGAGGTCCCTGCTTTGGTTTTTGTTTTGTTTTGTGAGATGGGGTCTCCTCCAGCTCAGGCTGGAGTGCAGTGGCACAGTCATGACTGAGTGTAGCCTCCACCTCCTGGGCCCAAGCGATCCTCCTGCCTCGGCCTTCCAAAGTGCTGGGATTACAGGCCTGAGCCACAGCACCTGGCCCCTGCTTTGTTAAATGCATTTGTTTTTGAGGTTCCAAAGAGACACAGAGAGGAGAGAATGATGAACCCCACATCCCCTTTTCCCAGCCTCACTATTTTCAGCATTTTGCCAATCGTCTTTCATCCCTGCCACCGTATAATATTTTTTGTTCGTTCATGTGAATATTTTAAAGAAAATCCAAGGCATCCTGGAACTGTGCTTGTAAGAATTTCTTTCTTTCTTTTTTTTTTTTTTTTTGAGACAGAGCCTCACTCTGTCGCCCAGGCTGGAGTGCAGTGGTGCAATCTCGGCTCACTGCAACCTCCGCCTGCCAGGTTCAAGTGATTCTCCTGCCTCAGCCTCCTGAGTAGCTGGCATTACAGGCACACACCAGCACACCCGGCTAGTTCTTGTATTTTTAGTAGAGATGGGGTTTCACTATGTTGGCCAGGCTGGTTTCAAACTCCTGACCTCAAGCGATCCACCCACCTCGGCCTCCCGAAGTGCTGGGATTACAGACGTGGGCCACGGTGCCTAGCTTCAGTGTTTGTGTTTATTTCTAACTGACGAGCACATGGCACCCTCCCATTGCTGCAGCTAACAGAATGACAGAAGGAACACAATTCCTTAACATAACCTAACACCCGATTCGCATTCAAGTTTCCCTGATTGCTTCAAGATGCCTTTGTCCCACGATTATGTTCACATCAGGATCCAAGCAAGGTCCCTTTTAATGCTTTCAAAGAGCACTAGAGCTCCACTAAAGGAATCCTGCCTTTACCGTTCATGGACTGAAGAGAACAGGAAGACTGGACACTTCTGTGACTTGATGCTGCTTTTCCAAGGAGCCCAAATTTTACTAACCCAGGAGCAGCCCCCTCGGGGTGACAAACTCTGATGCTTCTGAGGCCAGGCAGGGGGCATCACTGCTCGGTGTCACTCCCTGGTGGGCCTGTGTCTGGTCAGGCTTCTAGCACCAGGCTCCAATCCAAAGGGGACAGGTGGGAACGAGGGCCAGGGCTGTTTTTCAAGAGTAATTGGAGCCAGGCCTGTAATCCCAGCTACTCAGGGAGCCAAAGCAGAAGGATCTCTTGAGCCCAGCAGTCCAAGACCAGCCTGGGCAACATAGTGAGACCCTGCCTCAAAGAAAATTTTTTTTTTAAAGTAACTGGAAATCTAGACTTTTTACATGAAATCTCCTGATTGTTAAATGTTGCTTCTTAAAAAAAATTGATAAACATTGTTTGAACCCAACAGCACTCCTCAGTAGACTGAATTCAGCCTGTGGCCATTGATTCCATCTTTGCTGTCCAAAAATTTTGAAACTAGGGGAGACACATGTTGTTTGAAGGAAATGACCTCCCCATCTTTGGAGGTAATCAAGGAGAGGTAGCCTGGCCATCCATCTGAAATGCTGGACAGGGACTCTTCCACTCACAGTGACCACTAGGCTATTTCCTGTCCTCGGTCCTACTAATAGATGATTCAGAAATCCCACAGCCTCCCCTCGGACCAGCAGTGTGCCTGAGAGCACCGCCACAGCCAGGCTGCAAATGCAACCACCTGCCTGGGGCAGAACCCTCAAGACTCTTGAGCCCACCAGAGACCCTTGGAGAGTCTACATGATTAATCCTAATCCCTACCCTCATTGCTGGCCAAAGACTGGCCACATCAGGATGATGAAAATCCCTTCCAGGCAGACAGCTGCCTGGGCTGGTTCTTGATTTGCTTTGCCAGGCCATATCCAGATTTGGGCCTGTAACAATGCTTAACAAGCCTCATCTGAATGCAGTAGTGGGCACACAGACATGGGCCCTGCCCTGTGGCGCTTATACTCACCCGGCAGGGGCCAACAGAGAAAGAAAGAATGGCGCACATGGGGTTAATAACAAGGTATGCTAAGTGCCATGTTGGAAGTACAGGATGCCAAGAATGTATAACCAGACGTCTAATGTCTGTTGAGAGTGCTGCGTGGGGATGGGGCAGTGCTTTGGGGAACTGGAGGACAGTTCTGTGCACAGAAGCCTCTGAGTGAGGAAAAGAGAAGTTGGGAACTCATATTAGAAAGTTCCCAGGAGCCAGGTGGATTGCCCAAGGGTTTGTGGGGCACCGCATGGGCTTGGTTTTTCTCAGAAGAGCAGAGGTTGCATAAGATAATCAACGGGTATAAATGTTCCTGGCAAGTGTTATCTGTTTGCTGCTGATATCTTTAAGGTGACCCAGCTGGTTGCAGGACTTCTGCCTGTAAGAGAAAGTTGTACCTTGGCAGAAGGGCAAAACCTCCAAGGAATGAGGCTGGGGGAGAGAATAGAGAGGGAGGAAGAGACAGTGTTGTCAGTGGCAGTGCTGGTATCCAGTTCATGTGGCCACAGCTGCTACTGATGGTGGAGGTGATGGTGATGATGGTGGTCACAGCCAGCCTAGAAAAAGGAATTTGGACTTCTTCTCTGAACCTCAGAGCTTTTCAGAGACACACAAAAAACTTTGCAAACACACATACATACATACAAAGTGCCAGGTATAAAATACAAAAAGAAACCCACAAAATTGCAAGTATTAAATGTTCAATTGAACATCCGCAAATGTAACATTATGCCAGCTGGTCAAAGTCAGCTGCCTAAGTCAAATAGCCATATACAAATTATATTTTCTTTGGAAAGTGCATAAATTGCAATGTATTTATTATGCAGTGAGGTATGACCTCCAAAAGAAAGAGGGTGTAGAGCTCTGTAAATGTCCTTAAATGGCTGTGACTCATTGGCAAACACTTTGTAAGATAGTAAGCCCCGCATCGATGGAGGTGGGCAAGGAGAGCCGGGATGACTGCCTCTCTGGGGTGCTACAGAAGGGGTTCCTGAACATGAGGAGCACTGTGTTTTGTTTCCACCCAGAGCTCTCCTATTTTACTATGGAGGGCTCATGATTCCTTCCCTTCACCCCTCCACACACACACACAGTTGCTGGAAGAGACCTTTGAAATATTCTAAGCCCATCTCCACAATTTTCTGCTGAGGAAACTGAGGATATGAAACTTGCTTGAGGTAACACAGCAAGTCAGATTCACACCAGAGACACAAACTCAGGATCCGGATTCCCAGCCCAGTGTTCTTCCCACCCCAGCTCCTGCCCCTGAGCAGTTTTGCCCCTGGGTGGCAGGGATGTGGGCTTCTCTGAAAACATTGGCGATCCACATCTCACCTCCCCAAGAACCAAGGCAGACTCTTCAGCCATCCCATCTCACCCCTGCCCTGAAAACTCCCTCCCCAGGCCTCTGCCACGCTCGCCAGCCCACTGCGGATGGAGGACTTTGGCCAAGTCACAAAACATCATAAACCTTAATTTTCTTATCTATAAGATAGAGATGAATAGTGGTACCCACATAATAGGGTTGTTGAAGAGATTAAATGGGATAATGTACGTAAAATATTTCAAAGATTACCTGACACTTTCAAAGTACCCAATAAATGGGATATGATATTGTTACGATGGTTATTTTCAAGTGCGTTTAGCCAACTGAGTGTTAACAGATCCCCCATTATGTGCCTGTTGGGGAGCAAGGTGGAGTGGATCCTGGACCCTGGATCCTGACCCTCGCCAAGCTCTCATTCCAGTGGGGAGACACAAATAGTGAACCAATAGAGAAACACACGAAATGCTAGGAGGGCCATGTGGGGTGGGGGATGTTAAAGAGGGTGAATTGAGCTGCCTTGGAGGGGTCCAGGAGGCCCCTCGGCAGAGCTGATGTGTGTACTGAGACGGGAATGTCCAGGTCATCAGCAGGTCACAGACCAAGCTCTGGGGAGGAGCAGGTGTGTAGTATCCGAGGAATAAGAGCAAGGTTAGGGGGGCCAGTGTGCACCCACTGAGGCCTCGGGTGGTAAAAGAGGAGATGGAGCAGGTTGCAGGGGATGCCGATCATAAGGGGCCTTCTGAGCCAGTGGTAAGAGCGTGTAACAGGACAAAACTGGTGAGGTAGAAGCAGGCAGGTGCTAGTGATTCAAGCGCCAGCAGCAGGGAGGCTGGTCAGGACCTGTCTCAAAACTTCAGGCAAGAGAGGGTGATGGCTCGAACTAGGACTAGGACGGGGGCAGCTGCAAAGGAGAGTAGATGTGTGTGTGTGCGTGTGTGTATGCATGTGCGCGTTTCACAGGCAGACAGGGTTTGCTGATGGGTTGGATGTCAGAGATGAAGGAAAGATGGGAATCAAGAAGAATGCCTAAGTGTTTAGCCTGAGCAACCAGGTGTTTGGAGGCTGGGGAGGAGCAGGTTAGAAAAAAGAATCAGGGGTCCTTTTCTAGCCCCTCACTTCATGATTTATATCCACTTTGTGCCCACAATATGCAGAAAAGACAAGTCTACAGAGACAGAAAGCAGGTCGGCGGCTGCCAGGGGCTAGGGAAAGGGAGGAAGCAGGAGCGACTGACAATGGGAACAAGGACTGCTTCTGGGGTGATGAAAATGTTTTGGAACCAGAGAGAGGTGGTGGTTGCACAACATGGTGAAGGTACTGAATGCTCCCCAACACTGTACACTGTAACACGGTGCATTGTATGTTATGTGAATTTCACCTCAGTTTTTTTTTTTTGTTTTTTTTTTTTTTGACGGAGTCTCGCTGTATCACCCAGGCTGGAGTGCAGTGGCGCAATCTCCGCTCAATGCAACCTCCGCCCCCCTGGGTTTAAGCCATTCTCTTGCCTCAGCGTCCCGAGTAGCTTGGATTACAGATGCCCGCCACCACGCCCTGCTAATTTTTATATTTTTAGTACAGACAGAGTTTTGCCATGTTGGCCAGGCTGGTCTCGAACTCCTGACCTCAGGTGATCCACCCGCCTCTGCCTCCTAAAGTGCTAGGATTACAGACGTGAGCCACCACACCCAGCCACCTCAATTTTCTTTTTCAATGTGAAAGATAAATAAAGCTTTTCCCATACAAACAAAAACTAAGGAATTTTGTCATCAGATGGCAGCTTCAGGTTCCCACATCCGCTGTTGGCAGAGGCCAAGCAAATGGTGTGAGTCTCTCACTGATAAGGAAACATCACACAAGAACTGGTCACACAAATCAGTGCCGAGGCTGGTTTCATGCCTTCTGCGGCAGGGGGGGTCTGGGGATATGGACGTTCAAAGCCCTGCCTGCCTCTTTACTGGCTGTGTGGCCCCAGACAAGTGAGCTTTCCAAACCTCAGTTTCACCATCTATCAAATGGGAACATGACAATCTCGCTATGCAGATACTATTATTATCATCTGTCAGGTGCCCGGCACGTGGTAGGTGCTCGGGAAATGGAAGTGGCCAGGGTCCTTGCTTCAAGTCCAGGTCCCCCTCTCCCTCACTATGATGCCTAGGGGATGACACTCATCATCATAAAGTGTCCACTCTGACCCCACCATCTAGCGCTGAGCTGGAGGACACACGTCTCGGGGGTAGTGAGACTCTTCCCAGTCTGTGCCAACAACACCAGTTACAGAACCTGCCCCCAATTCCAAATTCCAGACAACATTCAGATCCATTCACTTTTCAGCCTGTGCAGAGGGGTCCCGCTGGGGGCTGCAGAGCTTGGGACAAGACATGCTTGAAGACAGAAGCAAGAACAAGTCATGCCTTTGCACCCCTCCTGACTGAGAAGAAATAAAGGGGCAGGACTCAAGCTCCTGGGAAGCTGGGGGCTTTCTCTCCAAGGAACAGCCACAGCCAGAAGTCTTTTCCTGCCTATGGGCTTTGACCAAATGTCCTGCCAGGAAGGAGTTAGACACCTGCAACCACAAAGATGCAAGATGTTTGTATGTTATCACAAGGGCGGAAGTGTCTTGTGCTGTTGATACAACTGCAATCATGCCATCTCTTTTAAAAGCCCAAAGTCCTTTCTCCACCTGCAAAGCCAAATATGTGGAGGCCGAGAACAGGGACTCTGGAGGCTGACAGACCTCGGTTCAAATCCTGACTTTGCCACTTACTGTTTTTGAAACTTTGGACAATTTCCTTAATTTTGCTAAGCCTCAGCGTCTGTGTTTGTAAAATGGGGAAAAGAAAAATCTCTTGCCTCACATTGTTGTGGTAAAGATTAAATGAGATAATGGCAGGCCTGTCATGAAGTAAGCATTCTTTATATGCCAATTTGTAGTAGTATCATTCTCATGGGTTGAAATCAAGAGATATGGGGTCCCATATCTGCTACCAGTTCCCTGGGTGATCTTACGGCTGATGATTGAACCTTCAATGACTCCTTATTATCTTCAGAACTAAGTCCAAACTCCCAAGCACTCCATCCCCAGCTACATTTTCCTGTTGAGAACTAGCTGAAGAGGTTGGCGGGGGCCAATCACACAGGGCATAGCAGGCATTGCCATTTTTATCCTAACAACAGGAGGGGAATTGGAAGGCCGTGGCATGCTCAAAGACCAGGACAGTTGGACTGCAAAACCTGTGCAATGATTGAGAGGAGAGGATGGGCCCTGAGGGCTATGAGCTTGGAGGTAGAGGACTTTTTATAAAGGGGCATCTGGACTGAGTGGACCAAGCATCAACCCTCACCCAACCCTAGCCTGGAGCCCATCTCAGCCATATGGCCCTGTCTCACTCCTAAGCATGAGCTAGTCCTCCAGCTTCCATTCCTTTGTGTGTTGTTCCCTCTGCTCAGCATACCCTTCTCCTTCCATTCTCCACCTGTCAAACTCTACATCTATTAGGTTTTGAGTAGGTGATACATACACAAGGTGGAAAGATTGAAAAGGTCCCAAGAGACACATGGTGAAAAAGAAGCCTTTCTCCCATCCTGTCCCAGCTCCCATTTCCTCCCTGGAGGCAGCCATCCCTACCCTCTCACTGCCGCCCTCCTGAGCCACTCCTTGACCAGTGTTAACATGTGTAGATGCGTGGGTACGCACACGTGTGTTCTCCCTTGTGCATATCACACTCAGCATCGGCACACTTTTGGAGGCCCCCCCATCAGCCCAGACAATCTAAGTCTTTTGGACGGCTTCACCACGTTCTGTCACGTGCACGTTTACACTTCCCAGACTTTGCCTACACAAGCAGTGCTTTGGGGAATCACAGGACAGACTCCTAGAAGTGCAACTGCTGGGTCAGTAGTCTGAGTGATTTTAACATTAACGGGGTTTTCCAGACCCAAGAAAATGCTTCCTTCCACAAATAGGTATGTGTGTGCCGGAGTACACACTCTGGTATGCGCACATCCACGCCCGCACGTGCACACACACAGAGCTGTTGCTTGCTACCGCCCTCAGAGCCAAAGCTCCAGTGTCCCAGTTCCCACACCTGTGTGGCCTCCACCCACAGCTCTTATTAGCCATCTCTTCCTGTGTCTGAACTTCTAGAGGATTGGGACCACCACACCCTGTTCCTGTGTATCCCCAGCCCCTGCCCCAGGGCTCGTCTCCGGCTCCTGGGCAAAGGCAAGAAGGAGCCCAAACTCCTAGCACATAATGGGCCGTCAGCAGTTTTTTCCAGGTTTTTTAAAATTTGTATAAATTTATAGAGTACAAGTGCAATTATGTAACGTACATAGATTGCATAGTGGTCAAGGCTTATCATATCTATCACCCAAATAATGTATATCGTACTTATTAAGTAATTTCTTATCACCCACCTCCTCACCCTTCAGAGTCTCCATTGCCTGGCATTCTGTGTGCTAAGTCCATGTGTACACATTTTTTACCATCCACTGCTGAGTGAGAACGTGCAATATTTGACTCCAGTTGCACTGGAGGATATTATTTTAACTAAAACAAGGCAGACACAGAAAGTCAAATATTGCAAAAGACAAGATTTCATTCTTTTTTATGGCTGAATGGTATTCCATTTTGTGTGTGTCTGTATACCACTGTTTCTGTTTCTTTTTTCCTTTTCTTTTCTTTCTCTCTTTCTTTTTTGAGGCAGGTTCTCACTCAGTTGCCCAGGCTGGAGTGCAGTGGCATGATCTCAGTTCACTGCAGCCTTGAACCCCTGGGCTCAAGCGATCTTCCCACCTCGGCCTCCCGAGTAGCCTGCCCTACAGGCGTGCACAACTATGCCCAGCTAATTTTTAAACTTTTTGTAGATATAGGGTCTCACTACGTTGCCCAGGCTGGTCTCAAATTCCTGGCCAATTCTCCCACCTCAGCCTCCCAAAATGCTGGGACTGCAGGTGTGAATCACTGCGCCCTGTTACTTTTTCTTTATGCAGTCATTCACTGATGGACATGTAGGTTGATTCCATATCTTAGCTACTGTGAATAGTGCTGTGAAAAACATGAGCTCAGGTATCTTTTCGATGTATCGGTCAGCATTTCTTAAATGAAGCTGTTCTGCCATGTTAAGTGGGAAGAAAGGGCTCCCTGGGAAGGCCAGGGATCATTTCAGCTCTGACTGTCTGGGCTGAAGCCACGTTGGTCCGCAGCTCGTATCGGGGCAGCCACTCTGGGCTTGGAGAGGCTTGTCTTCCTTGCAACACTAAAATAACTCCCTGCTTCCTTGCAACCCCAAAATAACCCCTCCCAGCCCATTTTGGGCTGCTCCTTGGGTGCTGATGCTGGGGCCACTTCCTGATACCCTCAGGAGGCACCTGGAACATTTGAAGTGGTCGATGACAGGGGAAAAGTTCTGAGAACGAATAGCTCATGAGAATGAGGAACTGGGCGGTGCCGGGCAGCCACCTGCTCCGGCCCACCCCCAGCTGCCACACCCTCGAATCCTGATCTGCAGCAGGAGGTCAGGGACCCTGCGCCACTTTTCCCGCCTTCCAATCACATCACCCTCTGCTCGAACTTCCCCTCCACCTGCCGGAGGCGTCTCAGGGTTCTTGGGCTACAACCCACCATCTTTCTCCTCCAAACGTTCACCGTGGCTGTTCTCTCTGGAATCAGCTGGTCCCATGTTCACCCAGTTACCTTGTTCCCATCTGTACCGATCTCAACTCGAATATCGCTTCCTTGGGGAAGCCTTTCGTACCTACACCGTGATACATTCTGGCGGTGCTATTTCCCTTTATATAACTCTTAGCACGGCTGCCATAAATAAGCAGCTCCACAGTAGGTCCCGGATGTTGTCTCCTCCCACCCCTGTGATGGGGGCTCCAGATGTGTCTGCTGTGCCCACTGCTGTAGCCCAGTCCCCAGCACAGTGTCTTCACCCGGAAGCTGCTCGGTATGTGTCATGCACATGAATGCTATTTGCTGACCATGCAGCTTTAGCCAATGACAAAAGTGTTATTGGTAAGAACCTACCACGTGCCGGGCACTAAGGCTTTTCCGTCCCTTTACTGCCTTCATTTCACAGCCGTCTAGTGAAAGAGAAGGTAGTAGCATCACCATTTTACACATGAGAAAACTGAGGCTCAGAGAGTTGGAAGTCACGTGCCCAAGGTCACAAAGCTATTTCAGCAACAGCGCTGGAATTAGAACCCAGATCTGTCCAATGTCCAAGTCCTTGCTTTCAGCCCGGCGGCTCCCCTTGACTCCTCACAGTGTCCGTTCTGTAGAGTAAGGATCAAACCACCTACTTCACAGGGTTGCCGTGACGCTCGCCCAGAAGGGGCGTCGGGCACAGCGGTCGCTGCGTGGATGCAGGATTTTCTTTTCCTGTTGTACATTATTGCCTGGAAAATCAGATTTATCTTTCAGGCCGAGTGAGAAGCCCAATCAAGCCTTAACTGATTCCCCCAAATTGTTGGCCGCTTGTGTGCAATTGCCAGGCTCCCACAGGGCTGTGTCTGGGGTTTAAGTACTTAAACAGCAAAAGGTGTCTCACTTCCCGCTGAAGAGGGAAAAGAAAGTATTGGACTTGATTTCATAAACGTGGAGGGGGAGCACATCCCAGTCACCAGCTTGGTTGCTTTTCTAGATGGTCTCGCCCCTCTGGTTTTCTAACTGCATGCATACCAGTGGCATTTCTTCTGGGGTTTCATGAGTTGGGGGCAGTGAGAGGGAGGCTGTGGCATCAGGCAGACCTGGGGCTGTCTGCCAAGTTCTACCTCTTTCTGTGGAAATCTTCACCCTCCAAGCCCTCATCTTCTTCACCACCAGATGGAAGGATAGAAGAGAAAAGTGGTATTTTGTGTCTCACCACAATTCAGTTCCCGGGGAGACACATTCTCATGGTGAATCACCAAGGACTCCACTGAGAAGAGAGTGCTCCCAGGGCCTTGAAAACTCAAAACTCTGCCCAATGGGATTAAAAAAACACCCCCTTTCTGTCCACCTCAGAAAGCACAAGCCTCTGCCTGAGGTGAGTACAAGGGAGGTAGAAGTGAGAGAGGATGGAGAACCTACCTCTGGAAGACTTCCTGGAGGAGGTGACAGAGGAGGCCAGGGTTTGAAAAAAGAGTAAGAGCTCTCTAGGTAAGGAAAGACCTTCCAGGCAGTGAAAACAGCATGTGCAAAGGCACAGAATCAGAATGGGCCTGGCACTTTTCAGAATTAAATGCCGCAGAGCCAGATCAACACTCCAAGGCAGCAGGTGCTGTACAATCTAACTCGGTACAAAGTGCAGAGAGATTACTCCTGCTTTTAGGCATCTAGGAGGACTCAAGGAGACAGTTACCTGAGCTGGCCTTGAAAGGAGAGTGGTTGAAGTGAATACAAGAAAGAGTGACACACCAGGCATAGGGGATGCAAAGGCAGAGGAAGGAGGGAGAAGGTGTGCTGCATCTGGGGACATGCTCGGTTGCCTGAGTGTCTGTGAAATTAACAGGCAGATGCTGGAGTGCTGGATGAGACCCTGTTGGAAAGACAGGTTGAAGTCTGATCAAAGAACGGGTATTAAGTACAGGCCAAAGGAGTTTGAGCTGAATTTGAATCCAGGTTCTGCCACTTTCTAGGGGTGTGACATCACCTGGCCTCTTTGAGCCTCAGTCTCCTCAACCGTTAAATGGAGACATGATTTTCCTCACTCGTGGGGTCGTGAGGATTCAGTGATATTTTGTTTACTATGCATGGTATCGCTTTGCCCAGGAGGATCCAGCAGGACAGTTGTGCCGTGGTTCATTAAACCTTCTTCCCCCTGCAGTTGGCAGCTTAGGTTGTTTTCCATTCTTGCCATTGCACGTCTGCCAACGGACATCCTTGTGCACATATCCTCATGAGAGCAGGTGCATTGCCACGGGCTGGGCTCCCGAAAGAATGGCTTCGATCTAAGTGACCTAGAGGGCCATCCAGTACATATTGGGAATTTTACAAGAAGTGAAGGAGAGGCAGTTGCTGAGTAGCATGTATGCTGTGTGCGGGCAGTGCCCAGTGTGTGCCCATTGTGCATGCAGAGGCATGAGAAACCCAGGAGGCCCCCACATACCAAACAGTCAGCAGCAGTCACTTCCTGGTGGAGGGGCTCAGGTGTGTGGTGGCTCTGATTTTTGGCCCTTTCTGTACACCTCAGGGATATTTGGCTTACTGGAATAAGCCTGTCATCACTTTGGAAGTTTGAAAGGACAGTTTGAGAGACTATTTTTTGTTAGCTATGATGGTGACAATGACGGTGACAAGGGTGACATGATTCTTCCTCACAGGCAAAGAGAACCCATTGAAGGTTGCTCCATAAGGGGATGACGTGGCCCTCTAGGGCAATCCTTCTGCCCACATGGGACAGGAGAGGATGGGAGGGAGAGAGAGCGCCGTACAAAATCCCCTGCCCTCGAAAAAGGTGACCAGAACTTACGGGAGCTGGGCTTTAAATAGGAATACAGCAGAAGTGGTGCTTCTTTGAAAACTCTACGAAGAAAGGACTCACAGCTGTTTTGGTCATCATTGTCCCCCCAGCACCTGGAGTAGCATCTGACACATTGTGGGTTTTCAAAGAAATATGTGTTGAAAAGGACTGAGGAAGGGAAGGAGGGGCGGGAGAGGAGAGAAGGAAAGGATTTTCTAATTATAAGAGAGGCTGGTCCACTCAGATTTGAAGACCCCTCATCCAAACATGAACTCAAATGTCAGCCTGATGCCAAAATACCTATACCCGGCTGTTGTGGTAACTCAGAAAAACTTTGATGAGAAATAGGGATTCTCCAAAAAAATACCCTTATTGCTACCCCCTCCAAAGTTAATTAAGTGTGGCGGTGAGACCCATGCTGTTTGGGCTATTTATGTAATGAAAAGCTCTGCTAAAAATAGTACCCGGAGGTTCAGCTGCCAGGACTGGTGGCTGAGCCAGGGAGCGTGGCAGAAGGTGATCGGGAACCCTGATCCCTGCACGAACACAATCGTTGTGATTAAATGATGCTTCTCATATTCAGGTTGCAAACCGCTCCAGGCAAGAGCCTGGGAGAGGCTTAATTTATGTTTTATGGAGATTAGCTTGCTTCTGAGAGGGGGTTCCGCCATCAACTCGATTTCTGCACACACTCAGAGCTCAGGAGATTGCCTGCTCTCTGAAAAACCAGGAGGAGCTGGTAGGGAAGGACTGGGGCGTGGAACAGGGCCTCAGCTTGTTTCTCGCCAGTTGGAATCATATACAGCCACCACTGGGAGGGAGCCTTGGAGATTACCTAGTGACCAGGGGCTCTTATTTAATCAAGAGGCATTGCACATGCAGTTACTTTATTGACGTAGTGTTTGCACTACTTCAATAGTGCAAAGGGAGGAAGGGAGGAAGGAGAAACCACCCTAATGCCCGTGAGAGGGTGATGTGGGGATGATAGGATAAACCTATTCATGGTGAGCCTCCCCACAGACTGTTATGCAACCATTAGAAGGAATGAGTGAGTTCTGTCCCTGCTGACCTGGATGTGGGATCACGTGTTCTGCCAAGTAAGACCAGTAAGATTTAGAGATGCGTTCGGAGCAGGGGTGGCGTGGATGACAGGTGACGAACTGCCGATTAAATCTGGCCCTCTGCCTGGCTTTGTACAGCCCGTGGCTAAGAATGGTTTTTACATTTTTAAATTTTGGAAAAAAATCAAAAAAAGGAGATTTTTATGACACGTGAAAATGATATGAAATTTACATTTCAGTGTTCATTACTGAAGTTTTGTTGGAGTGCAGCCACGCTCTTCTGTCGGCACGTCATCTGCATAGCTGCATTCGCACTGCAAAGGCAGAGCCGAGCCGTCACAGGCTGTGAGGCAGAACGTGTTTATTACCTGACCCTTTTCTGAAAAAGTTTGTCGGCCACCGCCTTAGAGTATGATGACATTTTGCCAAACAGCAGCACCAGATATGGTTCTCAGCACTTCAGAGGAGTAGATTCATTACATTTGTTTATTCGTTCATTCATTTTATCCTTTATTCGTCAGATGCTTACTGTCTATCTGTGGGGCCAGGCACCAGGAACCAGCAGAGAACAAACAGATGCAGGCCTTCTTCTTGTGGAGCTGAAAGTCTGTGTCTAGATCCTTCTTTTCTCAGTACAAGCACTTCCAGCCTTTCCAACTCTTTCTCACGAGTCTCAGTGTCCAGCCCCTTGCATCCTGCCTCCCTTCTGCCTCCCCAGTATGTATCCTGATTGCCCAAGTCCCTCCCAAAAAGAGGTATCCAAACTGGTCCCATACTTCCTGGGGTCTTGCCAAGAGGTTGAGATCTAGTAGAAGGACACATCTTGAATTGGGTCATGCTTTCTATCTGGTTTCAAGGTGCTTAACATCCAACCTTTGCCTTTTCAGCTCCTGCCCTCCACTGACTCCAGAGAGGGAGATCCCCAGTACTTGACTCCATCACGCAGATGGGAGCAGGCACCAGCTATGGAGAGGGATACAGCTGCGTCTCCACATGACCCATCCTGCATGACACCAAAGCCACCGCCAGACAGTGCCTCGGATTCTATGCAAAACCTGGGAAGCGGAGACCTACCCCAGCCCCGGGAGGAAGCTAGCTCTTCAGGGGACCGTCTGAGGACTGGAGTTTGATCCATGAACCTGGCTTCGAGGCCTTGCTTTTCTCTCTTCTTCATTCATATTCATTCCCAACACCTTAGAAGGTGTTGCTTAATTTATTTCTAGAAAAGCAGCCCAGAGTCAGTCATTGAAGCCTTCCCCACCCCCTGGCCAAAAAAAAAAAAAAAAAAAAACTGGACACATTTTGGATCTGTTGGGAGCTTGGAGTCCAGTGGTTGGCATAGTTGTCACATTGGGAGCAGAGAAGAAGCAACCAGGGGCCCTGATCAGGGGACTGAGCCGTAGAGTCCCAGGATGGCACCCAATGGCACAGCCTCTTCCTTTTGCCTGGACTCTACCGCATGCAAGATCACCATCACCGTGGTCCTTGCGGTCCTCATCCTCATCACCGTTGCTGGCAATGTGGTCGTCTGTCTGGCCGTGGGCTTGAACCGCCGGCTCCGCAACCTGACCAATTGTTTCATCGTGTCCTTGGCTATCACTGACCTGCTCCTCGGCCTCCTGGTGCTGCCCTTCTCTGCCATCTACCAGCTGTCCTGCAAGTGGAGCTTTGGCAAGGTCTTCTGCAATATCTACACCAGCCTGGATGTGATGCTCTGCACAGCCTCCATTCTTAACCTCTTCATGATCAGCCTCGACCGGTACTGCGCTGTCATGGACCCACTGCGGTACCCTGTGCTGGTCACCCCAGTTCGGGTCGCCATCTCTCTGGTCTTAATTTGGGTCATCTCCATTACCCTGTCCTTTCTGTCTATCCACCTGGGGTGGAACAGCAGGAACGAGACCAGCAAGGGCAATCATACCACCTCTAAGTGCAAAGTCCAGGTCAATGAAGTGTACGGGCTGGTGGATGGGCTGGTCACCTTCTACCTCCCGCTACTGATCATGTGCATCACCTACTACCGCATCTTCAAGGTCGCCCGGGATCAGGCCAAGAGGATCAATCACATTAGCTCCTGGAAGGCAGCCACCATCAGGGAGCACAAAGCCACAGTGACACTGGCCGCCGTCATGGGGGCCTTCATCATCTGCTGGTTTCCCTACTTCACCGCGTTTGTGTACCGTGGGCTGAGAGGGGATGATGCCATCAATGAGGTGTTAGAAGCCATCGTTCTGTGGCTGGGCTATGCCAACTCAGCCCTGAACCCCATCCTGTATGCTGCGCTGAACAGAGACTTCCGCACCGGGTACCAACAGCTCTTCTGCTGCAGGCTGGCCAACCGCAACTCCCACAAAACTTCTCTGAGGTCCAACGCCTCTCAGCTGTCCAGGACCCAAAGCCGAGAACCCAGGCAACAGGAAGAGAAACCCCTGAAGCTCCAGGTGTGGAGTGGGACAGAAGTCACGGCCCCCCAGGGAGCCACAGACAGGTAATAGCCCTAGCCATTGGTGCACAGGATGGGGGCAATGGGAGGGGATGCTACTGATGGGAATGATTAAGGGAGCTGCTGTTTAGGTGGTGCTGGTTTATGTTCTAGGAACTCTTCATGAGCACTTTGTAAACACCCTCTTGCTTAATCCTCCCAACGGCCCCCAAAGGTAGAACTTAGCTCCCTTTTAAAAGGAGCACATTAAAATTCTCAGAGGACTTGGCAAGGGCCGCACAGCTGGGGCCTGAAGAGCGGTCACCTGACTTCGGAACTCGCAAGCCCTTTTTCCCAGCTACGTGGTCCTTACAATTAGAAGTCTTATGTTTGAAGCCTGACTGCCACTGAGGAGTCGTAAGTGTTCAACCAACCCCTCCAGGATAGCACTCAAGTAACCATGTCACCAATGCTGCCACTTGACGGGCCTGTTGTGGGGTTAAATGAGAAACTCAGCTCAGTTCAGCATTTATTGAGCACCTGCTATGCATCAGCTCTTACCGTGGGGGGGGTGTAAGTTGGTGGGGAAAGAGGCCAGTGGAGTCAGAAAGGTGGGGCCTTGAAGGCGGCTGAGTTTGGGCATGATACTGTAGATTTTAGGAAAGGTGAAAGAGTTAGAAGCAAGGGAAAGGGTAACTTAAGCAGATCTATGCCTTGGAAAGAGGGCTCTGGGTACCCCTAAGATGTGGACCAGAGGATGAGACTGTAGACGAGGGGGTTGTGGCACTGACTCATGAGAGAGGAAAGAGAGGAAAGCAAAATCAAGGAGGCCATAGATCTTAAAAGCTTGCAGACTCTGGGATGTTCAGAGTGCGGGAGATGCAAGGGAGGACAACAGGATTTCCCCTCCCAGAGGGCACCAGGCGGAAAAGATGTATAGAATCAGAATGAGATTTGGATAAATTCACTGGTGACAAAGCCAATGCAGGATCTTAAGGGAAACCACACCAAAGACCTGAGTGGCACCGAGGAAGCTCGCTGTGAGGAGAGACAGCTTACTGGTCTGGGCTTTAGCTGCTGAAAAGAGCAAATGAAAGAATGCTCAGAGGATACCTGGCACATAGAAGTTGCTCAATAAATGTTGCTTTCCTTTCTCTTCCCACAGACCATGGCTTTGCCTTCCAGAATGCTGGTCTGTGGAACTGACCCATTCATTCATTCATTTGTTCATTCATTCATTTGCAAACATTCATCCAATTCCCACCACATGCCAGGAATTATGATGAATACTGGGGATGTAGAAATGAGATTTTTTGGGTTTATGGTGATGAAGTTACAGAAAATCAATGGCACAGCCCTGGTCTCAGCTCTGCCGTCACTCAACTTGTATCTTGAGCAAGTTCCTCCCCATCTCAGGCCTCAGTTTCCTCATCGCATAGAGAGTTGGTCTTCCCTCACCGGGCTTCCTACTTGCCCTCCAGAGTTGCCTGAAGCTCACATGAGCGAAGGGACATGAACATGCTCTGCCATCTCCCAATAGGACATAAGTCCACGCTGGAGCGCTGAGCATCAGACTCAAGAAAAGCTTGCGTGGATATTGCAGACCCACCAACAAGGGCTCCAGGTTCTGGAGTTGTGGAGGCAAAACTGCCTAGTGAGAACCCTACATATTCCCTCTGGTCCTTGCAGCTGCCACCCCCATTCCCAGGGGTGGAGTGTCCCTCCATAGACTTGGATCCTGGGCCCTCTGCTCCTTCACCACTGTCCATCTGAAGCAAGCCTGGTTGCTCCGGCACTGAACTGTGGCCTCGGGCCCTGGACCCTGCCCCTCAAATCCACCCTCCAAGTGCACACCTGGAAACTTCCGCTTCCAGTCCTGATGGGTAAAACGCCCACCTACCATATCCTTGCGCAATCTCTTATTCAGGAGGCAGCTGGAGTGCAAAGCTGACTTAGTTCACAAAGTATAAAAAAATACAGGGATGTGGTTCAGCTAGAAGGTGGTTGCCACTCTTGGGTTTAGTCTTGTATATCACTTTGTGCTGCCGTTACTTGTTTGAGCCCTGGGTTAATAAGCCGCCTTTTCAGTTGAGTCCTTAAGGGAACTTATTCATTCAATAAGCACTTAACAACAATAGCTAACATTCATTGAGCATCCACTACTGGCCCGTTTCAGATGTCTGACATTGTTTCTAGGCATTAGTTGCTCTTCAGGGGCATCCTACTCCCACCCCTGCACCAAGTGCTAAGGGCACAAAGTGAGATAGAGCATCTTCCACCCTGTGCCACCCTCGGCCACCTGCAATTGCTCATGGTCTAGTTAAGAAGCTGACTGGTCAGATTCAGAGCCACACATGCCAAGGATTGAAGCCCAGATGGGGCTGGCGCATGGGCCCGGGAGCCCATCCCGGAGAGGAGACCTCTGAGCTTTTAAATGCAAACGAGAAAGACCCTTTCATCCAAGGCAGGGCTGGACCCTTGAGACTCAGGGCCTCACTTCATCCTCCACACAACCCTGTGAAGCAGGGACTTGCTTAATCTCCACTTTATAGGTGGGAAAACTGAGGCACACAGAAGTCAAGTAAACTGCCCCAAGGGATACAACCCAAAGTTGCGATCTGAGCAACAACAGAAATAGCAGCGCCTGCCGCAGACTGTCCTCCAGGCTCCCGGCATGCTGCAGGGTATGAGTGTCCATCTCCTGCTCTGATCCTCGTGGGCACCCTGGGTGGGAGGCTGTGAAGAAACCAGGGCCAGCAGAGAGGTGGTGCCTCCCAGGGTCATGCATGCAGCCGTGGAGGCAGGGCCAGATCCGAGTCCAGAGCCCATGCTCCTGGAGATCACGGCTATGGTCTGTCCTCCAGCCCCCAGGAGCAGGGGCAGAGGGCTTTGGCAGAGAAGGGTGGGGGAGCCAGTCAGAGGGCCCCACACTGTGGTTGAGGGCATGGAGGGCGGAGGGAGCCAAGAACAGCCAGAGGTTGATATTCCCACCAAGACTGCCAGGGCGATCAGGGCCTCGTGTGTCCCTCGATAAGCTCGGCTGCCAGTTTCCCTGCTGGCTGATAGCATGTCCTCCAGCTCTCCGTCTGGGGACAAACCCGCACTGACCCAGAGCCGTTATCACTGCCAAGATTGGGCTGTCTGCCTGAGCCAAGAATTCCGAAGGGAACGGAGCCAGCCTGCCCTGGGTGGGGTGGGGGCACCGTCGGCCAAGGGGTGACTCCAGAAGATAGAGTGGCCAAGCTGGCTGGTCCTCCCTTCCCTGTGGCCAACCAGCAGCCACCCCACAATGTTCCTGCCCAGCCTCTATGAGTGCTCTTTGCAGCACACTCAGGGCAGCTCACCCCACAGTCAGGGGCCCCGGCTGGTCCCACCATTCGAGAACCTGCTGGCTGCCTTATGGGCAGACACCATCCGCCCCTTCCTGACCCCTACTGTCCACCCCTCATCACCTCTCCCCTGCCTCCTCTCAGATACCCCTGCTCCCAGCCGCTCCCTGTCTGCTCCATCACTCACAGTGAGCTCCCTAAATTATGAATCTCAGTGTAGTGCCCCTGCTCAGGACCCTCCTCTGCCTCCCACGGCCGCCTGCACATAGGTAGCCCTGTGTCCATTTCCTGTGGCTGCCATAACACATCCCCACCAGCCTAGTGGCCAAACACAACACACGTTATTCCGTTGCAGTTCAGGAGGCCAGATGTCTGAGATCAAGGTGTTAGCAGGGCTGGTTCCTTCTGAAGGCTTCCAGAGAGCCTCCCTTTCCTTTACCTTTCCCCACTTGTAGGCAGCCTGCATGCCTTGGCTCAGGGCCCCTCTCACATCACTCCAGCCTTTTGCTTCCAAGGTCACGTCACCTTCTGCTCTGCTGTAGTCAGCTCTCTCCCTCTACCTCCTTGTTAGAAAGACACTCGCAATTGCACGGAGGCCCGCCTGGGTAACCCATGCTACTCTCGAGCCTCAGCTCAAATTCCATAATGTCATCGAAACTGCAAAGTCCCTTTTGCCGCGTAAGGTAACGTTCTCAAGGGATTAGGATGTGGACACATTTGGGGGCCATTATTCAGCCTCCCACAAGTCCCAACCCTCTGGCCCGTCCTGATTTGGTCCCTGCCCCCTGTCCTGCTGCCTTTCCTGCCACCTCCCCAGGCCCAGCCACCATCCTCTGCCCCAGCCAGAATAAACCACCCAGAGCTCAGTGAGAAGCATTTACCAAGGACTTGCCACCTGCCAGCACTGTTTGCAGTAGAGCAGTGAGAAAGGCTGAGGCCCTCTTCTCATAGGAATGTTACTCTACAGCAGGCGTTGTCACGGCGTGGCCCCCGCCAGCAGGGGACTCCCAGAAACAGAGGAGCTGGCCTGGGCCGCCAGCCTTAATGAGTGGCAGAGCTAGGATTTGAGCCCGAGTCTCTCTGATCCCAAAGCCTAGACTCTAGGACGAAATGCTGTCTGGATTTGAACTTGGTCCTGTTTTTGACTATCACCCCAGTGCTAGCCCTACAGATACCAGATAGGGAAAATGAGGCACAGGGAGGCAAGTGACCCGTCTGAGGTGTGAAGCAAGCTCAGGAGAGGCTGGGAGGAGAACCCTGTGTTTCTGGACCCCTGCCGAGGTCTCTTTGAGCCCTTTCCCCACCCATTCTCTTGTTCATGGTAATCTCCCAAGGCAGGAGATAATATTCATTAGCACCTGGGCTATCCCAGTCTCCGGGCGTGGCCCTTCCTCATGCCTGCACAGTCCCTGGGCCTTTGCCTGTGGCTTCAATACTCCTGATGCCTGGAGGGCTCCAGTCACAGCTGGTGCCTCCCCACTCCTTCCAGCTCTTCTTCTGTCCCTCAATCAGCCCAGCATCCCAACTGGCCCCTGACTAGCTCTCTGAATTTGCTCTCCTTCCGTCTGAGAGGTTTTCAGGCATAAATTGGATTATACTCCACTTCTCCTATTGCTTAGAGTAAAACACCAAATTCTTATCCCTGTCTCCAAGGCCCTGCCCTGCCACGACCTCCTCTCCTGCCCCTCTGGCCCCCCTCAGCCCACATGGTGTCTAACCCCATGCAGGCTCCCCTCAGCCCAGGCCCCCTTCTTCCCCCTCTTGACTTACTTATCCTATTGGTTTAACGTCTGCTCCCCCTAGATCATAAGCTCCATAGGACAGGTCCCTGTCTGTGTTGTTCACTACTGGACCCTAACACGTGGCACTGTGCCTGGCACAGAACAGGCCCAGGAATATTGCTGATTGAATAAATGAATGAGTGGATGTCTTGTTATAGGCCCCCAGGAACCCTGAGAAGTGAACCCACCCCCACTGTAGAGATTAGGAAACCACATCTGTAAGAGGGAAGTTCCAGAAACCTCGTAAGAACTCAGAGATTCCTGCTTCCCCTTTTTAGCTTGGATGTCACAATAAGTCTCCCTCCAAATACTGGCATCAGAGGCAGGCTTCCTGGCAGAATCCAGTACCAGCTCTGAATCATAGAACCTCGGGGTGGGAACAGACTAACCCCTCTCCAACTCCAGCACAGATGCGGGAAGGTGGTGCAACTTCTGCCCAATAGCACAGACAGCAAGCTTCTGAGTCAGGATGGGAATCCGGAGTTCCCAACAACCTGGACTGCATCCACAGCATCACCACGGCGTGTCCTGGTTTGGCCAGAAGTCAGGGGCACAGCTTGAGGAGCAAGGCTGACTTTGTCTTTTGCTCCAAATCCAATCTCAGAAGATGAGGCTGCAACCATGTGTCTGATACACACGCTTCTGAAGAAGAGCTGTTGCCCAGAAGATCAGTTTCCTTAAGGGTCAGAATGTGTTCACCCCTTCAAGAGCCCCAGCTTGTTAACTTATACATCCAGCTTAGTGAAATGCTCCCTTTAGCACATGGTTTCAGCGTTCCTGCCCGGCCTCTATGAGTGCACTTTGCATTACACCCAGGGCAGCTCACCCCACAGTCAGGGGCCCCAGCTGGCCCCGCCACTCGGGAACCTGCTGGCTGCCTTGTGAAGCTGCTGCCCCATCTCACAGCTGCTGGGGGTGCTCTCCTGGGGTGTTGGAGGGTGGGTCTGCCTAGTATGAGCCATGGCCACACCATTTACAGGTTTGATAACCTCAGGCAAGTCACTCTCCAGTCTGAGCTGCAGCTTCCTTACTGTAAAATGCTGATAATCATCAGGCTTCCACGGAAAATCAGAAAAGGTGTAAGGGGCGCAGACATTTAGCATCATTCCTGGCATGTGACAGGTACTTCAGCAAACGAGAATTTTCATTCCTCACCATCTATCTCTTTTTCTTGTTCCTGTCTGTCTGCCTGCCTGCCTGCCTGCCTTTTTCTTTCTTTCCATTTTATTATAACAGTTTTATCAAGCTACATTTGACATATTATAGGATTCACCCGTTTAAAGTGGACAGTTGGGTGGTTTCTAGTATATTCATGGAGTTGTGCATCCACAATCACAATCCGTTTTAGAGCATTTCATCGCCCCCCAAAAGAAACCCTGCACCTCTGAGCTGACCCCCACACTCCCTGCGTTCTATTCCCTGCACCTTCACACCGAGGTGGCCACGCATCTGCTTTCGGCCTCTCTGGATCTGCCTGTGTGACATTTCATGGAACAGGTGCTCTTCTGTGCCTGGCTCCCCTCACTTAGCATAACATTGCCACGGTGCTATCTTTATTTTCCGTCTTTTCTTCCTTCGTCCCTTTCTTCCATCCTTTTTGCTGTGATTTTTCCCTCCCGTCTGTTTCTCTTTCCTTCCCTTTCTTCCATCCAAGGGCCCATTTTTCCTTCCCCACGTGTTTGGGCTTTAGGGCAGCCCATGGCCTCTGCAGGCCCTGGGTGGAGAGCTTGAGGCTGCATCGTGGGCCGCCGGAGCCCAAATCCCTGCCCGCCCAGCTTCTCAGGGCCTGCACTTCTGCACAGCGGCCACGCGGCCACGCGGAGCAACGGCGCAAGCTCACAGTTAATCCTCTTCCTCTTTGTCTCTTCAGAGAGTTTGGGGAGTGAGAGCCCCTCCCACTCCTGGAGAGGAAGTCAGGGGAAGGAGAGCAGAGAGGAGGTGGGAAGCCCTTTACAGCCTCAAAAGTCAAGGAGAATAAATCGTGGCCCCCCAGGAGTCATTGAAAGGTAGAGAACCTTCCTGCATGGGTCTGGGGATGGTGACTGGAAGCCACTGGAGGCTCTGGCTTCTACCTGTGAACCCCTCCTTCCTCTCCCCTGCCCTGCCCTTGCCCTGATCTACACCTCCTGACTCCCTCTGAGCAAGTCTGAAGGCGCTGCCTTCCCAGGGACCGTGATGGGGCGGGAAGGGGCACCATGACTTTGGGGCCACTGCTAGTACATTTGTACCCTTAAGAAGGAGCACAGCGGCTGGGCGTGGTGGCTCATGCCTGTAATACCGGCGCTTTGGGAGGCTGAAGCAGGTGGACCACCTAAGGTCAGGAGTTTGAGACCACCCTGGCCAACATGGTGAAACCCCATCTCTACTAAAAATACAAAAATTAGCTGGGCGTGGTGGCATGTGCCTGTAATTCCAGCTGCTCAGGAGGCTGAGGCAGGAGAATCACTTGAACCTGGGAGGCGGAGGTTGCAGTGCACTCCAGCCTAGGTGACAGAGCAAGACTCCATCTCAAAAAAAAAAAGAAAAAAGAGAAAAAAAAAAGGAGCACAGAAAGGTGAACAAGTGAGGAAAAGGCCCTTCCTCCAGGGGACCCGGCCCCAGGGTGCACAGCCTGGCAAGCAGATGGAGGGCTGATTGCAGGCCCTTGACCCCTTCACCTGATGCTTTTGTGCAGAAAACGGCCTACACAACCGTATGGGGGCTGCATACTTTTGAGACCCTTCAGGAGACAGCCCGGCAAAAGGCAGGAGTTAGAAAGCTTTTCCTGCAAAGGGCCAGATAGTAAATATTTTAGGCTGTGCAGCCCATTCAATCCCTGTTGCAGTGCTGCAACTCTGCCCTTGTAGGGTGAAAGCAGCCACAGCCCGTACATAAATGGATGGAGATGGCTGTGTTCTCATAAAACTGTATATTTATGAACACAAAAATTTGAGCGGCATATCATTTTCACAGGGTCACGAAATGTTATTCTATTATTTTTCAACCATTTCAACAAAAACAGATGGTGGGCTCAATTTGCCTATGGGCTATCATTTGCCAACCCTGGCGTGGGGGAAGAAATGTGTGCCATTTCCAGCCCCTGGCTCTGTGACCTTGGGCAGGTGGCTTGCCCTCTCTGAGCCTCAGCTTGCTCATCTGCAAAATGGGGATAAAAATGCCTCCCTGAGAGAATTAGGATAAGATTTAGCACCGATTTATGCAAAGTGCCTGGCACAGAGCAAATGCTTAGTAAGTGGCAGCCTTTATTTATTTTTTTTCCCCATGGCCCATTTGCCAAGGAGCAGCTGGAAAGTTCAGGGCAGGCTCTGTGGATTTATGTCTCAGCTGTGCTACTGAATTGTTCCAGGGGGGTCCTGACCCTAAGCCTGGTGCCCCCCATCTGAAAACGGGAGACTTGGATCGGTGTCCGGGGACCATTCCAATACTAACTATATATAAATACTTAACAACGGAGAGAGCGTGCCAACCCCCCAACTGTGTTGTGTCAAGAATCTTCTGGCAAGGGTGGTGAGGAACGTGTTTTTTATACTAATGAGTCGCTCAAAGTGTGGAGGCAAATTCGGTAAAGCGTGTCCGTGTCACGACTTGAGTTGCCAGTCCAGGAGCCAGGGGCAGGTGAGGGTGCAGGCTGGGCATAGGGCGGGACTGCAGAGAGAGCCCCAGCCATGGGGAGAGGAGACCAGACCAGACTTTCTCATTCCCCTGCCACAGATTGGCTGTGTGAGCTTGGAGAGATCGCATCCCTCTCTGAGTCCCAATTTCCCCATCTGTAAAAGAGAGCTAAGAATTCTGGCAGTTGTCCCTGTCCCTGAAGCAGCAGTGGTGAGTCACAGGGCTCCCTGTTTTGGGGGCTTCATTACGCTCGCAGTGGCTGTTTGTGGCAGAGCATTCAGAGGGTGGAAGGGGGTGTGCCTGCATTGCAGGGTGTGCACAGCCCTTGAGGCTCTCCTGGGGCATAAGGACCATTCCCTCCCCACCCTGCCTGGAGACAGGAAGTCGAGGTGGTCCCGACTGCCAAAAACTGGCACGTGGTGCTAGACAACCATCAGTGTGCCTGCTTCTCCTGTCTCTGATCCATGTAGAAATTTGCAGAAAGTAGCGAGGGCCTCACAGACGGGACGTCGCAGGTCCATGGAGGACACTCAGTCCCTCCTCACGTGAGGACTGACCACATCCCTTTGTTACCCAGGGTGGGTGGACTGGCTGTCCCCAGTGCCCAGAGGATTCAAGGAACTTCTCCTTCTCATGCTGAATCTGGAGACGTAGAGTTTTAAAACTTACTGTGAAAATGGAAGATAAAATGGAAAGTCATAGAGAACCCCATGTCTGTTGCCATCCTTCCTATTCCCTGAAGTCACAGCTCTGTGCTCCCTTCCCATCTTGGTCCGGGTGCAGACATGGCCTTAATGTCATGGTGGTAAGAGGATGCACATGCTCTTGTTCTGCCCCGCTTTTGTTCCACCTGGTGTTCGTTCCTGAACAGGCTGCACATCTCTCCCTTTTGTGGCTGCTGAGTTTCCTGCCGTCTCCCCCATTCACTCATCCCTTACCAGACACTCTCGCAAGCTGGGAAGCTATTTGTGACATGGCAGTGGTCTGTTGCCAGAGCTCTGAAGGCTGACCTCCCCAATTTGCTGGCTGGCTGACCTGGAGCGAGTGACTTCCTCTCTCTCAAACTCTTGTGTCTTCTTCATCTGAAAAATGGGGCTGATCATTCCAGGGCCTCCCTCCCAGGGCTGGGGAAGGACCAATTGAGTGAGTGCCCTTGCCCCAGGAGTGGAGCTTGGCGCACACACCTGGCTGTGCCCAGGTGTAAGATACTTTGTTTTATTCTGCTCCGGGACCTCATAGGCCACCACTTCACAGATGATGGAAAAACTTAAATTTTCCAGGTCAGGGAGCTCAGCCACTTCCAGTAGTAAACATGGTGGCTTTGGAAGCGGCATGCAGTCCGCACAGGCTTCTCTCCCCTCCCCACCTGCATCCCCCCAGTGTAAGTCCCCGGAGGCTGTCTGGCCCCAGTGGCATTCTCTGGGCCACTCCAGACCTGTCTTGTCAGCTTCTCTATCCATGGCACCTGCGTGGACATAGTCGGCCGGCTCCTGGGCTCTCCCTGGCCCTATCCAAAGCCAGCTACATCCCCCTGCAGGCCTTGACCTCTGCTATGGGCCCCCACCCCTAGGACACCCTAGCAGGCAGTCCTCAAGGCTCAGCCATGTGCTCAGGCTCACCGTAGGCTCTGCGAGATTTTGACGATCTCCTGCAGCCCCTGTGGAGGAGAGGGAAGAGGAACTGGGGTGCAGCATGAGGCCTCCTAGCTGCTATTTCTGTTTCCCTACAGGGGCCCCTTCCTCTGAGACAGCCTTGTTCTGAGCCTCTGGATGGGAAGTGGAGCATAGCCTCTGTGCTTTCAGACCCCCCAAACTCACCTTCCAGTGACCCCAGCTCCTCTGCAATCTGGGTTTTCACCCAACAGGAGAGTGTTGGGGGTAGGAAGCAGGGCCCAGCCTAGCATCTGACTCAGCCTACCACCCCACTCCTCAGGTGGTGCCACCTCCGCCCTGGGTGGTGGGGAACGGCTCACGGGGGCTCTTGCAAACCTAATGCACATTGACACTCTCTCCACCGTTTCTGTTTGGGACTTCAGAAATTGTCTCTGCCCTCACCTGCCATTGCTGCCTGAGTGGCGGGGCCCGTGCCGATGACACAGACAAGCCAGGGCCAGGAGCCATGCAGTCTTCTGGACTTTGCATTGCAAAGTCCAGCCCAGCCTGCCCCACCTGACAGGCATCTCATGCTGCCCAGCACGTTGACCCTCTCCCAACAACTACCTGGTAATTGTGACTGCTGACCATCGCCGCCCTGGTAACGGTTGAGGCTGGTAGAGTCAGACTTCAGGGAGCTGGCTGACCTTGGGCACGCTGATTAACCTTGCCAAGCCTCGGTTTCTTCACTTGTCAAAGGGGATGTTACTAGTACCTGTTTCAAAAAGTTGTTACAAGGATTAAAGGAGCGAATAATATAGAGGCTGGAGAACAGTGTCCGGCACCCAGTGAGCCCCAGAGGTCACCAGCTCGCGCAGGAGTAGGTAGGAGAAAACCCTTCCCTATTGTTGCATCTGGCTGTTGTCTCCTCTTCACCCTATGATAAACATCTTCATGCAGGGAACACTTTGTTTCTTTCAGATTATTTCCCTAGAAACGGAATTTCTGGAAACAGTTACTGGCTAAAGGGGAGGGGTATATGAAGCCTTGTGCTACACTTCCCCTCACTGTTTTCTAGACAGGCTGTGGGGGCCTCCCTGCTGCCAGCGACATCGGAAGGTTATTAGTTCCTCGAACCCACATCAGCAAGAGGGCCCTAGAAGTGCTGCGGGGGCAGCAAACTAAGGCAGAGGGTGTAGACCTCAAGGAGAAGGGGCCACCAGCATTTAAGGATGGGCCAGGGAACAGGGAAGAGGGGAGAGGAGTCTTCGAAGGGGCTGAGGAGGAACCATCTGAGAGGTGCCCAGGTCCAAGGCCTGAGCCAGTCAGAGGCTACAGAGCCAGTAAAGGTCTCAAACCAAAGAAACTGGCACGGCGATTCAGGGGCTACACCCAAGACACAGCGCTCAACAGCCCAGGTGATTCCCAGCTCTGCCAGGCACTGCTAAATGCCCAGGGGCAAACAGCAGGCCTCTTTGAACCTCAGTTTCCCCATCTATGAAATGGGCATGACACTTTGCCTGCCTCACAGGGCTGGGATGTAATGAGGGATGGTGACTGACATTGAGAATCACCTGTGTGTGAGCCACCGTTGGCATGAGTGGGCAGGGGCCTGGGAGTTTCCTTCAGTTTGAAAAAAACATTTCACAGTTTTAAGGAGAGGGTACGTCAAGTCAGCCCATCTCAAAGTGGCAGTTATTGAAAAGTTCGAGCAGCAGGGCAGGGTGAACACAGTCCAGGACTTGGGAGACCTGAGTGTGACCCCGATTCTGGAGCAGTGTGGGCCAACTCTGGGCCCCCTCTGAGCTCCGCCTTGTGCCTTATAAGGCAGGGAGCCCCCCACTTTGCCGTGGGGCCACCCTGGACTTCTCAAGGCTCCACAACTCACTGTGAGTCCCGGGCAAGTGACTGAAGTTCTTTGGGCCAAGACTCCCTCACATCTGTTAGAGAGAAGAACAGGATAAATATCTGTCATATCGATCATGTGGAGGTTGTAAAAGTTAAGTGACAGTGTGGATGTTAAGGGCCTCCTCCATGCACACTCTTGCGGTTTTATTGCCAGCAATCCTAGGTCAGCAGCAGGAAGTGGATGGCAGGGAGGTGGGGGAGGGGCTCCGCAGGAAGTAGGGCTCCCACAACTTTGCTTCTTCCGTGGGACCTGCTGCAACACACTCAGCGCCGCCTACTGGCCGTGTGGCCCCCTTGCTGGCTCTTCTAACCTCTCCTTGCCTTAACTTCCCCTTCTATAAGACGGGGAGAATCTCAGCACCGCCCCATGGGGTTGGGGTGAGAAGGAACTGAGTTAAGACATAGAAAATGCTAGAGCCGGGCCGCAGTGCAGCAGGAGCTCAGCGGATGGTGGCCTCCCGTGGTAGCTCTTAGGGCTCAGCACAGGGTTTGCACCTAGCGGAGGTGGCAGGATCCCGGTCTCCCTGCTCACCAGCTGTGTGACCTCGGTCAGGGCGCTCAACCCCAGGGAAGGCCAGTCCCCTCTTCTGTTAAGTCCCCCGCTGGCATGACTGCTGGTGGGGGTGAGGGGTCCCAGGCTGAGCACACACTACATGCTCAAAGACAGTGCTGAGTCACACATTTCGCCTGAAGTTTTACCTTTAAAGAGGATGCCCGGCCGGGCGCGGTGGCTCACGCCTGTAATCCCAGCACTTTGGCAGGCCGAGGCGGGCGGATCACGAGGTCAGGAGATCGAGACCATCCTGGCTAACACGGTGAAACCCCGTCTCTACTAAAAATACAAAAAATTAGCCGGGCGTGGTGGTGGGCGCCTGTAATCCCAGCTACTCGGGAGGCTGAGGCAGGAGAATGGCATGAACCCAAGAGGCGGAGCTTGCAGTGAGCCGGGATAGCGCCACTGCAGTCCAGCTTGGGCGAAAGAGTGAGACTCCGTCTCAAAAAAAAAAAAAAAAAAGAGGATGCCCATGAAAATTGCCCAGACCCACCCCCTGCAGCCTCATCTCTCCCAGCAGTGAGTGAATATGCCTTGCCAGAGAGGCAAGCTCCCTTCCCCATTCCCCCGCTGGGGTATTCACCACCCCACACAGTCACAGAATTTGAAGAAGAGCTGTCCGGGTCACAGACTTAGTCCAGTCGTTGTTCAATTCCTGACACTCCCCTGCTCTACAGCCTTCAGTAGCTCCCCGGTGCCTGCCAGATCACATACAAATTCCTCAATCAAGACCTTCATACTCCGACTACAGAATCCCTTTCTGCCTTTCTCATCTCTTCAGCCCCATACTTCTTCCTCTTCAGCTGAGATAGGCCATTCCCTGTTCTCAGAGCATATCCCACAGCTCAGGCTGCTCTCTGCCTGAAGAGCCTTGTCCACCTCCCCAAACACCCCTCATGGCAACAGGCCCAACTCAAATGCCACCTGCTCCATGGAGCCTCTTGTGAACTCCAGAGCCAGAAATGGCCATACAATCTTGCTGGTGCATGCCCACCCACACTCACAGGCAACACACCCATGCACACTCAGGCACTGGAGCGCACACACGCTCTTGCGTGCAAGCAGACCTGCCCCTGTGTGTAGTTTACACCTGTGCATACACTGGCACACCGACCTGCACACGCTCGCTTACAGGCTCACGTTATGCACACATGCAGTTTTGTTTTTACACTGCAGCAATTAACCCAAACATTTTATCACCCTTAAGTTGCTGGAGACCAGCAGCCCTGCCCAGATCATCTCCGTATCCCTCGTATTATCCGTCTGTGCCGTTTCGCCTAATCCATTTAGTCTGCCCCACAGGAAGCAGCATGTCACAGTGGGAGAGAATCATGCTTTGAAGTTGGATAGCCCTGGGTTCAGATTTGAGCGTTGCTACTGTGTGACCTGGGGCAGCTCTTACCTGCGTGGAGCCTCACGTTCATGGTCTGTTAAACGCACACACTTGTTCTCGCTTTATCGTGCCATTGAGACAGTTAAACAGAAAAAAAGATGCAAAACACCCAGCTCAGGCCCCAGAACACGAGCACTTAGTAAATGCTACTTCTTGCCAGTCGCTTATTCATTCACCAGCAAATCCAGGGATCCTGCTAGAGTCAAAGCCAACCCCCTCCGTCTCGCAGCCTCCCGGTCAGGTCCGAGGCTATAGCTCATGAGTGTTCAGGGATATGTGTCCCAGGAGCTCCCTTATCAAAATTCCCTTTATGGGCCTAAAGCTCCCAGACCCACACTTTCCCTTTGTCATGGAAAAAATGTAAAAGGGGTTAAGGCCTGTGACTGACAACTGTTGATCTCAAGTAAGTCCCACGGGGTTCATTTCACCTCATTGGGTGCAAAAGCGAACCCAGAGTGTTTGCAAAGCCCTTGCTGGGAGTCTCCCCGGCCTGCTCAGCAACCTGCTCACGCTGCCTGTTAGCGCAGGATGAAGTGAGCCCTGCCTTGAAGGGACATCCCTGCCATTCGCACTGCCCCTCAGTCTCTTTCAAAGCAGATCCTGGGCCAGGCAAACCCTCTGTGCTTACTTCCAGAAAACCAGGAGAAGGCCGTGAGAAAAGAATTCCTTTCATGGGCAGAGGGCTGAAGTGTGGGGAGAAGGCCGTGAGAAAAGAATTCCTTTCATGGGCAGAGGGCTGAAGTGTGGTCATTTGGGCATATTGGGTAATGTTGGTTTGTGGCAGAAAACAAGGGGGAATGAAAAGAACACTGTGATTGGTCTCCAGGTGACTTTCTGTCCTGAAATTTCCACCATGGCGTATTTTAAAACAACCAAAAAATAAGTATGGCCTAGAGAAAAGGGTCGCCTCCAATTTTAGCAATAGCCTAAGGCAATGAGAAAGACCCCTGTGAGGTGGGTTGTGGCTGGCCCCAAGGGCAGGAGCCATCCCCTCTCCTCCCCAACCTCCTCCGCTTCCATTTCCTCTTAAAGGAGAGACCTGCCAGTTCCCAGGATGCAGGTGAAACTGACGCTCTCAGTCTGGGGTTTCTTGTGTGTTGTTCAGTACAGGATCAGCCCAGAGCCTCAGCACCCAGTCCCTCTGCTGTCGGTTGTTTTTGTTTTGTTTGTTTGTTTGTTTGAGACAGAGTCTCACTCTGTTGCCCAGGCTGGAGTGCAGTGGCGTGACCTCGGCTCACTGCAAGCTCCGCCTCCTGGGTTCACGCCATTCTCCTGCCTCAGCCTCCCGAGTAGCTGGGACTACAGGCGCCCACCACCACGCCCGGCTAATTTTTTGTATGTTTAGTAGAGACAGGGTTTCACCGTGTTAGCCGGAATGGTCTTGATCTCCTGACCTCGTGATCCGCCCGCCTCAGCCTCCCAAAGTGCTGGGATTAGAGGCGTGATCTACTGTCAGCTTTTAGGGACCCTCAGGGACAAAGCATTTACAAAGGAGGAGAAAGAGAAGGAGGATTCCCTGAAATTTCAAAACATTCCACTTCTCCCATCTCATCTCATGGCTCTGACAGCCTCTTCTTCAGGACTGTCCCTGTTGTACAGATGTGGAGAGGGACTGAAGAATGGAGAGAGACGGAGTTGTGTGAGACCCAGCAGCAGGGGATGAGGAAGGCTCAGACAGAACGCGGAACTCCTGGTTCCGAATCTCACACCTCCTCCTATTCACTCCTAGCATGCAGTTGCTGCTCAGATATTTGTTGAAGTGGTAAACCTCCCTCACTGTCTCCCTCAAGGGTTCCTGCCCACAAGGCTCTTACAGGCTGGCGGTGAGAAGGTAGATGGTGAAATAAAGCCAGAAAGTGGGTACCGGCTACCGGAGACAGCCGGGGAGAAGCTGGACTGCCTCTGACCATCTGTGAATTTGGGAAGTTAGAAGACAGGAGAATCACTATCCAAAACACACATGAACACCTACTATAAACTTGGACAAGGTAGATGATGAAAGATCCAATGCCTGCCTTTATGACACTCCTGTTTAGTCCAGGAGACAGACAAGTAAGCTGACACCTAACCCAGGGACATAAGTGCCTCGGCAAAGGGGCTGCAGGAGCCAGGAGGGAACCAGTAATTCTGGGAGACCTCAGAGACAGCTGCCCAGAGGAGATGATACTGAACAGAATATTGAAACAGGAGAAATTGGCCTGGCACAGTGGCTCAAGCCTGTAATCCCAGCACCTTGGGAGGCCGAGGCAGACAGATCACAAGGTCAGTTCGAGACCAGCCTGACCAACATGGTGAAACCACGTCTCTACTAAAAATAATAAAAAAAATTAGCCAGGCATGGTGGCATGCACCTGTAATCCCAGCTACTCAGGAGGCTGAGGGAAGAGAATTGCTTGAACCCGGGAGGCGAAGGTTGCAGTGAGCTGAGATCGTGCCACTGCACTCCAGCCTGGGCGACAGAGCAAGACTCTGTCTCAAAAAAAAGAAAAGAAAAGAAAAACAGGATAAATTGACCAGCAAAGAAGAAAATACAGGAATTTAAAGCAGTGGGAATAACAAAAATCTGTGCAAAAGCACAGATGCAAGAAATAGCAGGATAACACATACAGATGGTGGTTCTGTCTGATCACTTGTAGGATAAGCAGTGGAGGGAAATGGGAAGGGGCACTGGCATTCATCATCCATTGTCCTCACATTAGCCCTGTGAGGTCGTTATTATTAACTCATTTCACAGATGAGGAAACCGAGGCTCAGAGCGGGGCTGAGCAAAGCTACCCAAGCAGCTCTGAAACTGGGTCCTGTCCCCTGGTGGCTGAACATATTATAACACGGTCCATGTAAAAACACGGGAGTCAGATTCAAATGACATTTATTTAGGAATATGATTAGTCTGAGCTCTCTTAACTGCAAGGAGCAGAAACCCAGTTAAAAGAGGATGGGGTTTGGGAGATAGGTAACTGACTCATAGAACTGAAGAGACTAAGAGTAGCTTCAAGCATGGTCGGACCCAAGGGCTCAAATGTCCTCAGGAATTTGTCTTTCTCCAACTTTCAACTCGGCTTCCCGCTCGGATTGCCGCTGTAATCCTCAGCCGGAGTCTTCCCATAGAGCCACCAGCAGGTCCAAGCTTCTATCTTAACATCTTTGCAGACCCAAGGGAAAAGTATGTCCCTTTCCTACTATTCTAACAAAAAGCTCCAGGCTTTGGTTTCATTGGATTGGGTCATGTGTCTATCCCTCAACCAACTGTCACGTGCCCAACCCTGAAGCCAGGGCAAAGGGAAATAGGTCAACTCCACCTAATCTACAAGGACAAAAAGTGGGGAAGGTCGAATTCTGAAGAAGAATCAAGGTGCTGTTAGCATGAGAAGGGGAACTGAGGATGGAAATGTGAAAACGAGGTGTTTCTCACAAACACTTACTGCTCGGCAGATATCGCGTTATACACACCTAGAACCCCGTTAACATCCGCTAAAATAGCTTCCAGTGTTCTGGCTCAGGGCAAAGACGGGCCGTGGGACCGTGAAGGGGGTTGAAGAAGATTAAACCTACTAGAATCTCTGCAAGTGGTAGGTTGGTGCAAAAGTAATTGCGGTTTTTGCCATTAAGGGTAATCTGTACTAGAGTCTACACAGCATGGGAATCCCAGCTTGGTGTCTCATCCCAGCTTATGCACGGCATGGGGGGCAAGTAAGAGAGAGAGGGGCTCCTGCCACTGGGCTTTTTAAAGCTAAATATGCATGTCAAAATGCCTCGGATAATCACTTAAAATACAGAAGGTAGAGATTCCATATGGTATGGAGGAAAGAGAATGAGAAAAAGAAATCAACTTAAAACAAGAAAAGAGGAGGAAAATTTAGAAAAAAATGGGACAAATTTAAAGCACAAAAACAGATGGAAGAAATGAATGAAAATAAATCAGTAATTACAGTGAATATAAATGGAATAAATTGGCCAATTAAAAAAATACAAAGATTGTCAGGCTTGGTTTTTTAAATCCAAACAAATGTTTTTACAAGAGACTTAAAATATAAAGAACATAATTTTTGAAAGCATAGGAAGGAAAAAAAAGATATACTCAGCAAATACTAACTGAAAGAAATCTGAGTAGCTATAAGCAAAAAGTATACCATCTTTTTTTTTTTTTTTTTTTTTTTTGAGACGGAGTCTCACTCTGCCGCCCAGGCTGGAGTGCAGTGACGCGATCTCGGCTCACTGAAAGCTCCGCCTCCCAAGATCACGCCATTCTCCTGCCTCAACCTCCTGAGTAGCTAGGACTGCAGGCACCCGCCACCACGCCTGGCTAATTTTTTCTTTTTTTTTTTTTTTTGTATTTTTAGTAGAGATGGGGTTTCACCATGTTAGCCAGGATGGTCTGGATCTCCTGACCTCAGATCCGCCCACCTCGGCCTCCCAAAGTGCTGGGATTACAGGCGTGAGCCACTGTGCCCAACCAAATATACCATCTTTAAAGATAAATATGATCACCATATTTTGATAAACAGTTCAGTTCACCAGAAAGATAAATTTTAAATTTGTATGTACCAAATAACCCTGCTTCAAAAATATGTAAAGTTGACAGAACTACAAAGAGAAATTAACAAATAATCATTACAGCAGAAAATGTATAATATACCTCTATCAAAATTTAAAGACTAAGCATGTAAAAAATTAGTAATTAATATTTGGGAAACACAAAGCGCTTAGGACACTGTCACTAATAACTAGAGAGTACCTATTCCTTTCAGGCACACATGGAATATTTAAAAAGCTGGCCATGTGTTAGGTTAAGAAGTATGTATCAGCATATTTCAAGGCACTGAATATGCTTCATACAGAACAATTATCTGACTACAACAAAATTAAATCATAACAAAACTCTTACATAGTTGTAAACATTTTTTAATAGATCATGGGATGAAGAAAAAGTAATTATGGATATTAGAAAACATTTTAAAGTAAACGACAATGAAAATACTGCACATCAAAGCTTATAGGATGCCACTAAAACGCTACTCAAAAGGAAATATATAGCCATAATGGCTCATATTTTTAAAAGCAAATTTGAAATTTAACGATTTAAACAGCCAATTTAGGAAGTTAAAAAGAACAACAAAATAAACTCAAAGATAATTAAAGAAAGGAAACAGTAGAGACAAAGGAAGAAATTAATGAAACAGAAGACAAAGATTTAATAATGAGAAGAGCAACAAAACCAAACTTTAGTACTTTAAAGAGTTCTGGCAAAACTTGTTAAGATAACAGAATAAAAAACATAAGTAAAGACTATGAATAATAAAGGGGAGATATTAATACAGATGTTGCAGAGATCAAAAAAGATAATAAGAACATTATGATCAATTTTATGCCCAAAACAAGAAAAAACTAAGGTGAAGTGAATAAGTAAACAGAACTTGCCAAAACTGACTTGGGAAGAAATAGAAAACCTGAATTGCCATATAACCATTAAAAATAAATAAAATGGCAGGCTCACTTTGGCAGCTCATACACTAAAACTGGAGCCATACAGAAAAGATTAGCATGGCTCCTGTGCAAGTATGACATGCAAATTCATGAGAATTCCATATTTTAAAAATAAATACATAATATGAATAAAACACCAATAGTATTTGGTTTTGCAAATGAGTTCTACCAGACACTCAAAGAAAAGAGATCACTGTGCAGTCCTATATAAACTCTCTCAGAGGAGAGAAAAAGAGAGAAACTCTCCTATTTATTTTATGAGAGCAGATTCAAAAATAAGTATCAAAAAGGAAATTACAAGCTAATCAGAAACATGAACATACTTACAAAAATTTCAGAGCATTAGAAAACATAATCATGCAATATTTTAAAAGAAAAATATAATTCCTCATGACCAAGTTAGATTTATACAGAAATAGAAGGTTGCTTTAATATTAGAAATGTTACTAATGTAATTCAGCTCATCAACAAATTAAAGAAGAAAAAACTCTGTGAATATTATATCAATCGAAGCAGAAAAAAAAACACTGAGTAAGTTTAAGCATTTATTCACGATTTGAAACACAAAACAAAATCTCTGAGCACATTCTGAATGGAAGGAAACTTCCTTAACCTGAGGAAACACTAACAAACCACTTCTAAAATAAGGAGCAGAGCTGGCCATCACACTTCTATTCAACATATTACCGGAGATCAGTCCAGTAAGACAAGAAAAATAAATTTAAAAAAATAAGGGGGAGAAAACAAAACTATTACTATTCACAGCTAATAACCATCCTCTATACAGAAACCAAAAAGTATCTACAAATTGTTGTCATGAATGAGAAAGTTGAGCAGCATTGCCAGACATAAAATCAACGTACATTGTCAACTTTTGAAAACTACCACTTATAAGAACAATCAGAAAATTAGACATTGAAGAAGAGCTAAATAAATCTTTCAATGATTATATACTTTTCTTCATAAAAATCTAGTATGTCTTTTGTTAGATGAGTACCTGGGTGCCTTGTGATTTTGGTTGTTGTTGTAAGTGTGGTATCCTTTTATAAATTGCATTTTCTTGCTACCTCTTTCTGATACATAGAGAATTGGACTCCATATGTGCAACTGAATTTTGTATACTGATCTTATGTGCAATACCCTTGTTATACCCTAACATTAATTCAAATGACTCATAGATCCTGGAGGAAAAGACTCAATATTATAAAGATGTTTCTCCTTGCCAAATTAATCTGTATGTTCAGAACAATTCCCATTAATCCAAACAGTGTTCTCATAGAAATGGACAAGCTGATTCTAAAATCTGTATGGTTGAGAATAGGCTCAGGAATAGCCAAGTCTTTTCCAAACAGGAAAAAATAAGATATAGCAATTAAGTCCTTGGTGGTAATGCTGCAAGAATAGACAAATAGACCAGTGGAAAAGGATAGAGAATTCAACTAGCACTCAAATACCTATACACCGGGGGACAGGTCCAGTGAAGTCCTAAGCAGCATTTCTTGTAATGGTAAAAAACTCGAAACAATCCAGATGTCCTTCAACAGATAAATGCATAAATAAATTGAAGTCTATTCATACAATGAAATACCTTTTTTTAAAAAATTATGGCACATTTTAAACATATACATAGTAAGGCTCCCTGAACCCCTCACACAGATGTAAATAGTTATCAACTTATGCCCAATCTTTTGTTTGTTTGTGTGTTTGTTTTTTAACTGCTTCTTATGGAGCAGGACTACCTACCCCTACAGGTAGTGTGCCCAGAGTAGACTTTTTTTTTTTTTTGAGACAGGGTCTCACTTTGTCCCCCAGGCTGGAGTGCAGTGGCACAATCTCAGCTCACTGCAGCCTCAGCCTCCCAGGTTCAAGCGATCCTCCTGCTTCAGCCTCCCAAGTAGCTGGGACTATAGGTGCATGCCACCAGGCCCGGCTAATTTTTGTATTTTTTTTGTAAAGACAAGGTTTCACCATGTTGCCCAGGTTTTGCCATGTTGCCCAGTCTGGTCTCAAACTCCTGAGCTCAAGTGATCGGCCTGCCTTGGCCTCCCGAAGTGCTAGGATTACAGGCATGAACCACTGCTCCTGGCCCTGAAGTACTTTAAAACTGTGAAAATGAGCTACAGCTATACCTATCAACAATATAATGTTAAACAATAACAAAAGGTTAGCTACAGAGAAAAGATCATAAAACACGATTTTATATACCTACAAGTGAAATACAGGTAGAACAACACGATAGATTGTTTAGGGATACAGAAATATTTGCTGAAAGAAATCAGGGGCTGGAAAAGTTCAGTTTCCTAATCTGACAGGTGGTTCCACTGGTATGCTTTTCAATAGTCCTTAAGCCATGTATATGTGTTTTATATAGCGTCTCTTTGGATGCTTAATGCATTTCATTTAAAAATATTTAATGAGTAAATTGACATGTAACAAAGAGATATGACTGAATAGAGGAAGAATTGAGATGTTTATTTTCTTTTTAGTTAATCTCTATGGTCTGAATTTGTTACTATGAACATGCGGTATTTCCAAAATAGCATTATTTTTAGGGATTTTTAGGCCCCTTAGAAGAAGGGAGGTGGTTATTTCCTAGCCTAGAGCTAGCTGTTCTTTGATAATTTCACCGAGTGCAATGAGAGTTGCCTTCTCAGAGCCACAGGCTGCATCTGGAATGTTAATGCAAGGGCAAATACCTGCCTGCTTGGTCAAATATGTACACTGCTAACATGGTAAAGGACGCCCACAGGCTCTGAAATGCCAGAGGGATGACCTTGAGGCCCAGGTGCAGGTGGGGTGTTCAGGGAGGAAGGGCCACACCCAGGCCTTCTGCAATGGCCTGGCCGGCACATGCCCTCACATGGAAGGAAGCGCAGATGTCAGCTATGTCCTTGTTCACAAAGCTTTACAAAGTCAGGCCTCCAAACCCACAGCTATCATCAGGTGGACGCTAAAGGCATGACGGTTCCCTTCCCTCTCTCTATGTGGAAGGGGGAGGGAGCAGTACGCTTGATTCCCTTGGTGGCCGAGGTGTTCACAGCTGATTTGAATGCCAGATGGAGTAACTCAGACTTCTCCCAAACTTCTTCCCCAACTCGGGGCATGCTGCAGATGCTCAGGAATCATCTCACTAAGATTCGGAAATGGCACACTTTGACGGGGCTCCTACTACCAGACAGCCTGTGTGTGCTTACTTTTATATGTATTCTGTAACACTGAATTCTTTCAGGAGTAGGAAAAGTGAGGGCTGCAAGCAGTGGCTCATGCCTGTCATCCCAGCACTTTGGGAGGCCGAGGCAGGAGGATCACTTGAGCCCAGGAGTTCAAGACCAGCCCAGGAAACAGAGTGACAACCCACCTCTATAAAAAAGGCAATTTTAAAAAACTAGCCAGGCATAGTGGCACGCACCTATAGTGTCAGCTACTCGGGAGGCTGAGGTGGGAGGATCCCTTGAGCCCAGGAGTTAGAGGTTGCAGTGGGCTATGATCACGCCACTGCCCTCCAGCCTGGGCAACAGAACAAGACCCTGTCTCAAAAACCACAAACACAAAAACAAAACAAAAATCGTGAATTGGATATTTTTATCTTCATTTGAAGTCCAGAGACAGTAAGTAAATTGACCACAGGCACACAACATGTTAGAAACAGAGTTAGGATTTCAAAGCAAGTCTCCTGAATACTCCTTCTTGTGGGTTGAGGGAAGAAGTCTTTGTTGCCTATAGGCTGCTCTGGGTGGCAAAGGGCGGTTCCCCTCCCCTCCCCACCCCATCCCACCCTCCCCAGGCCCTGGCTTAGTAGAAGCAAAATTGAGAGGCTAAACCTGGTCTGCCCCCGCCTTGCTCTGTGGCCACCTCAGCCTGGCATGTGCTTGTGTCTCCTCAGGAAGCCAGCACTGTCCTGCACTACGTGCTCCAGCAACCTCCTGAGCTGCTGCAAGAGCCTGTGGGGGCTCAGGTTCCTTCAGAGACACATGGGAGGCCCCTCGGAGGAGCTATCGGGGGAGCCACTGTCTGAGGAGCCACAGAAGAGACCTCCCCAGAAAGCGGTGAGGACGCTGCCCTCTGAGGCTGTCTAGACCTAGCCCCAGGACACTGAAGATACCGCTCCCGGTCCCCAAGATGTGACTCCTGGAGCTCCTAAGGACCCAGTCTCCAAAGCCACCAAGGACTCACCCTGGACTGAATCTGGGGGCTCCCAGAACACACAGCTGGGTGTGGGGTCCTCAGGCCTAGGGCGGAACAGCCTATTCTGTGCTCAGCATTCCCAGACAGGCACGCAAGACTCCTCTGGGCCCGAGTGGGCTGAATCCCATGGGTTCAAAGCTCACGTTGGTGCTGGCCCTGGGAGTCATGAGCAGAGACGGTGGGACAGACGGGGATGCGTGCACATGTGTGTGCATGGGTGCATACGTGTAGGGACGTGCATGACCTCTGAGCAAGGCAGAGGGTATTGAAGAAAGCATTGGCCTCTCACTCCCTCATGGGTTCTGCAGGATGAAGGAAAGGAAAGGAAAAGACAGAGAAAGGAAGGAAATAGCTTTTCATGAGCACCTACTGTGTACCAGGTGCTTCCCTGGCATGAGCTCTCGTAACCCTTATAGCAACATGAGTTTAGAGCAAGAATCACACCCCGACTTTACAGAGATGGAAACTGAGGCTCAGAGAAGTAAGGGACCTGCCCAAGGCCACTCAGCACCTAGAAAGTGTGCCTAGCACATAGGAGGCACACAAAAATATGTGTTGAATGGGTGAATGAATGAGAGAACGGGTGAAAAGCCAGGCCTCAAGCCCACACTACTGACACTGCACTACACCACCTCTCAGGAGAGAAGGCAAATATTTCCTTGACTCAGCCACCTTCCTCCTAGCAAGGCTTAGACCCCCAGGCTCTGGGGGTCCCTTCCTGCTACAGTATGACCCTCTCTGGTGCTTGTCATCAAGAAGTGGTATGCGGTGGACTTGCTGGAGAGAGTGTCTGCAGCCAGGCATCATGGAGGGAGGGATGGATCTTGAGGGACTGTAATGGTTGTGAATGGGGGAGTTGGCCCCCAGCACTCTCTGGTGGCCGTATGACCTTGGGCACGTCTCCTGACCACTCTAAGCAGCTTTTGATTCCCCTGTCCAAGAGGGTAGGCCCCCTGTTCCTATTTACAGGATCCATAAAGAGACTCAAAGAGATAGGGTAGTGCCAGCCCCAGAGAGAGGGGGCTGTGGAGGGACTTCTACCCCCAGGGCTTCTCAGTGGCATCTCCTGGCTGGCCCCTGACACTCAATCTTCCTTGGTTTCCAAGATGCTTCATGATCTTCCCCCTCCCTGACATCCCCGACCTCCCTTTTCTGTCCCTTTTGCAACTCATTGTCCTCTACCTGCCATCAGATGTGGCTGTTCCTCAGTCTCAGTCCAGAGTCCTCTCTTCTCACTCAGCATCTCTCCTCCTGTGACCTCGTCTGCACCCACAACTCCAGTTACAAGGCACGAGGTTTGGTTATGAAATCACTCACAGATTTATAACTGCAGGCTTGGCTCCTTCCGGGAGCTTGAGACCCACTGCCGCCTCCGCAACACCTCCACCTGGGAGTTTCAGAGGCGCTCTCCCTCAGCGTGTCTGCAGCTGCGTGCCTGCAGCTGCGTGCCTGCCTTCTCCCTGCACCTGCTCTGCTCCCCAGGTCCCTTTCTCAGACCAAAGCCTGCCCGGGCTTCACAGGCTGAGGGTCCACCTTGCCACCTCCGTTTGCCTCAGTCCTCATGGAGCCCTGGCTCCACTGTCTGCTGGCTTCTCCCCATCTACTCTGTGTCACTCCATCCGACCACCATTGTCTCCATCAGGACAGTTGGAACACCTCTTCTCAGCACTCTCGCCCCCACCCAGTCCACCCCCTACCTGACAGCCAGAGTGGGCCATGCCAGATGCAACCCAGGTCATGCCACACAGGTAGATAAAACCATCTTCAGCCCAGCCCTCAGGCCCTGTGTGCTGGGACCCTGCTGGGCCCTCTCCAGCCTCCCCCTGCGCCAGGCCTCCTCCGTCACTTCACTCTGGCCCTGCTGTTCTTTTCCTTTTAGTTTGATTAACTCACTCTGCCCATTCCATGCTCAAAGCTGTTTCCGTGAGGAAAGGCTCCTCCTGCTCATTTTAGTGCCCTGAAATGTCACTTCCTTGAGGAAGTCTTCCTTGACCCTCCACACCAAACCAGGCCCCCTGCCACACCCCTCAGAGCTCTCCTTGGAAGGCACTGGCATGGCTGTTTGCGTGATTCCTTGAACGTTGTCTGTCTCTCCTCCTCACCAGGCTGTGGGTCCTGTCTGTTTCTGGTGACCGTTGTCTGTCTAACCCCTAGAGGAGAGTTTGTCACATGGTAGGAGCTTAATAAATATGTGTTGGATGAATGATCAGAGAAAAGAGAGTGCAGAGAGTGGCCAAAACAGATGCTTTCAGCAGTGTATCTGCCAATAAACCTAAAGGCATGATTTGCCCTGGTGATCCCCCCAGAGGTGCTTAGTCTCTTGGCTGAATTCCTTCTGGAATCCCCAGAATCCCCCTCCTTGGAAGTTTTCCCAGGAGTCTGAGGCAGGCAGGTCTCTCAGTCACGGCCACATGACCTCAAGTGAAAACAAACCAGTCTGGCTGTTCACAGACTCAGCTGGTCAGAGCTCTGGCCCGAGGGGCCCACGCACCACCCGCCACTGCAGAAGACGCCTCCACGTCTGTCTCTGGGCTGCCTCCACCTTCTGCAGGCCTCCTGGAGCCTCTGCTGGCTGCAGAAGTGGGGTGCATGCTGCCTGGAGGAGGAACATCTGTGGTGGGACCCCAAATCCATGTTTGTGTTACCATCGTGTTCCAATAAAACTATCGAAACAGATGCTGCCTCACGGTTTTATTTTTTAACTTCCTGGTGAGGAAATGCTTCCCAAACTTCATCATACGGTGTCTTGATTTAGAAAAAGAGTCATGATAAAATGCTGGGGTAAAGGCCAAATTAAAAATTGCCTCAAAAAGTAAAGACGTTTTCCAGAAGCTAGTTTCATCTTAAAGAGCCACACCAGAAATGAGGGAAGGGCTGGCTGATCAGAAGGACCTGGAGACCCAGGTAGTTGGGAGAAGCTTGGTAAGTGTTCCTGGAGTGGAATAATTCTGAAACTGTCAGATGCAAAGACACCTTTTTTACGTGGGAGAAACAGGTATCTTTAAAATAGAAAACTTGCCAATCAAACAAGCCCACAATAGAGAGTGGGTGGATGAGGCACAAGTAAAAACCAGGTCAAGAGAAAATGCATGGATTTTGTGCAAGGAATGAATCCCAGAGCTACCAACAAAAGGGTTTTGAGGAGGAAGGAAGGGGGCAGGCCGGAGTTGAGGATGATGTTTGATCACCGCAATGTCAGCCGTGAGCCGTGCTCCCTGGCATGGTAGGAGGAAGCTAGAGGTTGTGAAATTCTGAGCTTCCAACCCTCCAGAAGAACCCACTAAGACACACCTTGACAAATTTTCACAAGAAGCAGAGAAGAGATTGTGTGTAAATCAAAGCTTACAGGAACTGCTCGGCTGAAAATGAGTTTAATATATATTTCAGGGGAGAAAAGACAAAGCTGGAAGACTTGGGAAAGGTGAAGGTAGTAAATCGGGTTGGCAGATGATGCTAAGCAGTCCTGAACTGAACTGCTAACCCCTGAGCGACAGCCACGGGGGTGATGAATATCGGGGCTCTTTACAGTCAAGCAGCCAGGACTGGGGCCTGGGAACTACAACGTCCAGAATCCTGTGCCGGCAGGCTCAGATGCCACCAGTGGGAATCGGAGAAGCAAAAACTGTGATCGTTAACTAGGCAAAGGGGAATGGGGTTGCAGAGGGGGAAGGAGACCAGAGAGTCTTTGGGAAACTACTAAGACTAGGGGATGTGAGCCCCAAACAGGCCCCATGGGCAGACTGGAGGCTTGGCGACCACATCAGGAATTGTGTCTCCTCCCATGAGTCACGGGAAGGCTTTGAAAGGTTTTCAGCAGAGGGGGCTAAAATGATGCGGTCTGTGTTATGAAAAGAGTATTCAGGCTCCAGTGGAGAAAATAGATCAGGGGGAGGATCGGGGGCAGATCGTGAGTCCCCTGCAGCAGGTGGGGGTGGACAGGAACATTCTATGAGCATCTGCTCACTGCAGACCTCAAGCTACATCTGGGAACCCAAAGGAATCAAAGCTCGTGCCCACCTGAAAGATGGGCATGCACCAAAACGTTACAAGGGAATGAGGGAAGAAATGAGCTGTGTGGAAAGTGGGGTGGCTGCGGCTGGGAGGGAGGCGCAGTGCTCGAGTGTGGGAGGAAGTGGACCCAAGAGCCGTGAGGTTCTAGAGGAAAAGGCTCCTGAGTACCCTGGTTCGGGTGGTGTTTAAACCCAGTTTAGATGCAAGGTGGGTGAGTTGCTCGGTAGCCAGATTGAGGGATGGTTTGGAATCCCATCCCAGCTGAGCTGGGTGGGATGGAGAATCCCATTCTACTCACAGTGACTTTGCTGTGAGCCCCAGCAAAGCACCCGGAAATTCCCCGTGCTTGGTGTGGCCATCAAGACTACTGTCGAGGGAGAGTTCATCATCCGCATTGTCCAGATGAGGGAATGGAGCTCAGAGAGTTCAGGTGGCTCTCCCCATGTCACACAAGCAGGAAAGCATCGCTGGGGACACACATTTGCCACCGGAATTCCAAGCATCCAGTGAGAATTCAGGACCCTCAAGCCTGCAGGGTGAATGGAAGGAGCCCCGCCACCCCCACTGCCCCAACTGTCAACAGACCTCAGGGCTCATAACTCAATGTTTCGGAGGTCTTTGCAGAAGTCAGTGCCGTGTCCCTGACCTCCTCATTCAAGGTCACAGAGCACAAAGTGCTTCTCACGTCCTGAGATGCCACTGGGCAAGCTGCTGCACTGGTCTGGCCTGATCTTGGCCCTCACCACCGGGGCCATTTGGGGCATTGCCAGAGTTCTCGTGCATCTGGTGGGCCTGGCAGGACTCTCGGGGAAATAGGGCCCCAAAGGGACGCAGTCTGGACCACGTGGCTCCCAGATAAACCATCTGTCACTTTCCACTGACTTTTACGAGCCCCTTCCTGTACCCAGACATGATGTCAGCCCTTCTGCAGCCACCAGCTCGTCTCTTCTGCGACCAGCCATCCCAGGTAGAGATTAGCATCCCCATGAGCTGTTAACAACTCCAAAATTAACAACCCGAACAAGCAGCATAGCTGGGGCTCCAGCCAGATTCGCTTGTCTCCAAAGTCCAAGTCTTTTCTTTATACATTTATCTTGAAATTAATTGTTAAGGACATAACTGATAATAGACATACAATCTCTTTTTAAAATGGAAACATTACAGAGAAAAGTAGAGTTTATTTGACCCCCTGCCAACAATCTTTTTTCCCTAGCAATTTCTTTGCATGCAACCACTGTTATCCTAGTCTGCTGTATGGTATTTGGATCAGTTTTATTTATTTTGTTTTTTTAACAGAAAAGTTATACTGCACCTAAGGAACCAAACTCAACAGTATGTCTTCAAGTTTCAACCATGCTAGCACATAAAGATCTTCCTCATTATTTTTAGCCATGGGAAGGTGTTCCGTGCTATTGGTATTGGTAGGTACCCCACAGTTTAGCTGTCTTCCTAGCCACAGACATTTATTTCTCTTTTGTTGGCTGTTTAAACAGTGATATGCTGATCATCTCATGCACGTGTGCAAGTGCAGTTTTTTTGGTTGTGTGTGTGTGTGTGTGTGTGTGTGTTTAGCATAAGTGTACCTGCAAGTGTTTTTCTGGATGTGGAGTATACATGCTGCCTAACAGCCCTCCAGAGAGGCAAAGCATGTTCACACTCCCACCAGCAACACTGGGAAGAAATTGTCTCTTTACAGCCTCAACATCCCACCTGTGCCTTCTAGTCCTTCTAGTCCTCCTAGAGATGCCCTACTTCCAGTGCAGGACAGAAAAGGTAGGTAGAAGAAATACTCAGACTTCTCCTGAGGCTCACCCCAGGCTCTTCATGAGCTCTACCAAGTCCTGCCTTCCTCCTTGGATCTCTGTGGAGGAAGCCAGCCCTGCCCGAGTCACCCAGCTCTTAGAGGCTGTATCAGCTAAGAGTGGCCACAGGAGTGCTGTGTAACAAACATCCACAATATCTCTCGGCATGTGGCAGTAAATATTTATTTAGCTCATTCATCTGTAGGCAGCTAATCTAGGATGGGCTCTGCTGGGATGGTTCAGCATTGCTTCAGGTGTCTCCCATGCTCTCCTGGGACCAGCAGGGCCACCCAGGCATGTTCTTCTCTGGGAAACGGCAGGAACATAAGAGACAAGCCCAGCAACACATATGCATTTCAAGTTTCTGGGCCTCTCTTCTGCAAACACACCATGAGCCAGAGCAAGTCCCATGGCCAAGCCATGGATGGAGCAAGTAAATCCACCCCTTCTCTCTCCAGTGGAACTGAGGTGAGGGGTGAATGACTATCTAATCCGCCACAGAAGCCAGGCCAGATATGACCTGAAATCTGCCTGATGCCAGAGCCCTGCAGAGCAGGGGTCTCAGGATGGAGACAGGGTCCCCCAACTGACTGGAAATGAGTTCTTTAAAGCTCCTCATTAGTGAAGCTGCCTTCAGTCTCCTACATACACCACAGTGATTTTCTACCCTGCCCCACAGTGAGATCTCTAAGACTCAAATCTGGGCCTTGGCACTGCCTGGCTGTGGGCCCCTCAGTGTTCCACCCCCACCACCACTGCCTCACCCCACATGGTCTGGCTCTGCCTAACGGTCCGGGCTCACTCACAGCCCTCCCCCTTTGCTGCACTCTCCCCTTCCCCTCTTGCCCCAGGACCCAGCCTCTTGTGCATGCTCTCACTCCATGGTCATGTCCGCAGCAGAATTCCCTTCCCAGGCATCCTTCAAGTCCCAGCTTGGGCCGCACCTCCATTTCAAAGTGATCCCTGTCCCTGTTCCTAGAATAATTCATTACTTCCTCCCTTGGCACATCCCTCTGTCCAAGAGACACATCACAGACATCCCAGAGGGTCCAACTCAGATGCCTTCAGGGGCCACCAAAGCTCACTGGCTTAAGACAAATAGAAGAGGCTCCCTGGCAATTTACAACCAATGTCTCTGCTGTTGATCTCCACCGCAGCCATGCCAATTGCACGCATGTTTATACGACCTTGGCCAAAAGGGACCACAGCAACTCTGCTAGACGATGACGCTGCCACCTGGGACTGTGGTCCCAGAGTCTATTTTTCAGGAGAAGACATAAATTTGGATATTTATTAGGAATATTAGATGGGTTAATATTTGTAAAGCTCTAAGAAGGATGCTGGGGGCATCGTAAATGCTGTATACCTGTTAAAGTAAGTGGATAGGTGGAAGGGAGGGACAGAGGAAAGAAGGGAGAGGAGGAGGGCAAATTAGATAAATCTCTCTTTGAAAAGTTGGTAATTTTAAAAAAAATGATATACTGAAGCAACCAAGCCTTTTTCCAGGCCATGTTTGACCAGAATACTACCAGTTTGTGGACTCAGGAACAGAACTGCCCTGTTACTCTGGGGGAGCCCCTAGAGGAGAAGGTAGGGGTGGGGTGTGGCCCCTGCCCAGAGCACACACCGCCAAGGATGCCTCCTCCATTTCCCTCTGCCATGACAACACTGCACACACACTTCCCTCCGCTCCTCCAGGGGAACTGGAGAGAGCAGGGAGACCTCAAAGGAAAAGAAATACAGAGAGATTGGGAATTGCCTCTGTCTTGACCAGGGTTTCTCTGCAGTGCTTGAGAGAGATCCCAAGAGCCTTTGGACCTCAGAAAGGGTCTTCGGTGGGCCCGCTCCTCCCATCTTCATCACCACTGCCCTAGGTCAGGCCTCGCCGTACCTTTCTTGGACTCCCCACTAGCCTTCCGGTCCTCATTCCCTCCTCGTCCAGTGTGTATGGACACCTCCCTGTGTCCCCAAGGGCATCTCAGAGCCAGCAGGTCATGCTATCTGACTGGCTTTGAATTCCAGCTGAGGGAACAAGTCACAATCCAATTCCCTCATCCACCAATGGGGAAAATTGGTGGTATCTTACAGAGTTGTTGGAAGGTTTCAAAGGATGTCATGCCTGCAAAGGGCTTGGTACAATGCAACCAAAGAGCTTAGACAATGTCATGTGCTCAATAAGCATCAGCTGCTGCTACTGCCAAAGTGCAAGTCATTGAGTGTTATTCTGCTTAAATGCCTTTGTAGCTTTCATTACCTTTGAATGCAGAGCTGGCTCCTTGGCTTGACATTCACAGCCCTGCCTGATCTAGCCTATGCAGCCTTCCCTGATCCCACATGGATGCAGTTGCCACCCATGAGATGTACACACCCAACTCTAAACGGTACATTCTTGACTTGTCAATTCTGAGCCTTCCAAATGTCAAGACCTTGCAGGCGGCCCCCTCCCCAAAGCAACGGAGGTCCTCCACCAACCTTGGAGCTCAGTCCAGGATTTGAGTGCCAAGGCAGGGCTGCTCTGGGCATTGAAATTGAACCTCTCTTAGAGACTTAGGGACAGAGCTCATTCTGAGTTGACTCCAAGATCTTCTCCCAGGGACCGAGCAGTCATCTGATCTAAAGCCTGAGCCAGAGAGGGAAATCTAGGTGACTGACACAGGCCCCTGAGTCTCATTCTCTCATCTGTGACATGGTGGTACTGGGGACATTTTCTTTGTGCTATTTATAACCCAAACCACCTTTTCCAAAGAAAGCCCCTTATTGTTAACTAGGTTCCCTTTGTTCTGTTGAGCACCTGGATGAATCTGAAAATGCATTTATCTGCATAATAGTGGGAGAAGAATTTGGAGTTCGTGAGGTACAGTCTGGGGTGGCAGGTGGTGAGGAGGAGGGATGAGCAAAGAGAAAAGCGATAAAAGTCGCTAAGATGGAGACAGAATGAAGTTAACCATGTACATTCCCAAAATGACACTTAGAAGAAAAGTGAATGCCTCATGTTCATTTTATAGTTGTACACACTGATATGGTGTAAACCCTTCTCCACCTCTCCTCCTACACAAAGATCTCCAGGAGAGACCATTGCACTCATGAGTATTTTGGCTTTGGTAGTGGGGGTGGAATCTGGGAAGCGGGTGGAGTTTGGCATCTGGGCCCACATAGGCCACAACAGAAGGGACCCTAGAGGAGGCAGGCTTCCAGAGCCAGAGAAAAAACAGGAGACTCTGGATACTTTGGGAAGTCACTAATCTTGGGAAGGCTGTGGTCTTCCTAGAGGGTAGTGAATGAGTGAGATCAAACCAACCTTGTCCAGATCTCAAGGCAACAGGAGGCCACAGATGCCATTTTGTTTACACAAGTTTAATAAAATCTACCTTACATGTTGTGGTGAGGATTAAGAGATGATGAATAAAAGCATTTGATACATAATAACAACATTATTTGAGGTGGATTTTCCTTGTGGCTGTGACTCCTTCCAATGCCAGGAACAATACTATAGAAATGTCCAATTTGAAGATTTAGGTCTCAGGAAGCATAAAATGCTAAAGCACTGGGTGGATCTAAGCAGGTGTTCAAATGATTTTAAATCTTTTAGACATGTATTGTGTATGAGAGGTAGAGGGGAGAGGACCCTCTCAGTTCTTGGAAACTGTCTCCTCTGGAACATGTCACTAAAGACAGGACCGGCCCAAGCTGAGTTAGAGTGTGAGCCAGCTAGATGGCGGGGAACCCTGAAACATCATGGAAATAAACCACAAATGTGCTAACTCCAGTTTCCAGGATAATTCTTCTCTCATAGCTGGAGAAATGTGCATTGATCCCCACACTTGGCCCTTTAGGGAATTTTCCAAAATCCCTTGTTGTGTTGATCCTGTTCTGGAGTGTTTTTTTGATTGAGATATAATTCACATACCATAAAATTTGTCTTTTAAAGTGTACAACTTAGTGTATTTAGTATATTCACAAAATTGTGCAACCATCACTGCTAAATTTTGCAACTTTGCGAAATTTTTTATTATCCCCAAAAGAAACCCCACACCCATTAGCAATGACTCCTCAGCCCCTGACAACCATGAATCTACTTTCTGTCTCTGTGAATTTGCCCACTCTGGACATTGTGCCACACACGGGCTATCAGAGAGAGCTTGGCACCCAGTGTCCTCTGCTGAAATGCAGGAACACAGTAGTTCACGCCATTGGGCTGCTTACCAGTAAAAAATAATGCATTGTCTAGAGCTAAAACTCTTTCCTGTGTTTCCACTAACTGATTTTTGGATAATCCCCAAATGAAACTAGGGAAGGAACAAAAACCAAAACAAAATGAAATGTTTTGCTGAGTATTTTCTGAGTACTGACTCCACTGTGACCATGGAAATAAACAGGTAAGTGACTTTGTTTCTGTATATAGCTTTTGTTAACAGAAAAATCAGTTTTTCCCTGACCCAGCTAGATTAATATTGAACAAAGATTGAAAGATGTAGATCTGAAGAAATGCCAAACCATTTACTTCCCCGGGAGCCTTGACCCCAGCAAAGACTTGCCCCAGAAAAGCCCTTTTCTCCCCGTTTCTATTGTTAAGAACTTTTACCCAAAACTTGGGAATAAAGCTAAAAGGTGACAGCATCTCCTGTGAGTGTCACATAGGGGGACCTATCTAGCAGGCCCGCCCAGGACTATCTGATTCTCCAGGGGAATGTGCCAGTGTTTGACTTACTGTTTACTATTGATTAGGGCCCAGACTCTGCAAAGTTACACGTTAACTTGTAGAAGATTAAGTTGCAAATAGCTTCCTTTTGGCCCATTAGAAATGCAAATGATTTCTGTATAGTGGGAAAGATTACACCAAAGGTTATAGTTTATTGTCCTGTAGGACATTACCCTGTTTGTGTCTAACTCAGCAATCCTATCCCAAGACATTCTTTCAGGGATGGTCTATGGCTGTTTCTCAGATTCTTATTTGAACCAGCTCCAACTACCATCCTCCTTGGTCTTTCATTAATGAGTTAAATTATTCTGTGTCTCGTGTTGACTATACATTTGTATGAGTCATGTGTGTCTTTTGAACATTATACTTTGATGAAATCTTGGGTTCTAACCGCAGCCAGTGGGCAGGGACGCCCCCTGCTGGCAGGGCCATTTTATCCATTACACGTTATAAGCACAAGCTTTTCAGAAGCTTCCAAAGATATTTGGGACCCGAAAAGAAAAGAAAACAGAGCCTTTAAAGTATGAAAAGAAAAATGCAAATTTAAAATGAGTCTACATTTGATTAAAATCTACAAAATGCATTATTTTATTTTTATTTATTTATTTTTTTGAGACGAAGTCTCGCTCTCTAGCCCAGGCTGGAATGCAATGGCGCGATCTCGGCTCACCGCAACCTACGCCTCCCCGGCTCAAGCAATTCTCCTGCCTCAGTCTCCTGAGTAGCTGGGATTACAGGCACCCACCACCACACCTGGCTAACTTTTTTGTATTTTTAGTAGAGATGGGCTTTCACCATGTTGGCCAGGCTGGTCTCTAACTCCTGACCTCAAGTGATCTGCCCACCTCAGCCTCCCAGAGTGCTAGGATTACAGGCTTGAGCCACCACTCCCGGGCTAAAATGCAATATTTTAGATGTCTACAAAGTATAGCTTGTCAGCCATAGCTCAGCTCAATTCATAATCACATAAAAATTATCTTTAATATAGGATATTCTGAGTGGTTACAATGTCTGATGGGAGTTCTTCAGGACAAAGGCAGAAGGCATGTTCTGTGCATCATTTTTACTTAATATGAAATGAAAATGATGCAAGGGCATCAACCAGCTCCATCTGCCCTGTTTCCAAGACGAGATTGATCTAGGACTACAGACACCCCACTCCACCTGCCAAGGCCACCTTGCCTCCCCAGGATCTGGTGGGAGAGTGTGGGCATAATTCATCTCCTCTCCTGGCTCCCTCTGTCACCAAGATACTGTGCCAGCTATGTGGTGTCTTGCCCACACTCAGGGCCATTGGGCTCTTGATGCTAGTCAGCTGTCCATCCAGGCAGCAAGAGACTGCCTCCCCTCTACACAACCCGCCAATCTTCAGGAGATGGGTGCTCTAAGAAATTCCCTTCTGCTATCCTAGAAGGCAAGAAATAACTAAAATCAGAGCAGAACTGAAGGAAATAGAGACACAAAAAACCCTTCAAAAAATTAATGAATCCAGGAGCTGGTTTTTTGAAAGGATCAACAAAATTGATAAACCGCTAGCAAGACTAATAAAGAAAAAAAGAGAGAAGAATCAAATAGACGCAATAAAAAATGATAAAGGGGATATCACCACCGATCCCACAGAAATACAAACTACCATCAGAGAATACTACAAACACCTCTATGCAAATAAACTAGAAAATCTAGAAGAAATGGATAAATTCCTCGACACATACACTCTCCCAAGACTAAACCAGGAAGAAGTTGAATCTCTGAATAGACCAATAACAGGCTCTGAAATTGTGGCAATAATCAATAGCTTACCAACCAAAAAGAGTGCAGGACCAGATGGATTCACAGCCGAATTCTACCAGAGGTACAAGGAGGAACTGGTACCATTCCTTCTGAAACTATTCCAATCAATAGAAAAAGAGGGAATCCTCCCTAACTCATTTTATGAGGCCAGCATCATCCTGATACCAAAGCCGGGCAGAGACACAACCAAAAAAGAGAATTTTAGACCAATATCCTTGATGAACATTGACACAAAAATCCTCAATAAAATACTGGCAAACCGAATCCAGCAGCACATCAAAAAGCTTATCCACCATGATCAAGTGGGCTTCATCCCTGGGATGCAAGGCTGGTTCAATATACACAAATCAATAAATGTAATCCAGCATATAAACAGAACCAAAGACAAAAACCACATGATTATCTCAATAGATGCAGAAAAGGCCTTGACAAAATTCAACAACGCTTCATGCTAAAAACTCTCAATAAATTAGGTATTGATGGGACGTATTTCAAAATAATAAGAGCTATCTATGACAAACCCACAGCCAATATCATACTGAATGGGCAAAAACTGGAAGCATTCCCTTTGAAAACTGGCACAAGACAGGGATGCCCTCTCTCACCACTCCTCTTCAACATAGTGTTGGAAGTTCTGGCCAGGGCAATTAGGCAGGAGAAGGAAATAAAGGGTATTCAATTAGGAAAAGAGGAAGTCAAATTGTCCTTGTTTGCAGACGACATGATTGTATATCTAGAAAACCCCATTGTCTCAGCCCAAAATCTCCTTAAGCTGATAAGCAACTTCAGCAAAGTCTCAGGATACAAAATCAATGTACAAAAATCACAAGCATTCTTATACACCAACAACAGACAAACAGAGAGCCAAATCATGAGTGAACTCCCATTCACAATTGCTTCAAAGAGAATAAAATACCTAGGAATCCAACTTACAAGGGATGTGAAGGACCTCTTCAAGGAGAACTACAAACCACTGCTCAAGGAAATAAAAGAGGATACAAACAAATGGAAGAATATGCCATGCTCATGGGTAGGAAGAATCAATATCATGAAAATGGCCATACTGCCCAAGGTAATTTACAGATTCAATGCCATCCCCATCAAGCTACCAATGACTTTCTTCACAGAATTGGAAAAAACTACTTTAAAGTTCATATGGAACCAAAAAAGAGCCCACATCACCAAGTCAATCCTAAGCCAAAAGAACAAAGCTGGAGGCATCACACTACCTGACTTCAAACTATACTACAAGGCTACAGTAACCAAAACAGCATGGTACTGGTACCAAAACAGAGATATAGATCAATGGAACAGAACAGAGCCCTCAGAAATAACGCCGCATATCTACAACTATCTGATCTTTGACAAACCTGAAAAAAACAAGCAATGGGGAAAGGATTCCCTATTTAATAAATGGTGCTGGGAAAACTGGCTAGCCATATGTAGAAAGCTGAAACTGGATCCCTTCCTTACACCTTATACAAAAATCAATTCAAGATGGATTAAAGACTTAAACGTTGGACCTAAAACCATAAAAACCCTAGAAGAAAACCTAGGCTTTACCATTCAGGACATAGGCATGGGCAAGGACTTCATGTCTAAAACACCAAAAGCAATGGCAACAAAAGCCAAAATTGACAAATGGGATCTAATTCAACTAAAGAGCTTCTGCACAGCAAAAGAAACTACCATCAGAGTGAACAGGCAACCTACAAAATGGGAGAAAATTTTCGCAACCTACTCATCTGACAAAGGGCTAATATCCAGAATCTACAATGAACTCAAACAAATTTACAAGAAAAAAACAACCCCATCAAAAAGTGGGCGAAGGACATGAACAGACACTTCTCAAAAGAAGACATTTATGCAGCCAAAAAACACATGAAAAAATGCTCACCATCACTGGCTATCAGAGAAATGCAAATCAAAACCACAATGAGATATCATCTCACACCAGTTAGAATGGCAATCATTAAAAAGTCAGGAAACAACAGGTGCCGGAGAGGATGTGGAGAAACAGGAACACTTTTACACCGTTGGTGGGACTGTGAACTAGTTCAACCATTGTGGAAGTCAGTGTGGCGATTCCTCAGGGATCTAGAACTAGAAATACCATTTGACCCAGCCATCCCATTACTGGGTGTATACCCAAAGGACTATAAATCATGCTGCTATAAAGACATGCACACGTATGTTTATTGTGGCACTATTCACAATAGCAAAGACTTGGAACCAACCCAAATGCCCAACAATGATAGACTGGATTAAGAAAATGTGGCACATATACACCATGGAATACTATGCAGTCATAAAAAATGATGAGTTCATGTCCTTTGTAGGGTCATGGATGAAATTGGAAATCATCATTCTCGGTAAACTATCGCAAGAACAAAAAACCAAACACCGCATATTCTCACTCATAGGTGGGAATTGAACAATGAGATCACATGGACACAGGAAGGGGAACATCACACTCTGGGGACTGTGGTGGGGTGGGGGGAGGGGGGAGGGATAGCATTGGGAGATATACCTAATGCTAGATGACGAGTTAGTGGGTGCAGCGCACCAGCATGGCACATGTATACATATGTAACTAACCTGCACATTGTGCACATGTACCCTAAAACTTAAAAGTATAATAATAAAAAAAAAAAAAAAAAGAAATTCCCTTCTGCTATCCTAGAGACAACGGCCAGCCAATCAGCTTGGCTTTGTTGAATCCTTGCTGCAGGCTGTGAGAACCTAGCACCAAAAAAAAAAAAAAAAAAAAAAAAAAAAAGAATCTAGGTTTAAAGAATAGCTCTCCTGTGTTCTGGTTTTGAGGTGTCTCTTGAGCAATTCCTTGACCAGCTGGTATCATGGGTCACTCCAAGGGGCGAGGAACAGGTTTCAATGAGGCTTTCGTATCTCCACATCCACAGGTCACAAACTATTTCTTGAAAGATCCTAATACTGATTTGGCTAATGTAGAAGTATCCATTTTGGCCAGCGATGGAGAACATTTCAAGCACAAGAAATTCTCAACCAGGCCAAAATTGCTCTTAGAGCCATGGGGTCGGGATTAAGACTCCTGTTCTGAAACCATAATCAGGCCCAGCATATTAGTGTTTACAAAACCAAATTCTATTTTGACCCCAGATAAGAGAAGAACACAGATATGCAAACTGCAGGCCTCAGGGCCTTTGCTAAGGGGAAACCGCCCTCCTCACTGGGCCTCAAAACCCTGAGATATGACCTCTGGCTCCAGTTCAAGTTCTAAGGAAACCTTAGGGGGCCTGTTACTCCTTTATTTGTACCCTGGTTTTCCCATCTGTAAAAAGGGATCAAGGATCAAGTCAGGATTGAATGAGATCATGCATATAATTCATCTAGCACCTATTTAGTACTTAGTAAATATATGTTTTCAAGGTCCCATAATTCTGAAGTAAATAAAAATTAATTTATCCTACGTGTCACCAAAACAGTAAAGGTTTCCAGGTTAAAAAAAAAAAAAAATCCTGTGGTTTAACGTTTGATGAAGGTCCTTTTTATACAGACACCCTAATCTGGGGGGGCTTACTCCACATCTTAGTAACACACTAAAAGGTTTCCAGACACCACCTGAAATGACTCTCCCAAGTGTTAAATTCAATTGCAATTCACAAGCTGACATAACATTACTGCCTGCAGAATATGGTTACATAGAAACATTGATTAGCTTTGATCCTGCAGTCTTCTTTTCATATTCTGGAATCAACTTTTTTTTTTTTTTTTTTTTTTTTTTTGGTAAAAAGCAAGCTAGAGGACTGGAAGGTGACAAACCAGTAAGAAGGGGGAGGAAGTCCTGGGCTGGAGATTATAAACAGCAGCAAGGGCCGTGGAGGTCTTTCTGGGGATTGTTTAAACATTTACCCCAAATTTTAATAGAACATGACTTTTAAAAATGGAAGGGATTAAAAATCCTTTATTTGGCAAGATCAGATCCATCATTATTCTTCCATACCAGTGGTCTCAGGAAACAAAAGTGACATGTTATTAGAAGAAAATGTAAATGTTTCATTTTTGTACATTGCTGCTGGGTGATTCCTGCTACCTTGTTATTCCCTGTATTTATTGCCATGGCAAGCAGCTGTCAATCAGGGCTGCCCTAGTGGGGAAACACCCTCTCACGTTTAAATCCGTTCCTCTATTCTGAAAAGCCCTCCTGCCCAGTGTAGAATGCAAACCTCTGCCTTGCTCAGCCTTCTTTACCCCTAGGGTGCAGACATATGACAGAATATCCCGATCAAAGACTCCAGCAACTTTGATTTAGAAATAAGCTCCTCCGAGCAGTGGGATTGCAGGATCATATGATAGTCCTATTTTTAGTTCTTTGAGGAACCTCCATACCATTTTCCACTGTGGCTGTACTAATCTACACTCTTACCAACAACGTGCAAGCGTTCCCTTTTCTCTGCATCCTCACCAGCACCCGTTATTTTTTGCCTTTTTGTTGAGACTGGGATGAGATGGTATCTCCTTGTGGTTTCTGCCAGGCAAGGTCAGAGTCCCAGCACTGGGAAGTGATCGACTCGTGGGTTTGTAAAAAAAAAAAAAAAAAAAAGTACCAACAATAGTATAAGTTTGAAAAAGGAAAGTTTCTTAGGAAGAATGCTGCAAAAGCGTGCAGCGGGGCCCCTCAGCAAGAGGACTGAGCATGCCACAGTGGATTTTTCCTTAGGGGTATTTATGGACCTAAGGCAGGAGCTTAGGGTTGTAAAATGAGTTTTGGCGTGGCATTCCGGAGATGGATAGAAATTTTAGTTACTTATAAAAGTTGAAAGAGGCCTGGAACCAGACGCTGACTTTAGATACTAGGGAAGTCTAATTACTTTTGATTTTCTCCAGATGTAGGGAGTTTTGCCTCCGGAGGGCCTGTTCGATGGTCACCAGGTGGTCGCTGCTGGCTTCTAAACTCCTCAGATAAGGAGTTTTTGTCTCCGGGACCCATCCAGTGGTCACCAGGTGATTTCCACTCTCCTCAGTTCCAATGTGGATTTCCCTGATGATAGACATTGAGCATTTTTTCATATACCTGTTGGTTATTTGTATGTATTCTTTTGAGAAATGCTTATTCAAATATTTTGCCCATTTTTAGACAAATACTTTGGGCTTTTTGCTATTGAGTTGTTTGAGTCTATCAACAGATAAATGGATAAAGAAAATGTCATATATATATATATATATATATATATATATATATATATGTCCATTTTCATACTGCGATGAAGAAATACCAAAGACTGGATAATTTATAAAGAAAAAGAGGTTTAATGGACTCACAGTTCCACATGGTTGGGAAGGCCTCACCATCATGGTGGAAGGCGAAGGAGGAGCAAAGTCACATCTTACATAGTCACAGGCAAGAGAGTCTGTGCAGGGGAGCTGCCCTTTATAAAACCATCAGATCTCATAAGACTTACTCACTATCATGAGAACAGCATGGGAAAAACCCACCCCCATGATTCAATCACCTCCCACTGGGTCCCTCCCATGATAGGTGGAGATTATGGGAGCTACAATTCAAGATGAGATTTGGGTGGGGACACAGCCAAACCATATCAATACATGAAGGAATATTATTCAGCCACAAAAAAGAGTGAAATTGCTGTAATATGAATGGAACTAGAGGTCATCATGTCAAGTGAAACAAGCCAGGCACAGAAAGACAAAAATCACATGTTCTCACTCATATATGGGAGCTTAAAAAGTGGATCTCATGGAGACAGAGAGTAGAACGATGGTTACTGGAGGCTGGGAATGGGAGGGGAAGGGAGGATGAAGATAAGTTAATTAATGGGTACAAAAATACAGTCTGACAGGAGGAAGAAGATCTAGTGTTTGATAACTTAGTAAGGTGGCTAGAGTTAACAATAAGGTATTGCATATTTCAAAATAACTAAAAGAGAAGAATTTGAATGTTCCCAACATAAAGAAAAGATAAATATTTGAGGCGATGGATACTCAGTTACCCTGATTTGATTATCACACATTGTACCTATGTATCAAAATATCACATGTACCCCATAAATGTGTACATCTATTATAAATCAATTTTAAAAAGGGAGGGAGGAAGAAGCTCCTCCGAGCAGGACAGAATGCAGTGGGCTCTGGCAGTAGCTGGCTCACCCCGGTGCACAGGCTTCCAAGGGCAGCCCCAGCTCCCAGCCAGGCCAGCTCTGCTGTCAATCTGTGAGCTTTCTAATAACCTATGCTAATAAATCTCTCCCTGCTTAATACCCAGCTCCTGGCCTGTAATATGTGTTCAATGCATTCTAATTAAATGAATCTGCTTGGGGAGAAGGACTGGCTCTGCTCTAAGGTATGTCTTCCTTACTAACTGGGAAGCCAGAGGCTGTGTCCATCAGCTGCTTTGCTAGCAAGTGCTTAGCACAGATCAGGCCCCAATGAAGGTGGAAGACAGGGAGGAGGGAGGAGATGTGGGCCCCAGCCCTGCCCCTGGGCTGAGTATTATTGAATCTCCCTCTTTTCTGGTATATCCCTGGGGACACCTCATCTCTGTCTGAGAAGATTAGAACAAGGAGCCCTCCCAGGACCCCCCTCAGACCCAGGCAAGAAGGACCCTGCTTTGGAAGACCTGGCCCTGTCTCTCCAGTGGTCCCCACGGGGTCAAGGGTCTATGGGGCTGAAAGGATGTGGCCACCTGGAGCCAACCCCGGCCCCCTTCTAAATCACACTTGCAGGAATTGGGGCCCTAGATTTCCTTGGCCAAATGGTGCTAAAACCCAATTCTTGGGCCTGTGCAGGCCTGTCCCCACGTCCAACCTCTCAGGGGTGGAACATGAACATGGCTAGGCCCAAGGGTGGCTACTTATGGGGGGATATGAATGGAGTTTTGACCCTTGGGCATGTAGAAGATGTGGGGTGTATGGGATGGAGCCCAGGTGGGAAGAGACAGAGCAGGGTGGCCTTCTGCCAAGGTTCAGCTCTCCTCCCCATACCATGTTCTGGTGTGGAACTCCAAGGAGTCCAAAGCTTCCAGATTAACCTGACCTTCTAGGTAGTTTGAAAAGTGTACTTTCTCAAGATCAAAAAATAGAAGCTATTTAATTTAATAATGTGTCTATGTACCAGTTACCTATTGCTGTGTAACAAACGACCCCAAAACTTAGTAGCTTAAAATGACACATATGTATTGTCTCACGATTTGTCTGATCAGGAGTCTGGAAACTGCTTAGCTGGGTTTTCTGCTTCACAGTGTCTTGGGAGACTATAATCAAGTCTTAGCCCAGGGTCTACAATCTCATCTGAAGGCCCAGCTAGGGCAGGGTTGGTGGCTGAACTCAGTCAGTGGCTGTCTGTCAGCCAGTCTGGCCTCAGTTCCTTGCCAGAAGGAATCTTGGTTCATCAAGGCATGCATGCCAAGAGGCATCATAAGATTGTAACAGAAGTTACTACTTTTTATAACCTACTCATGGAAGTGACACCCGATCACCTTTGTCATATTCTACTGGTTAGAAGCAAGTCTCCAGCCAGCCCACCCTCAAGGGGAGGTGGTCATACAAGGGCAGGAACATCAGGAGGTGGAAATCACTAGGGCCATCTTAGGGGCTGCCTGTCACAGCTTGTTTGATTTTTGACTTGTAAGTATTTAGATATGTGAGATACGGTCCTCCCAAGCTCCACAAATCTTAAGAGCAGCCTTGCTTTTTCCTGTGAAGCCCACAAAGCACCTCCTTGCCATAAATAAAATGTCCCACCCCAGGGGCTCTAGCAGAATCCAGATGCATCACCTGCCAAGCCCAGGGCTGTGAACTCAGAGCTCCCACTGAGAGACAGTGCTCCAGGATCACAACCCTGCATCCTGGACAGATGAGCAGAGCCCAATTCAAAGGAAGCTTCCATGAAGGACAGAAATTACCACTTCCCGCTCCAATTACCAGCTGAGCTAATTGCAAAAGTAATTGCAACTGAGGGACCTAATCACCAGGCTGGGCCAGAGACGCGCTTCCTCCCCGCCTTTCGGGGCCTCCTGCTGCCTCCTGGGGGCTGCAGACAGGGTGGGAATCCTGTTCTTGAGAGAACAAGAGGTCTGGCCTATGTCCCCGAGACCAGATTGTCAGAGATAGACCAGTCCTCCTCCCGGCGATAAAGCTTCCCAGCCCCGAGAATGGCCCCTCCCATTGGATTTCTGCCCTGGCCGTAGATTCGTAAGCCACCTGGCTCACTCCCGGGCTACTAAGGGCCAGCAATTACCACATTATGAGCCATGGGCTCCTCGGCCCTGGCATCTGGGTCCTGGCCCTCTCCCTGCCCTTTCCTGCCCCAGGCACTGTCTCTGCACTGGGCACTGTCACCCTAGGGCTGGGTCCCCCTTAATGGCCAGTCCTCCTCTCAGAGCACCCCTACATTCCTATGTTCACTTCCAGCCTCTAGATCCCACAACCTGCCCGCAGGACCCGCCCACTCCCACCTCTTGGGCCTCCCCAGCACCTCTGGCCCAGGAAGCCCAGCCTGGTCTGGCCCTGGGTGAGCTGCAGAGTGCACAACTCAGGTTCTCCTAAGTAATGGTGGAAAAGATGAGGGTGGACTGGGGGAGGCCCCCGGCTGACAACACTGCCTATGCCCTCCATTAGGCCCCTCTACTCCCTCCGCACAGCCCCCAAAACCAGCCATCCTCGGGCACTACACCGCCAGCGTGGTCCCTCCTCTACAAACTGGGGCCGGGCAAGTTCCCTGCAGACCCTGGAATTAGACGTTACGACTGTTCGGCGGAGGAAGGCCAGGGCCCCTGTGGGCGAGCTCCTGTTCTATAGAGACCTATCTCACTCACAGGGCCTGGCCACACCCCTGCTCAAAACCTTCCAGTGGGACCCACTGCCCTCAGGACAGAGGCCACTGGTCTCCTCCGCGCCAGCCCGCCCTCTGCCTCTGTCTTTTGATCCCCTGCTGCTCCCTGCAGGTTCCGTGGAGCACTTGCCCAGCGTCCTCCGCATGCATCCCCGTCTGTCCGGCGGCAGAGCCAGGCTTGGTAGAGCCCTGAAGCTTACATGAGCTGGAGTGTATCTCCCGAAGAAAAAGAGTACAAAAGGATAAATGGGACAATGAAGTCCAGAGTCCTAGAAAACGAGGGTCCCTGAAGCTTCGGGCCATTGGCCTTAAAGCAGATTTGCCTCCCCTCCCCCATCTGGTCCCATCTCCCCTCCCTTACCTTCCCGGGGCAGCCTTTCCCCAGCCCCGCCCACCGCTCCCCACTCCTGCCCGGGTTGGGTTCTTCCCCAGGACGCCCTGCGCTTAGCTTAGGATATCCTATCTCCCTGCATAGTAGGCGTCTCTCTGTGGATCTGATCCTCCCGTGAGGCTGGGGGCCAGGGCAGTGCCGAGTATCAGCATTGCGACCTGCAGAATACAGGGAAGTGAATTAATGAATGAACACTTTTCCCACAAATAAGCAAACACATGAACATCTGTTAGGTGATCTCGCAGGCTTAAACATTCAGCTGTCCCAAAGCAGGAGCTGCTTGCACCAGGAAGGTCTCCAACCCGCCCACAGCCAGCAGCCTTCAACTCCCAGCTAGTCTCCAAACCAGGGGAAGCCCAGGCACGGGGAATCCACCAGGGGGCAGTGCAGGACCACAAATGCCTATCCAGCCAGCACCTGCGCGTAAACTGCCCTCCCTAAACCCTGCAGAAATCGTCTCCCCCTAGCGCCAGCATTCCTAGGCTTCCAGAGTTTCAACTACCCCTTTCAATTAAACAGAAGAAAAGTGGAGCTGAGGAGTCAGGCAGATCCAGGATCAAGCCCCGCTCTACCATTTCCACCCTGGCTGTGTGAATGTAGGCATGTTCCCTCCCCTCTTTGAGCCAAACTCTCTAACCTGCAGGGCTTCTATGATGCCTGCGAGGGTTCCCTGAAAATGATAAACTGCCAGACATAGGTTGGTTATTGGTTAATTCAGTCCACTGTCTGATTTCCAAATGATGCTATATTAACCCAACTTTAGCTTTAGGGGTAAAATGTTGCAAATGCCAACCCCATAACAAGGTTATGAAAAACTCTGATTTAGTCTCTATTAAAGACATCCTGAATGGTTTATTGATTTTATTTTTTAAGGGGAATGAGAGGAAATAGGAGCAAACCTTTTTGGGTGCCAATTAAATTCATAGTTAAAAGTTTATGATACGGGAGACAGTGGGCACAGCAGAGCCCCAAGCCTCGACTCCTGGCCACTGGGCACTGTCCCCCATTCGTCCAGTGTCTCTTTTCCCTGCCCTCAATATGTGAGCTTTTCCAGGCTGTAAAGACTGCTGCCTCTCTGCAACCTCACTGGCTAGCTCACAGTAGGTGATCAAAAACTGCACACTGCATTGCCTTGAGGATGGCTTCGGGAAATTCTTTTCCACTATTCTTTTGGGTTTCTGTCTGCATCATCTGGGGTCTTTGGGTGCAAGCTCTGAACACTGACTTGTGTGAACTTTATGGGAAAGATGTCAGGTAGCTCAGAAAAAATGAAGGAAAGCTGGAGGTCTGAGCTCAGCGAACAACAGAGCAGCTCTGGGGACCAGGACACCGAGAGCGCTTTTCCTCTCTGCCAAGTTGCCACTACTGTGATGAATGACTTCTGGTGGTCTCTCTATGATGCAGAGCCCCTGCAATCAGGCCATCCCCTGGCCTGGCCTGGAGAGCACAGGACAGCTTGATGGACACCCTAGGACAATGTCACATGCAACTCAGAAGGGCAAGTCCCCCCAGTGAAGTGGGCAGAGAGGCCGGATGGCCAAAGATCAGCCAAATTCATGACAGTTCAATACACCAAATCCAGGCTGGGACTCCAGTTCCCATGACATTGGTTCCTGTTCTGGTCCCTGGGCCCCGCCCTGCAGCATGGAGCTCAGAAAGGTACAGACATGAGAAGGAGCAGGCAAGATTCTGCCGTCAGAGTGTGTGAAAGCCACTGGGGGAGGCGAGGCTCAGGGAGGACAGAGCAGAATGAGCAAGAGTAAAGGAGGGAGGCCCTCCTTGCAGATGGGCAAAGTCCTGGCTGTTCATCACAGCTTGCCAGCCACCTGCTGTGCAACCTCCAGCAGGTCCTTGTTTCTCTGAGCCCCAGTTTTACCATCAGTAAAGACTTTTCTGGGCAAGCATACCTGTTCTCTGCAGTCCCTCTGTCCAGCAGTGCTTTACTTACAAAGAATCTCAACACTGGGGTCACTGAGGACTCAATTGCCACCCACCACCATACACACACACAGGCACACACTCACACTCACCAGGCCCCAGTGAAAAGGAGGCCCCTACACATCTCACGTGACTAAATAGCACGTTTCTAGAGCCAGGGAAGCTTGCCATGGGTTGGCTCCCCCAGCTCATCAGCTGTGTGACCCTGGGCTTATTTGGAACCCTGCAGCCCTCTGACCCCAGCCTTCTGCTTGCAAGTGATGACATAGATTCCAGGGCAGGCCATCCAGGGAGTGGTGGCTCAGTGTGGCCCCTCCCTGCCATGGGAGACTGAGCCAAAGTGGATGTGAAGAGTACTAGCCGTACCCAAAGGTGGCACTTACCAAAGCCACCTATGTTAGGGCAATGCTAGCTGCCGGAAAAATAGACCCAGAGGCATATGCACACTCAAACTCAATAGAAGTCTATTACTTGCTCATGCAATGCAATAGTCCAAATCTGGAAAAATCCAACCAACCCAGAGAGGCCCCACCTTTCTGACTATTTTCTTTCATTTTTGCTTGCAGACTGCACAAATCTTACCTGAGTTCATGTCTTTCTTGTAAGACCTTGCTATAAGCAGCAAAATGCAGCAAAAGCTAGTGTGTGTTTCTATGGGCAGAAACACACACTAGCTGTCAGGATTTTTACCTCTTCCCCTGGAGCTGCCAGTTCCCTGGCCTTTGTCTTCCTTCCAAATTATTTTAGGCAATGAATGGCTCATCAGATGCACTGTGGCTGCATCACACAAGTCCCCCCAGTTTCCACCTGGGATCTCCAGTCTTCGCTACTCACTGTCCACCCCCTGGGGCCATGCCACGTATTTAAGGTTGTTATGGCAACACCCTTGCTTCAAGGTGCCAATTCCTGTATTGATTAGAGTAATGCAAGCTGCAAAATGAATAAGGACTCAACACATCAGAATTTGGTTTCTTCTTCACTTGATGGTCTTGAGCCTGCGGTTGCAGCCGTGGGTGGTGGGAGGGTTCTCTTCACAGTAAGCCAGACACCAGGCTTCCACCCCTGGGAGCCACCTCCCCTTGAGCACAGGGGCCTTGTTTGCATCTCTTCCAGACTCAGGAAGGGAAGAAAATAAGGGACACACTTGCTCCTTAAAAGCTTCAGCTCCAAAAGGGAACCCATCACTTCTGCCCACAGTTTATGGGCCAGAACACAGAACTCAGCCCACAGCCCAAGGGAGGCACAAACCAGGAAGAAAAGAAAACAGATTCAGGGTGAGCAGCCAGCCATCAAGAGGGAGGCCCCACGCTTTTCTTTGGGGGTTTCTCGCTGGCCCACCCCTCATGGCTAGTGGCCCATCCAAGTCAGCAATTTTTGACTTAGCTTCTGATATGTGCAGGCCCCAGGGTGAGAACCAGTAACAGCGATGAATCAGCCATCATCTGTATCCAATGAGTTCACTGCCTAATGGAGAGACCAGAGAAACATGTGATTCCACCCCAGCGGGACTGGACAGAAAAGGGTGCTCAGAAGGTGTTGAAGGGGCACGTGCCCAACTTCTCAGGGGAGATGGCATTGGAGCTGAGAGGTGTGGGAGTTGTCCCCGTGGAGGAGGAAGGTGGAGGGTAGGTCCCAGACAGTGGCAGGTCAGCCAGCAGGTGGAGTGGGGTTATTGGAGGGGAGACCTGAATCCAGCCGACAGCTGCGAGCCGGGAGAGGTGGCTCCATCTGTGGGTGACAAAGCAGGGGCCAGTGTGAAGCAAGATCTCCAGAAAGTAAGATGTCAGGTATAAAGCCATTAAGTTTTTGATCTACTGTGGCTATAACAGATCACAAACTTAATTGCTTCAAACAACACAGATGTAGGACACAGAAAGTACTGTAGACCAGAAGTCGAAAATGGGTCTCACAGGGTAAAATCGAGGTGCAATTGGGCTGTGTTCCTTCTGCAGGCTCCAAGGGAAAATCCATTGCCCTTCCTTTCCCAGTGTCTGGAGGCTGCCTGCATTCCTTGGCTCGTGGCCCCAGCCAGCAGCTGCATCCCTCCCACCTCTGCTCGTCATGCCTTCCCCTTCTCTGACTCTGCTTATAAGGACAGACCCTCGTGATTACATCAGGGCCACCAGGTAAGTCAGGGTCACCTTCCCAGCCTGTGAGTCTTAATCACATCCGCAAAGCCACTTTTGTCACGTAAGGAAACACATTCACAGGTTCCAAGGACTAGGACGTGAACATCTTCCGGGGCCATTCTTCAGCCTGCCACAGCTGGTCGTTCATGCCAGCAGTCACCAAGAGAGAGCTCAGAGAAGATGAGGAGCATCTGTGCAGAGAGCCAGAGGACAGGGACAGGGAAGCCCAGAGCTCTCACGTCTGAAGGAAAGGTGGGCTGGGCGTGCTGGCTCTGGCCTGTAATGCCAGTGATCCGGGAGTACTGGGAAAGGAGGGTGTGGTCCCTGGTAGGGCTCCACCCCCACGGAGCTAGGTAAGGACAGGCACTTCTGCCTTTGCACACAAGTGTTGCATTTGTCAAGACCACCCTGGCCCACCACGCCCCCATTCTGGGCCTATAAAAACCTGAGACCCTAGCAAGGCAGAGACACAAGTGGCTAGACATCGTGAGGAACACATCGGTGGAAGAAGACAGAAGCAGCTGGTCATCGAGAGCACACTGGCGGGAGAGCACGTCGACAGGCAACGGCAGGCCGGCAAGCCAGCGACCAGCGGCACAACACGGAGTTAGGAAAGAGAGATCGGAGAAGAGTCAGGCTGCCCAGCAGCCAGACTTCAGGGGAAAACCATCTCCCTTCTGTCTCCCCCATCTGTTGAGAGCTGCTTCCACTCAATAAAACCTTGCACTCATTCTCCAAGCCCACGTGTGATCCCATTCTTCCGGTACAGCAAGACGAGAACCCGGGATACAGAAACACCTCTGACCTTGGAACAGGTAGAGGGTCTAATGGAACTGGTTAACACAAGCCACCTATAGATGGCAAACTAAGAGAGCACCCTGTAACACACGCCCACTGGGGCTTCAGGAGCTGTAAACATTCACCCTATACACTGCCGTGGGGTCAGAGCCCCACAGCCTGCCCATCTGTTTGCTTCCCTAGAGGTTTGAGCATCGGGGCACTGAAGAAGCGAGCCACACCCACATTGCACGCCCTGCGACGGCGGCAAGGGAACCTTTCCTGTTTCACCGCACCTTGGGAGGCTGAGGTGGCAGGATTGCTTGAGCTCAGGAGCTCAAAACAGCCTGGGTAACATAGTGAGACCCCCATCTCTATAAAAAATACAAAAATTAGCTGGACATGGTGGTGTGCACCTGCAGTTCCAGCTACGGAGGAGGTTGAGGTGGAAGGATAGCTCGAGCCCAGAAGGTTGAGGTTGCAGTGATCTGTAGCCACACCACTGCACTGCAGCCTGGAGGACAGAGTGAGACCCTGTCTCAAAAAAAAAAAAAAAAAAATGGCCAGGCGCCATGGCTCATGCCTGTAATCCCAGCACTTTGGGAGGCTGAGGCAGGCAGATCATGAGGTCAGGAGATCGAGACCATCCTGGCTAACATGGTGAAATCCCGTCTCTACTAAAAATACAAAAAATTAGCCGGGCGAGGTGGCCGGTGCCTGTAGTCCCAGCTACTCGGGAGGCTGAGGCAGGAGAACGGTGTGAACCCGGGAGGTGGAGCTTGCAGTGAGCCCAGATCACATCACTGCACTCCAGCCTGGGCAACAGAGCGAGACTCCGTCTCAAAAAAAAAAGGAATGATAGTGGCAGCCGGCAGCAGGAAGCATTACAGCAGGACCAGGCCCTGCCATGGACATCGTTTTTGCCTGCCCTAAATCCATTCTCTCTCTTCTGGTAACTGCACCTCAGGTTTCCTAACGGAAATACTTCTGAACATTCTTAACCCAAGGATCAGCCCGTGACCCCATCAAAGCCAACCAGAGCCTTTCATCCCCCATCCCTCAGGGGTGGGCGTGGCCCAAGCCAGGGCAGAGAGACCTTTCTTGGAACTTACTCTGGAGCTATTGGGGAAGACATTGGTGCTGGGGGCTGCTTTGAGAGAGCCCCTCTGAGATTCTACAGGGGGAGAGCGGACTTGAGTGATGAAAAGAGATGATGACAGCGTTTGGAAAACTGCATCTAGCTATGCAGAAAGCCAACTCTAGATTTCTCAATTATGTGAACCAAAAAAAGAAGAAGAAATCAGCTTAATCCCATTTCTAGCTGTTGCAACCGCATAAGTATTGACGAATCCAGCCCCCGGCACTGGTCTCAGGTTTTGAGGCTGCCTGCTGTGTCTCTTCTCTCCCCACCGCCCGCCCACCCAGCTTCTCCCCATCCTTCAAGGCTGTGCTCAACGCCACCTTCCTAAGGAAGCCATCGCTGGCTCGGATTCTCCCGTTTCCAGGTTGGCCTGGCCCTACCTTAGGGTCCCAGCCTCTCAGGGTGGCTGCCTGGCCCAGGGTGCCCCTCACAGCCCCCCTGTCTTTCACCTCTTGGGTAATGGGCTGCTCGTCTTCTCTGGTCACTTGCAGCCCCAGGAACGAGACCTTCCATGGCTCTGTCAGAACCAGATGCTGACCTGTGGGAGAGTCAACAGCTGCCATCTGAGATCCAGGGAAGACAAGCATGATTGGGCCTCCCCAGAAGTTGCTGTGCCCTGTTCTCAACAGGGCCCCCAAAGCCAGAGTGGGGCTTCTCACCTTCTTCTCTGCAAGGCCAAGGTCACTCTCAACAGAAGAACTGTCCTGGTGCCTTAGCTCTTCCATGTCTCTGCCCAACGTTCATGAGCATCAACTTGAATGCCTCCAGAGACAGGGTGATCATCACCTCTCTGGCAAATCATTCTCTTGCTGGACAGTGAGTCCAGGTCTACCCCCTAAATTTGCCTTTCCTCTGTCCCTCCAAGAATGCCTGGCTAGGTACCTTCCATAACCCACTCCCCAGCATGGCTCCCAGCCCAATATTATTCCCTGGCTGTGCAGTGGGACTGTCTGTCGCATCCCCCACCCTGCTGCCCCCGCTTACATTTCTGCAGGGCCCCTCTCTCATACTCTAAGTATTTCCATCTGCTCCCTGAGGAAACCCTGAGTGATTCCTAAGAGCTCTAAGAGCAGAAAACAAGATTCTAGGTGCCCCAGAGTTCTCAGTTTCACCCTGGCTAAGCACAAGACCACAGCCATGCCCCAGGAGGGAGGGGAGCAGAGCACCCCCACACTCAGGCCTCCACCTCCAGGGTCCCTGAGCTCAGCCCAGGCTGTGGTGCTGGGTGGAGAGGCGCACGTGGGCACTGTGGTCAGGCCAGGCACCCATACCTCCCCACAGGTCACTCGCCCTGGTGCCTCCAGGCTGGGGGAGGCCAGGACAGTGCATTTCCTGGCATGGGAGCTCACTCTTATGCCCAGACAATGCCACTGAGCCTGGCGGAGGTGGCCTCATATTGGAATCAGCAATGACCCTCATATCCAACCCCAAACACCCCAGCTCTTCAGAGCTTCCAAGACTCTGTGACCCCTGGGCTACATCTGGACCCAGAAGGCTCTCAGTAAACGCCTGAGGAAGGGAAGGGGTGGGAGGAAGAGGAGAAAGCATTTCTGAGCACCAACGAGTGCCAGCGCCTTTTACTGACACTAATTCACTCCGCCCCTCAAGACCAGGGTGGCTGTCCCCATTTTCAGAGAGGGACCCTGGCTCAGACAGGGTATCCCAGCCAGTGAACATCAGAGCAGGGACTTGAGCCCAGCCTATTTGATGCTAAGCCGCCCCACACTATGCCTGCATCCGTCTTTCCTTCCTGCACTGGAGCGCACTGTGAATGCTCCACTGCAGCCCAAGGCTGCTGCTGAAGGGTGCCCGACGGCTATGCAGCTTTTTCCCACAGGACGAAGGGGTTGCTGCTGAGAGAGGGATGCAACGAAAAGCCAGGGTCCAGGAGGGGATGCAGCAATTTCTTCAGATCAAAACGCCAGACTTTATGAGCCCGGTTGCTTCTCAGGACTCCCTGGCAAGGCTTCTGCTCCACTCCAAATCCCCCTCCTTCCAGAGGCTACCTCAGACCTGCACGCTCATGCACCCCTATGCAGGCTGGCCTTCCCTCAGTAACTCACCTGGGCACTGCCTGGCCAAGCCTGCTGCTTAACAAGGGCTCAAGGGCCTGTGACGGCAGGGGAGAGGAGGCCATGCGGTCAGGGGCACGTTCATTCAGTTACCCCAGGAACATTCTTTATTATTCCAGACACCACTTATCAACTTCCCTCTGTGTATGCGGTAGGTTCCAGCTGTGCAACTCTGGGCAAAGCAGTTCTTTCTCAGCCTCAGTCTCTTATCTGTAAAATATGAGAGACTCTGGTGTTTGCCTTAAAAGTTTGTGGGAAGAAATAAATGAGTAAGCCCTCACTTAATGCCAGCGCTGTTATGACTATATTACTATTAGACTGTTTCTAATCCTGACAACAACACAGCTAGGGAGGTGCTCTTATTCCCATTCCACAGATGAGAAGACTGAGGCAAAAGCAGGGCAAGACCCTGCTCAAGGTCCAGTGGAGAGAGCTCGGGGTGATACCAGAAGCTCTCTTTACCATGTCATTGTTTCTGTTTGCCCAGCATCATTTTCACCCCCAGCAGCACATCAAGGGTCAGGGGCTCTAGGGTACATCAGACCTGATCCTCCATCCAGCGAGGGAGACAAACACATAGATAGACAATTGCTATTCCAGGTAGTGAGAACTGGTTGGAGAGCCCAGGGAGCTGGCGGGAACAGAGGAGAGCCCCTCACTCAGCCTCGGGCCCTGGGGAGACCTCATGAGAGGCCAGCTCTCAGCCAGGTCTTGAGTAGCTAGGACTATACAAGGAGTGCTGTCCCAGTTCCTGGGGAAGCAGCTGGAACTGAGCCTGGTTCTGCCCCTTCGCTGTGTGATTACATGAACTTGAGGGAATAAGTTTGCCTCTCTGGGCATCCATTTCCTCACTTCAATAGTGGGAGTCTCAGCAAGTGCACACCTGCGGGAGGGGGGACGCCCGGCACTGGGGGGATTCATGGCTCTCGAAGTCTCCTCTTCCCTCAGTCTCCAAAGGCATAGTGAGCACCTCGTACCCGACCCACCTGAGACGCAGCATCATCATCTCATTTTACAGCTGAAGCTGCTTGGGCTCAGAGAGCTAACATGACCTGCCCGAGTTCACGTGGGTTCTGAGCCAACTCTGCATTCACTGGGCGCTTACTAAGCGCTCATCCCTCGTTTGATCCTCCCCACATCTCTGGGAGGGTGGAGTTATTTGCTTCCATTTCACAATGAGGGAGTGAAGATCCAGGGCAGGTCTTGACCAGCACTAGATCCTCAAGGGCGCCTGGGGCACAGCCAGGACAGGGCCAACTTCAGCCTTCCCTGATGCTCTCTGCCCACTCCCGCCCAAGCACCTGCACAGACGGCCCCACACAGGCCCCTGGACAGGCCCAGAAGTCAACACAAGCACCCGATTCCATAAGGGCTTTAGGAGTTGATAGTTTAATGCCCAGGTCCCATTTTTCAGAGGAAATAAGCTTATCACAGGTGTTCAAATTCGCTGCCAATAGGACAGTAGTGAACACGGGTGTTTTCTTCACCAGTAAAACAGAAGTAACAACAACCCTCCCTTCCGTGTCCATGAACCCAGCACTGATTTCATTCAGAGACCCATCACTTGCCTCTCCGAGCCCATGAGGTCCGGAAGGGAATAAGCCCCACCCCAGCTCCAGGCATGGACCCAGCAGGGCTAGCCAGCGTGTTACCATCCCTCAGCAGGGTTTGGATCTAAGTCCTGGGACTCTGAGTGTCTGTAATGAAGGGGAAGGGCTCTTTCAGTGGAGCTGTAGAGAGGAGATGATGGGGCGAAAGACCACTGTGTCACGAGCGAGAGCCACACGGTGGAGAGCCGGGAGGTAGACAGGGGTCCTGACGCCATCCTTGGATTGTCTGGACACAGCCTCCACTTTGGCTGAAGCAATCCCCCTGGAATATTTAGTTACAGAAACCAATAAATTTCCCTTTATTCTTAAGCCAATTTGAATCAGGTTTCTGACACTTGCAACATCAGAGACTTGACAAATACAGTAACCCAAAATGGAACTAAAATATCCCATTTGCCATGAGAAAATACAAAAAAGCATTAACATTTTAATCGTAGTAATTAAACAAACAGGAAAACAATCAAATTAAATAAGAGCATTTTACTTATCTAGAAGGCAGTACTTAAGGGGAACATTATTCATTTTGGGAAGAATAAGGAATAGTCAGCTGCATAGAAGCAGAGTAGATAGTGGTTGCTAGGAGCTGAGGAGGGGGGAAGAGGGGGCTGTTCAATGGGCAGAAAGGTTCACTTGTGCAGGATGAAGAGGTTCTAGGGACCTGCCGTACAACACCGTGCCTGCAGACAACAATACTGTATTGTACATGTACAAATCTGTTAAGAGGGTGGATCTCATGGTAAGTGTTCCTGCCATGATTTTTTTTTAAACCTGAAAAAAACCCACTGAACTAGGGGAAAACAAAATAAGAAAGAAAATGAAGACTTCCAGAAATCTGAAGAAGGCAGCTGGGCACTCAGAGAAGACATCACCATGGATCGAGTGCCAGCGCGTGCTAGGTGCTTGCTCAACTGTGATTGTTTACGCCTCAAACACCCAGCACTGCTGGTGGTGTTACACCCACTGTCACCAGTGAGGAAATTGATGTTCAGAAGGAATAGACACTCAGCCATGCACACATAAAATCTGCATCAGGCTTCATCTCGCCCCAAGTCCAAGACTATTTCCTCATCACATAATTCATTCAACAATCATTTATTAAGGACTTATGTACTACCAGACACTGGGATGGCTCTGTGGTCATCATGCAAACATCCTAGAAGGAATCCAAAGGAGGAAATCAGTGGTGAAAATCAAGGCCAGCAACCTGGGACACCAGACTCCAGAGGCTGCCTCCATCCCCAACTACTTCTGGGGTCTCCAAGCACAAGGTGAAAGCTCAAGACCTCTGACTATGGCAGCCGTGTATGTCTTACTGAACCAGCACACCCTCTATCCCAGGACCAGCACACTCTCTGCCTCCCAGGACCAGCACAACCTCTGGCCCTGAAAAAAAAGCACATCCATTGTCTCTGGCCACCAGCACAATCCCTGTCCTTGGCACTGATGCAGCCTCTGCTCTTGAGAAAAGCATCAACAGTTTTGCCTGAAAACCTTTCAACTCTTCCTTACATAAACGGGAAGAAATCCCTTGCAGATAATTATACAACTTCTATCCTCTGGTTCAAGTGAAAAGCAAATCCTTTGTAAATCTTCTTGAAAATTCCACTGAGAAACTCTGCACTTGAGAGACTCCAAGAATTCAGAACCACACAGAGTCAAGCTGGACCCAGCTTAGCCAGACCCGAGAGTGGGACTGCCACTGCCACCATGTGAGCACCTATTGTGTGCACCCAGTGGGGAGCTGTGAGTCCACATAGGTTTCTGCCTCCCTGAATGGCCCAGGGACCCCGTCAGGGGGTGGTGCCCATCTCCATCAAACAGATGAGAAAATGGCAGCTCAGAAAATGGCCAGCACAGAGTGACCCAGGGCAGAGGAGGACTTGAACCCAGACCCCTCTGTCTCCAGAGGCCATCCTACCTCCTCTTGTCACTCTTGCCAGCACACTGAGAAACAGTAACCAGGAAAGAGCAGAACTGAGTTCTTCAGTTCTTCATTGCTGCAAAAAGAAGCTCAAAGCCCCTTCCCTCGTATCTGCAGAGTAGGGGTGCAGGGACTCCAAGGAACAAAGTCACTCACATTCTCCCCTGACATCCTCAGAATGCACTGCAATGCTCTGGGAACAGTCTCCTCAGGCCCATAAATAATTGAGAACCCATGCGTCCTATGGCATTTCTGCTGAAATCATCACTCACCCACACTCTTTGTGCTTTCTGCAGAGCCAAAGAAATTCTTGCTGATTTTTTTAAATGCAGCCTTTTGTTGAAACTGGTTTTGAAATTCAGTGCTCAGTTCCTAGTCTAAGGCAATGGAGACACAGAGATTACCTGGATGAAGCTCTGCCCTCAAGGAGCTCAGACCCTACTTAGGGAAGAGAGAGACTCAACAGACCCTTAGACTGCCACAAGTAAATGAGTCACCAGAGTTAAGGAAGCAGGCAAGGCGGGAAGGGTGATGGGGAAGTGCAGACTGGCCTGGTGGGTCTGTGCCTTGCAAGGGGAGCAGGAGGAGACAAGGGAGGGAGAGAGCAGAACTCCACTTCCCCAAGGCTAAGCCCAGCGGGAGGCTGCCCTGAGGAGAAAGTGTTCTTAGAAGGGGGTGGAGGAGGCCAGGCATGGTGGCTCATGCCTGTAATCCTAGCACTTTGGGAGGCTAGGGAGGGTAGATCACGAGGTCAGGAGTTTGAGACTAGCCTGACCAACATGGTGAAACCTTGTCTCTACTAAAAATACAAAACTTAGCTGGGTGTGGTGGCATGAACCTATAATTCCAGCTACTCAAGAGGCTGAGGCAGGAGAATTGCTTGAACCCAGGAGGCAGAGGTTGCAGTGAGCTGAGATCACGCCACTGCCTGGATGACAGAGCAAGACTCTGTCTCAGAAAAAAAAAAAAAAAAAAAAAGAAGAAGAAGGGTGTGGGGGAAAAGTGAGGAGGCAGCTTCATGGCGGAAAGCTCTGTTGTGAGCCATGTGCTCCCTCTGTTCCTTCAGGTCTTCAGTAAAGCTATTAAACTCACAAAGTCCCAAGTATGATGATGTTTTTCAGTGGTGATGGAAGGATACCAAGGTGTGCACACCAGTAGTCAAGAGGCCAACCTGAGCTGACACCCACAGGTGTGGGAGCTGAGGACCACAGGGGAGGCAGGCCAGGAGCACGCAGCCCCCAGGGAAGCACAGGCTCTGACACTGAGGCATTCAGCCACGTTCACCCGCATCTTCCGGAGACAGGTGGCCCCAAGAGACACCTGGCAGTGGAGCATGGTGTGAACATGGAGAGAAAGAAGTGACTTGCTCTGGGGTGGCGTGAGGGGTCTTAAAGAGGGGGTGACACTGGAGACCAAGCTAGGAGGAGGAGAAAGGGAAGCCTTTCAGACAGAGAGTCCCAAGGGTGGGGGATGTCTATTGTTGTGGCTTCTCGGCCTCCGTTCCTTGCTGTATTTGGTAACCACACCGTGATTTTCCTCTGGGACCCCCAACTCTAGATGTCTGTGGTTTTTGTGGTGCTTACCCCATCCTCCAAGCTGCAGGAGTGGGTTTATAATCCAGGCTTGGCCAATCGGTACACTCCATGCCCCACAGCCATTGGTTTACTGATGGACACATGACCCAAATCAGCCAGTGAGAGTCTGCCTTGGGACCTTTGTCGGAATACTTAAGAAAGAGGCTTTCTCTTTCTCCAGGAGAGGCTAGTGGCCACCATAAGGGTGTGCCTGCCTGAGAATGGAGCCAACACAGAAGAAAGCATATTCTTAGAGGCAATCTTTAAGCACTTTGCATGTCTGAAGCTCCCTCCACTAGATGTTCAGTTACTATATTAGTCCATCTTCAAATTGCTATAAAGAAATATCTGAGGCTGGGTAACTTATAAAGAAAAGAGGTTTAATTGGCTCATGGTTCTGCAGGCTGTACAGGAAGCATGGTGCTGGCTTCTGCTTCTGGGGAGGCCTCAGGAAGCTTCTAATCATGGTGGAAGGCAAAGGATAAGCAGGCATGATCTGGGGAAAGCAGGAGAAAAAGAGACACGGGAGTGTCTCTTTTAACACTTTTAAACAATGAAACCTCGAGAGAACTCAGTGTCACAAGGATGGCATCAAGGGGACAGTGCTAAAGCATTCATGAAACTTCCACCCTCATGATCCAGTCACCTCCCACCAGGCCCCGCCTCCAACACTGGGGATTACATTTCAATATGAGATTTGGGCAGGGAAAATATCCAATCTATATAAGTTACGAAAGCCAGTAATTTTCCATTTTTATTTAAAAGTATTCGAGTTGGCTTATCACACGTGTGGCCTCTACAGCTGTGATGGTGGCTACAAAGACCTCTATGGGGAAGACGGCTGGTGTGTCCAGGAAGGGTGAGGTGCTCACTCTGAATGGACTGTGGTTGGGTCATACAGGGCCACAATGTGAAGCCAAACATGGGCCTCGGGAGTCAGGAAAGGATACTAAGCAGGGCAGTGGTATACTCAGATGTATGTGTATGGACTCACTCTGTTTATTCAAATGTGTTTAAAACCTAGAAAGAATTCCCAAGTAGAGTGTGAGCCAGACATTTTTCTTTTCCAGTTTTGCAGCCTGAAGGTGCTATCCAAGGTACTGAGATCCCCCCAGAGGGCTCTTCCAGGAAAGGAAGCAGGCTGAGTACTGTGGGAGGAGACTGGCATGCTGGCTCCTCCATTTGAAATGCCACCTAGTTCCCTTCCCTTGCATCTGCACAAGTGGAATCAGTCCTGTGCTGTCTCCCTGCTCCCATAGAAAGAAAGATAATGCATGTACTGGTACCACCTGAAACCAACCTCAGGACACACACAGTCTTTTGTCTTGACTCTGCCTGGTCTGATGAACAAGGGACTGATAAAACTCATGGATAAGAGCACCAGGAAATTAGTTCTTTGACATTTCCCCTTGTCCAAATAGCCAGAATGATTAACACATTTATTTTTAGAGGCCAGGTCTCACTCTGTCGCATAGGCTGGAGTGCAGTGGGACAATTCTAACTCACTGCAACCTCAAACTCCTGGACTCAAGCAATCTTTCCACCTCATCCTTTTAAGTCACTGGGACTACAAACAAGTGCCACTACACCAAGCTATTAAAAAAATTTTTTTTTGTAAAGATGTGGTCTCACTATGTTGCCCAGGCTGGTCTCGAACCCATGGCCTCATGCAATCATCCCACCTCTGCTTCCCAAAGTGTTGGAATTACAGGCATGAAACACCACACTGGGCCAACACACTCTTATACAGTTGGTGGTAGGTTGCGTTATCAGCCCCAGTTTTTCACCTCTCCCTATATTCAAGCCCTTTGTTATGTGCCTTTGGAGTCCTTCCCACTGAAGGAACAGAGTGTATTTCCCCCTTCCTTGACCTTAGCCATGACCATTTGACTTGCCTTGGCCAAGAGAATGTGGTCAGACGACATAGTGGGTCCGTTCCAGGCTTAGACCTTAAGAGGCAGAGGTGTTTCCACTGGCCTCCTCGCACCTCTGCCCTCTCCATGAGGAAAGCATGCACCAGTGAGACAGCTGTTGGGAGATCATTCTTCCTGTCTCTACATATCTTGTGAACAGAGGCCAGGAATGGCTATATAATTTGCAAGTCCCACTGCAAAATGAAAACGCAGGGTCTCCTGTTCAAAAATTATTAAAAATTTCAAGAGAGCTACTGCACAGCATTCAACCAAGTGTGGGTCCTTCTTTGTGCAAGACTCTGAGCGACTACACACGTCCCACACCCATAAAGCCAGCCCTGGTAGAGGAAATGACAGCTTTTATTTTAGACCAAGGGTCAGCAAACTATGGTCTTCAAGTGCAGTTTTGTCTACTGCCTGCTTTTGTGTGGCCCTAAAGCAAAGAATGGTTTTTACATTTTTAAATGGTTGGAAGAAAATCTAAGGAAGAATACTATTTCATGACATGCAAAAATTATGTTTTATTCAAATTTAAGGGTTCATAAATAAAGTTTTATCAAAATTCAGCCATGATTATTCATTTATGTCTGGTCTGTCTGTGTCAGCTTTCACACTACAACAGCAGGGTTGAGTCATTGTGACAGAGACTGTGTGGTCTACAATGCCTAATGTTTACTTTCTGACCTTTTACAGAAAAAGTTTGCCAACCCTGTTCTACCCTAGACAGAAGAGTCACCCAATCAATTCCAGCCTGGATCAGCAGAGCATCAGCTGACCTGCAGCTCTCTAGGAATGAGGGGTTATTGTTGTATGCTCCCGAGTCAGTGGTGTGTGTGTAATGCCGCAGTAGCTAACTGTTCAGGGTGCAGTTAACGTTTCTCAAAGAATGCTACATGGAATGAGTTCAGGTGAGAAGCCCCAAATGACATTGAAAAGCATAGAAAGCAGGGCTCTTTCCCACTCTCATTAGTTCCTTCTCATTTTATCAAAGGGGAAGCCTCAGCTTGGTCCTGGCAAGTCTTTAATGCTCTCCTCACTCCTTGAGAACAAACAGAGCAGACCTTGAGCTCATCGGGTAATGGTATCCCTCTAGAACAGAATGAGTGCTTGTTTTATTGTATATATTTTTATAATGTACCTTCTATTTCTGGCAAGCATCACTAGTTTTCTGTCTATGACAGTATTTTAGTTTCCTTTACAAATGCAATTCTTTACATAAAAATTGTGAATTTACTTTAGCAACAATAAAATGGTGATATTACTTCAATAAAATATTGAGTAAGTCATTGTGCAGATGAAAGTAAATGTAGAAAAAAGTCACAAAGGTAGTGAACAAATGGCTGAAGTTTGGGAAACATGGATAGAGATGACAGCTGAGACCCTCTCCCTTTTATGGCTGCAGAGTGCAATGCTAAGCTTCTTAGATCTGGGATGACACTCCCTGATCCTGGCACTATCTCTGCCACTTCCTGGCTGTGTAACCTTGAACAAATTACTTTACCTCTCTGAACCTCAATCCCTTTGCTGCAAAATGGAGATGCTAACCCCGCCTTCCAGGCTGTAGTGTATACTGCTGGTTGCCTGCCGCTATGTTTGCTCTTCTGTCCCATACGCACAGAACCCCAATTTTTTTCAGGTATCCACTACTCCCTGACATAGCCATGAGCTTCAGGAAAGCTGATCCCAGCCCAGGAAGTAGTCTACTTGCCCTTGCCCTTGCTAGCAGTTTGTCTGAGAGTAGATGTATGATCCAGTGCCACTGAGGCACAAGAAACTCTTGAGAACATGTCTAGCTCCTAAGAGCCACTGGCAATAATATTCTCTTTTCTTGGCCTGGATATGATTGAGTTTGGATGTGATTCCTAGAAACAAGTTTGCCATTTGCCTCTAGCCTGGGGAAGAAGCCAACACCGAGCACAAGAGAACAGGTAGATAAACAGAGCCCAGGCTGGATGATGTTGCTAGGCTGCTGAATCAAGCAACCCTGGAGCCACCTCTACCTCTGGGAGTGAAGTGTGTGGACTGATAAATGTCCCTGTTTAAACCAGTTGGAGATGAGGCTTCTGTTACTTGAAATGGAAAGAATTCTAACTGGTACAGATATTGGTCCCTTATGTTCTAGGTTCATATAGCTACATAAGCCTTCTACAAAATTGTCTACTTAGTCAGGCTATTGTTATACAGACAGTCCTTTGTATGTAGACATCTGTAGCAGGGAGGACTCCCATTTGCTGGCCAGTATTCCTTCCTCTCTTGTTCCCTAGGAACAAAGCCCAGATTTTATTGAGGGTGGAAGTGTGCGCAGTTAAAAGACTACATTTCCCATCCTTCCCTAGCAGCAAGGCGTGCCCACATGACTGTATCCTGGCCAATGATGTACAAATGGAAGTGAGTTGTGGAAATTCCAGGAAGACAACTTAAAGGGGTTGGACTCAGCCAGAAGTACACTGCTTTCTGTCCTTCCTCTCTTTCTCTTCCTTCTGCCTGGAGTGGAGCTGTGACAGTTGAAGTCCCAGGAGTCTTCCTGGACCATGTGGTGACTGTGAGTCCTATGCAGCAGAGCATAAAGAAGGAAGGAGCTTGGGTCCTTGATGAATGCCTGTGGCTGACTGCCAGCTCCCTGACTACTTTTATGCAATAAAGTGACCCCTTTTGTGTTTAAGCCACTGCTACTTTGCGATTTCTGTCACATACAGCAAAACCTAATCCTAACTGATACTCTATCTAATTGGAAATTCCTTGTTCTTTATCAAGAGTCTGATGTCTGCAAATATGTGAAAGTGTGGCTAGGATAACTTTGAGATGCACAAAATACCTAAGATTTAATGTGATCTTTATTGACACTCAGGTTCTCCAGAGAAACTTAGAGTTGTTAGGAGAGTTAAACAGATGACTTATGTGATGCACTTAACTCAGAATCTAGTGCATAAAAAAGCATCCTAGTAATGATGACTTCTAGATTATCACCATTGGCTAATCCCACCCTCTGCTTTGACACGTGAAGAAATGGAAGCCCAGAGAGGGGAAGCACCTTGTCCAAAGCCACGTAGCCACTTTGCCACAAAGGCAAAACAGGAACTCACACTTCTCTTTGCTCACTCACTGGTCTTTTCCCTATCTTGAGTCCTTTTACAAGGTAATGAGCTCCACCACCGAGGAAGTGTTCAGGGGCCCTGGATGACCTCCTGGAGGGCACTTCCTTCAGGAGACCCCTCAGGCAAGGATCCCCTTCCTGGGCAGCAAGCTCAGTTGAACAACCTCTCATTCTCTTCCAAGTTCAGGATTCCATGACCTGTTCAAGACCAGAATGAAAGGGAAGGGCAGGGGAGTCCTGCCCTCTCCTTCCCCTCTCTGCATTCTCCTGGCTCTGTCTCTGTGATGCCTGAGAATAGAATAACGCATGACGATCATGAGGGAAAAGTGAGAAAAGTTCATCATCTAATCCCCAAAACTATACCCAAAATCTGGAGCACGAGCAGGGTGGGTTTCTGGCCTATTCCTTCTGTCTTCAGGGTCCTTGCTTAACTTCATTCAACTCCCCTGTCTCCTGTAGGGAAGGTGGGATCCATGTGACATCAAGGTGGCTGATACAACCATGGAAGAGGGTCTAGAGGTGTCTGCTCTTGCTCAAAGACCAAAGAGGAGACCGACTGGGAGTCTCCAGAGATTATTCTGATGCTGTTCCCCTGCTGGAGAAGTATCTGTTATTGGCAGAACCTTATCAACATTTTCTTAGTGCTGTTATTAAGGCAGCCAGCTTGCCCCAAGCTGATGAATTTTAAAAGAAGCATAAAATAATTTTTGAAAAACCTTGAAGCTGAAAGAGTAATAAATGTTTAAAAGCTTGGCTTGTTTGAAGCTTCTCTCTGCCAGCAGATTAACCCATTTACTGATTATGTATTTGGGAAAAAAAATTATTAGCAGATTCCAAGAACATGTTAGACATTAAAGCATCTCTGACCATTTAATTCTTAGAAGAACCCTTTGAGGTATGAATTGTTGTCATGTCCTCCACACTCGCCCCTGCCCTCACCTTCAGCCATAATGGGGAGCTGGACTCAATCCTGGGCCTGTGAGACTGTACAGCTCACACTCTTGTCTCCATGCTGGGTCCAGCCATGTCCTGGTCCTCCACCATGGGCCCAGCCCTGGGACTCGGCCAGGACAGATGGCCCACTTAGCCTGCCCAAGGACAATCTTCTGTGCTTGATTGCCAGCTCTCAAACTTTCCAGCCTGGCCAACAAGGTCAAGAGCTCTTCAGGAGCAAGGAAAGGGTGTCGTGGGGCAGATGTGACTATCACCTATTCCACTCTGGTTCCCATTGGCTCAAGCAAGCCACTATGCCCCTAAAAAGTAGAGGGAATCTGGTCCTGGTGGCCTTGAAGACAGAACTAGAGACCCCGGAGAAGAAGCAGCATGGAGGTAAGTTTTAACTCCATAGAAGATCAGCTACAAACAGAGCTGCCCAACTAGGTAGGAATGAGTTTCTTGTCACCAGAGGTTTGCAGGCAGAGGGCAAACTGCCACCTCCTAGGAATGCAGTATGAGAAATCCCGGTCTTAGGTGACTTCTGGCACCCAATAGCATCGAATTCACCCATGTTCCTGGAGAACTTCTTGCAATCAACATCAAGTCATGTACCGAGCGCCTGTTCAGCCAGGACCTGCTCCAGAGGGCCATTCAATCCTCACCACAGCAAGGTGGGGAGCATTAGCCCCATTTTACAGATGCTCAGAGAAGGTAAGTAGCTTGTCCAAGGTCACACAGCTAGACCTATGTCCAGCTGTTCCCCACACCTGTGATTTACCTCTCTATACTACTTGAAGTTAATCCCATTTATAAAAAGCAACATTGGGTGAGGTGAGGGCGTAGGGGTCTTATGCATAATAACACAAATCACTACTGTTTATTAAAAATGTGCTACATGCCAGGCACTCTTCTGTGCACTTTACAGATGTCATCTATTTAATGCATCCACATCCTCTTTCCCATTTGACCTATGAAGGAAATGGCTTCCAAAGCGTGCCTGAGGCCACTGCGGTTCAGTGGCAGAGCCAGCCTGGCTGTGCTCCATGTCTTTGCCGTATTCCCTATTCAGGCAGGGGCAAGCCCAGCTGTAAGGTGTGTGAGTCAGCAAGAGGAGGACAGTGAGAAGAAGGGAGTGCAGGGGTGGACTGGGCAGCCCGTGAAAGAGCAGAGGTCACAGGGCTGAAAGGAAGGCTTTTCAAGCCACAGGGCCTGGCTGCAGAATGGGGAGGCTGCCCACACTCAGGTGGTGTGTATGGCCAGCAGTGTGGCCTTGGTCAAGGCACTGCCCTCTTGAGTTTGGGGTAGGTCATGGTTTAAAGCAGAGCTCTAAGCCCAGCAAGGATAAGAGAATAATTTGGGAAACTGAGGCAAGTAGTTAGAAAAGAACTGAGATTCCATAAGTGCAGAGCCCCTGAAGCCCACTCATCAGTTTCCTAGCTGTGAGTGTTCATTAATTCACCCTCCCTGTCCAGAGGAACTTGGGGATGGAGATTTCTGCCGCTTGAAAAACATTAGGCTCCCATTATTCCAAGAGGGAGCTGTGGTGGCTGCCTCAGCCTCCTGTACTCTCAGAACCCACTTGCACACTCTGCCTTCTTCCAACCAGAACCTGCAAGGGGCCCAGTTGCCAACCAGATTCCAAGGAGTAGGTCCTCAGTTTCCTTGATGTGTTTGTTTATTCATTCAACAAACATTTATTGGACCCCAGCTATGTACCCAACCTTAAGCAGGTACTTTCAAGTCCAAAATCCTTGCCTTCTGGTATGGGGCTGATTACTTTCCTGAGCCCAGAGAGAGGAAGGGGTTCAGCCACAGTCGCTTGGCTAGGAAGGGGCAGGGTCTGTATACAAGCCCGCACCCTTGCTGTGATGCCACCAGCCCTGGCCCACTGTATCTGGGAAGAACCCACAGCCCAAGGCCTGCCGCTTGAGCCAGGTGCATGTGCGTCTGAAGGTCCCGGATTTCCCACCGTCCTGGCACCTGTCACCGTTTAGCAGGTTACCATGGTACCGCTCCCCAGCACCCCGGGCGGCAGGGACCACCATCTGTTTACACGGCTGTCAGAGGAATTGATGTCATGTGAAATTGTCAGCTCAGCGGGGTGGGAGGAGGAAGAGTGGGCGGCTCTGAAAGCATCCAAGCCATCAAAACTCATTTCCATCAAAGCCCTGAGTGAGCCCATGCTCCCCTGGGGGGATGAGAGAAAAAAAGGGGAGAGCCGAGAAAGAGCATTTCCTGAGAGGAAGAAGCAGGTAGCAATAGTAACAGTTACTCTTTCCATTTTTACCATCATTTACAATTCACAAGCTCATGTCTGCTTCTCCCAGCTCTGGGAGGTGAGCATTGCCATTCGCTCCATTGTACAGATGTTCCAAAATATAAAACTGATGCTCAGAGACATGGAGAACCTGCTCAAGGTCACAGGAAAGCCAGAGGGTAACTCCAGGAGGAAAAACTCCCTGATCTTCTGGCTAAGAGGCTGGCGGATGTGGGGGGGTGGGGGGGGGTGGGGTTCACTGTTGCCAAGATCAGAGGCAGGCCTACCCCAGAGTGAATGTGCTCAGGTAAGCACAGGACAGTTTTCTGTTGCCCGCAACGGCAGAAAGTGGGAAGGAAAGGACTGAGCGCAGGGAGTTCCAGGTTCTCATTACAGATCTGATACTACCAAGGCTGCCGTAAGGGACAGAGCAGCTGGCCAGTGCCCAGGGCACACATCTTTAAAGACACCTAAATATCCCTGGGAATGTAACCAGAGGGAGAGTGGAAATCTGTCACCTGCCTGTTCAGCATCTGTCCCTTCTTCAATGGTGGCAGCCTACTGATTCTCCTCCGGACAATCAAACGTCTCTCGTCTCACTCCATCGGGGTTTGCACAAGGCTGGCCCATCAAGGGATGACCCAGACCTAATCCAATTCCCAGATGACCCAGATATAATCCAACTAGTATATCTTGACCCCTGGTCATGGTGATTGGCTCAGGCATAGGCACATGACCCCAAACAAACCAATGGGAGTCAGGAAAGAGAATCTCTCCCTTCTGCTGGGTTACTAACAGGAGAGAACACAGGCCAGAATTAGGCTACCCCCTTGTCACCACGAGGTACAGCCTGCCTGAGATGGGAGCGACCATGGGGAAAAGCAAGGCCAGGAAGGAGAGTACAACAGACTTTTCCCTCTAGGTCCAACTAATCTTGAAGCAGAGGCCACTGAACTTATATCAACCAATATATTTTTCCCTTTTTGCTGAGATAATTGAGCTGGGTTTTCTGCCATTTGCACTTGAAATAGTCCTGGTGGTTTCATCCCAACTCATTTCAAGGAGGAAACCCTGTGAGTTTGGAAGGAATCACTGAAGAGACTGCTTGGAGGTGAGGATTGGATTCCCAAGGCAAACTGAATAACAACAGATGATTGCTAAACTGCCTTCAAAGGAGAGTGGGAAGGTTAACTGTAGGGTTTTAGTTTTGCTGGGTGGGTTATGCAAGTTGAGACCAGAAAGGAATTGCTACAGTAGAGGGTAGACTGAGTCCACCATCAGTGCACCCATTCTCCACCCTTCCTGGTGCAGCACCCGACCTCACCTCTAGAGAAACATTGACCAAGTATTTAGAAAGTATTGATTGGAAGAGATCCAAAGTATTAGCCTGCTTAAGTAACCCACTGGTTTCCAGCCATCTCGAGTACTATCACATCTTGTGACCGTGAGCAAACGCTGTTCCCTCTCTGGCCCTCAGTTTCTTCATCTGTGAAGCAGGGACTCTTATTTGTATTTTGCTGGTGAGGAAAGGGAAGCAGTGAGTGGGCAGGATTTGATTGATGTGCACTGCAGTGGGGCCAGGGAGAGCTTAGAATCTCTCATCCCTCATTGCAGGGAATCACTGTCTTTCATTTTCCAATAAGCAAGGATTTCAGGTGAGAAAATCTTCTTCCTTTAAAAATATATCTTTCTCCACTTCTTATAGATACAGACTGAAATACGTATGGATGAAACAGTATGATGTCTGGGATTTGCTTCAAAATAATATGGAAGGGGGAGAGGAGGTGGGGGTATAAATTAACAAAATTGGCCAGGAGCTTTGAAACTTGGGTGATGGACACATGAGGGTTTATTACCCTATTTCTCTACTTCTGTAAAAGTTTAAAATTTCCACAAGAAAATGTTAAAAAATAAAAATGAAAATTCTGGCCTACTATCAGTGTAAGCTGCTCTGACATGTTTCAACACGCTACGTCTAGAGCCTGAGACAGGCTCAGCCAGAGGGAGATGAAACAAGTGTACCAGAATAATTGATGGAGATGATAATTTGAGTTTGTGCTTCCTGTGTTTTTTCTCTTCCTCCACCTCAAACAGCTTGGCTGATTTTTGCTCCCTGACTTCCAGGGAGGAGGAGGAGGCAGGGCCGAAAGTAAAAGCTGCTTGAGTCTCCATTGAAAAGAAGGGAGAATATTACTGAGGTTGAAAAGAGGAGTGGAAGAGGTTTCTCCAGGTTTGGATGGGTCCCTCTTTGGCAAAGCTCCTCAAGTCCCGAGAGCAGTAGAAAAGCCATAGAACCACCATTTCCACTGTGTAAGAAGGTTGTGGGAGCCGGGACTGGGAATGTCTCCATGGTGGCCCACGGGCACCTATGCCCAGTGCCAGAGGGGGCCTCTCAGAGGCTTCGGCAAGGTCTAAGAATGCATAACCTTTGCCCTAAGCCGGGGGAGGGCTGTTCCCATGATGACTCACACTGACTTTCTGGTCTGTCAGGCGAGATGGGGGTTTGGATTTTAAGCTGATTTAAAGAAAATAAAGAAATAGATAATGGCGGGCACATGAGAGGGAGGCAAAACAAAGCAGGAGGCTCTGGGGTCCAGAGAGCAGGGTTCTAATCCTGGTTCTGCCGCTTATGAGCTGTGAAACCCTGGACGAGTCCCTTCACCTCCCTGACACTCTGTTTCTTCATCTGTGAAACAAGGACAACCGGCCCTTCCCGAGGGGGTGGTTGGGAGGATGAAGATGAGGGGCCACCCCTCACGGCACGGCGCATGGTGCATAGCAGCCCTTACTTTTACTTCCTCCTCTCTCCCCAATCCCAACCACCTCACCCCCTGCATTTAGGAAGAAGCCATTTAAATGCAACTGTAATTAATAAGCAGTCGACAGAGGCTAATTAAGAATTTATTTTTGCTTCTTGATTAAATGACAGTTTAAGATCTGGTTTCTCATTTTCTTGGTTGGATACACAGAGTCCCCTGGAGTCTCCTGCATACGGTCAGGAGGCCCCAGTTAAATCTACAAACAGGAATAAGTCATCTCCAGCGCCGCGTGCCCAACTCAGGATCCTCTTGCTCATCACCCTGCAGAGAGGATGAACCTCGCACAGGCAACTCGACTTCCTCCAAACTTACTTCTCCCTGGGCTACTCCAAGTCAGGAAATGGAACACGATCCCCCTGGAATCCTCCCTCATTATCTCTGTTTGCCTCATCTCCCCATCCCATCCCTCACCAAGGCTGCTGGCTCCATCCCACCCCCACCATCTGCCTGCTTCTCTCCTTTCCTCGCCCCCTCCCAATTCAAGCTGCCGTCTCCTCTTGCCTGGAGCTTCTCACTGGGCTCCTCGCTTCGCCTCTACCCCTCCTCCTCCCTCCACTTGACAGCCTGAGTTTTTCCAAATATAAAGTGGAATGGTTAAAATATTAATTGAGCCCCTCCAAAGGCATTGCATTGGGCTTAGAATAGAAAGTCACTCCTTATCCCTCATAGCAGCACCATCTATTCCCTGCCTGTCCTCCAATCTCATCTCATCCATCATTGTCCCATCTTTGCTCAGGCCACTCCAGCCTTCTGGTCACCTTTCTGTCTCTTGAACACACACACCAGGCCTTTTCCTACTTCCAAGGCCTCTATCTTCTCACAGCTGCTTCCTTCTCATTCCTTGGGTGTCACCTCTTCAGAGAGGCTCTCCCTGACCTCTCCATCTAAAGTAGTTTTCTCTCTCCATTACTCTCTGTTATATAAATGAGCCAAATACACCCCATACATTGGTCCCTAGCTTATTTCTTCCCAGGAGGCTGAGACCAGTTAGCTCTAAAGCTCAGTGAGCACCAAACTCAAATTTTCACACATCCTCTTGTTTTAAAAATAGCCCAAACCCGCGGATTTTTTAGTAGCTTAGGATGCACCAGCTTTGCATACTCCACAAAACTACACCCCACGTCTGCTGACCACTGGTAAAGTGGAGCCTTGTGGTTATAAGACTCCAGGCTATTTCTGCCCATCGGAACAATCTAACCCAAAAAGACCCCACCATGATGTGGAGCGCCATCGCCAAGATATATAAGTCCCATCTCCAGCACCCGCCAGGAGTTCCCTTGCCTTCCACCCCTTCTAAATGGCAGCCCCCTCAGTGCAAGCCTCCAGGCAGACTCATGCTGCCAGGGATTTGCCTTCTCCTGCAACCCTGTCGGAGCATTGCCCAATAAAGACCCTTGCATGTTACTCCCTCTTGCGATCATGTCTTTGTCCTTGATCAGTCCCCAGAGCCTTTGAACCCCCTATACTGTATCCATTACCCTGTTTTATTTTCTTCCTACACTTTTCACTCTCTGAAATTATCTAGTTAATTTTTTCACTTGCTTTTCGTTTCTCTCCCTCACTAGAATATAACATCCATCTAATCAGTCAATATGTCTACGAAAAAGATATTTGTCCACACTAGTAATCAAAGAAATCTCAAAGTAAAACGAGATATCATTTTCCATCCAGTGGTAAACTTCTAAAAGTGTGACAATGACACATATTACAAGAGTATGGGAAGAAAAGGAGTACACTCATATCCTGCTAGTGGGGAAGTTATAACTGATGCAACTAGGAGTGTAATTCAAAACTTCAAATACACACAGCCTATGGCCAAGCCATGCTACTCCTCAATATCTACGCCACAGTAGCATCCCCACATTTGCACAAGGAGGGATGTGTAAAAACAAGTAAATCAATGGGGCACGGTGGCTCATGCCTGTAATCTCAGCACTCTGTGAGGCCGAGGTGGGCGAATCACCTGGAGTTCGAGACCAGCCTGGTCAACATGGTGAAACCCTGTCTCTACTAAAAATACCAAAATTAGCCATTTGTGGTGGTGCATGCCTGTAACCCCAGCTACTTGGGAGGCTGAGGCACAAGAATTGCTTGAACCTGGGAAGCAGAGGCTGCAGGGAACCAAGATCGCACCACTGCACTCCAGCCTGGGTAACAGAGTGAAACTCCATCTCCAAAACAAAACAAAACAACAACAACAACAACAAAACCAAGTAAATGAAAGATGACTTGCACCATCAGGAAGGTAGCGTAGTTGTACTTTCCCCTCCTCTTCCTGTAAGAACAACAAAAAACCCTGGGCATTACACACAAAACAAACATGAAAAGACTGAAAAATAGAGAGAAGAAGGCAGACTGGGTAGGGATCTCATGACCCAAGGAACAACACAGTGTTCAGTTCCCTGGGTTTTCTTTTAGCCTCATATATCTCAGACTTGGAGCTGAATAAACCAGCAATCAAGAAAAGCCAACAGGTACAAATAACAAAAGGTCCGACATAATACAAAGAAATGATAAATGTTTGAGATGATGGATACCCCAATTACCCCAATCATTACACATTGTATGCCTATATCAAAGTATCACATGCATCCCATAAATACATACAACTATTATGTACCCATAATAATTAAAAAGAATAACTCCTTTAAAGATACAAAATACAAAAAAAAATTTTCAGAAAAGAAGACTTGTTTTCCTCCCTCTCTACAGAAAACAATTCTAGCATGTATGTATATAAAAGGAAGATTCCATTGTGAAGTTAAAAAAAAATGAAAAAGATCCAACAAAAGCCTGCTCTTTCTGGCCAAAGGACTAGGAAATGTGCAATCTGGAAAGACAGAACACTATTAGACAATAACTGCTCCACTCTAGAAAATCTTCAGTTCTACTCTCACCCACACCAGCAAAGGCCAAGTGGGGAGCCTAAATCTCCATTCTCACAGGTCTATAACAAGGTGCCCACACCCTCCAGGTGGAGTCAAAGGAGGCCAAGCAGGTAGTAAGTGCCCCACCTATGGTGTCAGTGGAGACCATATGGGAAGCACTAACGAGGCACTCCCACCCCTCCCAACCAGGGAGGCATAAATGGGGACCTAGTGAGGAGCTGAAACTCCCATACCCACCCAGCAGTCAATGAAGAGTATCCCCCACCTTGGATGTCAAGGAGGCCAGGTCAGGAACCTATGATTTTCACCCCATCTAGCACTAACATGGCAGCACCCTTCTTCCTTTACCAGAGCAGTTACAAGAAGAAGCCTACTAAAACAGAAGGTTTAAATAAGAAGCAGAGGCTGGGTGTGGTGGCCCAAGCCTGTAATCCCGGCACTTTGGAGGCCAATGTGTGCAGATCACTTGAGGTCAGGAGTTTGAGACCAGCCTGGCCAACGTGGTGAAACCCCGTCTCTACTAAAAATACAAAAATTAGCTGGGCATGGGAGGCTGAGGCAGGAGAATCACCTGAACCCAGGAAGCAGAGGTTGCAGTGAGCCAAGATTGTGCCACCGCACTCCAGCCTGGGCAACAGATTGAGACTCTGTCTCAAAAATAAATAAATAAATAATAAATAAATCAATAAATAAAGTAAATAAGATGCAGAGTCTTGCAACATAATACCCAAAATGTCCACTTTCAATCAAATTGCTTGTTATAACATGAACCAGGAAGATCTGAAACCGAATGAGAAAAGAGGGTCAACAGTTGTCAACACTAACACCACACAGTTGTTAGAATTATCTGAAAGAATTTTAAAGCAACTGTCATAAAAATGCTTCAACAAGCAGTCATAATCATGTTTGAAGCAAATGAAAAATAGAAAGTTGAGTAAAGAAATAGAAAGCCTCAGCAAAGAGATAGAAAAATATAAAGAAGAATCCGATGGAAGTTTTAGAATTAAAAAATACAGTAACTGGGCCGGGCGCGGTGGCTCACGCCTATAATCCCAGCACTTTGGGAGGCCGAGGCGGGTGGTTCACAAGGTCAGGAGATTGAGACCATTCTGGCTAACACGGTGAAACCCTGTCTCTGCTAAAAATACAAAAATTAGCCGGGCGTGGTGGCAGGCGCCCGTCGTCCCAGCTACTCGGGAGGCTGAGGCAGGAGAATGGTATGAATCTGGGAGGCGGAGCTTGCAGTGAGCCGAGATCGCGCCGCTGCACTCCAGCCTGGGAGACAGAGCGAGGCTCTGTCTCTTAAAAACACACAAACAAACACAAACAATAACTGAAATTAAAACCCAATGGATGGGCTCAGCAGTAGAATGGAGAAAACAGAGGAAAGAATCTGAGAACTTGAAAATAAAACAATAGACATTACCCAATCTGAACAACAGAGAGAAAACAGAAAAATAACTAATGGAGCGTCAGGAACTCATGAGGCTGTAACAAAGATCTAACATCCATGTCACTGGAGTCAAAGAAGAGGAGAAAGGGGGTGTGGTTTAAAAAATATTCAAAGAAATAATAGCTGAAACCTTCCCAAGTTTGGCAAGAGAAATAAACCTACAGGTTCATGAAGCTGACCAAATTCCAAACATGACATACACTAAGAAATCCACACTAACGTACGTCATAGACAAACTTCTAAAAACTAAAGACAAAGAAAAAAAAGTCTTGAAAGCAGATAGAGAGGAATGGTACTTTACCTATAGAGGAAGAACATTTGAATGACAGCAAATTTTTCATCAGAATCCACAAGTGACAGAAGAAAGTAGCAAAACAATTTTCAAGCTCTGAAAGAAAAGAACTCATTGAAAATATTCTCCAGGAATGAAGAAAAAAAAACAAGACATTCAGATGAAGGAAAATTAAGGGTAATTGCCACCAACACAACTACCCTAAAAGAATGACCAAAGGAAGTTCTCTAAACAGAAATAAAAGAAGAAATCTTGGGACATCAAAAAGGAAGAACATGGAAAACAAAAATATGAGGAAATATAATACATTTTTCTTCTCCCCTTGAGTTTCCTAACTTATGTTTGCTGGTCAAAACAAAAATTATAACACTATCTGATGTGGTTCTAAATGTATGCAAAGAAAACATTTAAGAAAATTATGTTACAAATGGGAGAGGGTAAAGGGACATAAGATCCTTCGTGAACTGGTAAAATGATAATACCAGTAGGCTGTAACAAGTTATATACAAGTATATATAATGTAAGACCTAGAGCAACCACCAGAAGAGCTATACAAGAAGATACATTCAAAAATACCATGAGTAAATGGGTAAATCAAAATGGAATTTTAAGGAATATTCAAGTAACCCCCAAGAAGGAAGGAAAAAGAAAATAGGTACACCAAAAATCTAGTAAACAAAACAAAAAAGTCAGATTTAAGCCATATCATATTAATAATTACATTAAATGTAAATTGCCTACACCAATTAAAAGACAATGGTGAAAGTGGGAGAGTAAACTACAAAACATGACCCAACTATATTCTGTCTACAAGAAATTCACTTCAAATATAATGCCATAGGCACGTTGAAAGAAAAAGTGTAGAAAAAATATATCATGCCAACACTAATAATAAAAAGCAGAAGTGGTGATATTAATATCAGATAAACTGACTTCAGAACAAAGGAAATTACCAGAGACAGAGAAGCACATCATATAGTGATAAGAGGTTCAATCTCCCAAGAAAACAGCAATTTTAAATGTATATGTGCTAAAACATAATACAACTACAAAATACATGAGGCAAAAACTAATAGAACTAAAAAGAAAAAAAATCCACAATTATATTTGGAGGTTTTAACACACCCTCTGAAAAATAGATAGAACAACTAGACAGAAAACCAGCATGGATATTGAAGAACTTAACACCACAAACAAACAGGATCCAGTTGACATTTATAGAATGCTCTACCCAACAACAGCAGAATACACATTCTTTTCAGTTTCCCACAGAACATATAGTAAGGTAGACCATATCCCGGGCCATTTAAAACAAAACTAAACAAACAACATTAAAAAAAAAAAACCTTAACAGATTTAAAATAGTTAAAATCCCACAGAGTATGTTTTTCAAACACAATGGAATAAAATGAAACATCAATAACAGAAAGATAATAGGAAAATCTTCGAACACTTAAAAATTAAATCACACACTTCTATTGATGGATCAAAGAGGTAGCCTTTGTCATAAAAGGATATATGAGATATTTTTAAAAATACACTCAGCTGAATAAAAATGGAAACACAGCATATCAAAATTTGGGGCACAACTAAAATGGTGTGAAATGGTTTGGCTGTGTCCCCACCCAAATCTCATTTTGAAATGTAGTTCCCATAATCTCCATGTGTCATGGGAGGGACCTGTTGGGAGGTAATTGAATCATGGGGGTGGTTACCCTCATGCTGTTCTTGTGATAGTGAGTGAGTTCTCATGAAATCTGATGGTTTTATAAGGGGATTTCCCCTGACTTTGCTCACACTTCTCCTTCCTGATGCAATGAAGAAGGACAACTTTGCTTCCTTTTCTGCCATGATTGTAAGTTTCCTGAGGCATCCCATCCATGCTGAACTGAGTCAATTAAACCTCTTTTCTTTAAAAATTACCCAGTCTCAGGTACGTCTTTATTAGCAGCATGAGAACAGACTAATACAGTAAATTGGTACTACAGAGAGTGAGGTGGTGCTGTAAGGGTACCTGAAAATGTGGAAGTGACTTTGGAACTGGGTAACAGGCAGAGGTTGAACAGTTTGGAGAGCTCAGAAGACAAGAAAATGTGGGAAAGTTTTGAACTTCTTAGATACTTAGGGGGCTCAGAAGACAGGAAAATGTGGGAAAGTTTGGAACTTCCTAGGAACTTGTTGAATGGCTTTGACCAAAATGGTGATGGTGATATGGACAATGAAGTCCAGGCTGAGGAGGTCTTAGATGCAGATGAGAAACTTGTTGGGAACTAGAGCAAAGGTGACTCTTGTTATGCTTTAGCAAACAGGTTGGCAAAATTTTGCTCCTGCCCTAGAGATCTATGGAACTTTGAACTTGAGAGCGATGATTTAGGGTATCTGGTGAAAGAAATTTCTAAGTAGCAAAGTGTTCAAGAGGAATCGGAGCATAAAAGTTTAGAAGCTTTGCAGCCTGATGATTCAATAGAAAAGAAAAACCCATTTTCTGGGGAGAAATTTAAGCTGGCTGCAGAAATTTGCATAAGTAATGAGGAGCCCAATGTTAACCACCAAGACAATGGGGAAAATGTCTCCAGGGCATGTCAGAGACCTTTGCAGCAGCTCCTCCCATCACAGGCTTGGAGGCATAGGAGGAAAAAATTGTTTCATGGGCCAGGGCCAGGCCCCCCCTCTACTGTGTGCAGCCTCAGAACACGGTACTCTGCATTCCAGCTGCTCCAGCTGTGGCTAAAAGGGGCCAAGGTACAGCTCAGGCCATGACTTCAGAGGGTGCAAGCCCCAAGTCTTGGCAGCTTCCACGTGGTGTTGAGCCTGCGAGGGCACAGCAGTCAAGAACTGAGGTTTGGGAACCTCCACTTAGATTTCAGAGGATGTATGGAAATTGCTGGATGTCCAGGCAGAAGTTTG